>NC_000004.12:30571105-31195200 GCF_000001405.40 Homo sapiens
CTTGTTGAGGGGGTGATTGGGGAAAAGTGAGATGTTGCTCAAAAGGTACAAAGTTTCAGATAGAACAAATAAGTTTTAATGATCTATTGCACAGCATGGTAACCATAGTTAATAATGAGTTGTGTTGTATATAAGTTGCTAAGATAAATTGTGAATGTTCTTACTACACACACACACACACACACACACACACACACACAGACACACAAAATAAGTAGGTGAGATGACGGCTCCGTTAATTAGCTTAATTTAATCATTCCATAATGTATGCATATATCAAAGCAATCCAATGTACCTCATAAATTTGTAAAATAGTTTGTCAATTAAAAATTAATCTTAAAAGAATAAGCAGAAATACATGGATTAGCATCTATCTATTCAAACACATGTGAAAATCACTATAAAGAATGAAGCAAAATTTAACCACCAAAAACCTAATAAGTAGTATATAAATAAACAAGAGTTTAAGGCACCAGCAACACCTAAATAACCTACTCTCAAAAGAGAATGGAGAAATAATTTAATATGTGGTATTTTCAAAGAAGCATAAAATGATTAATCATAGGAAATTTTAAAATTTTACTTTTTTCCAATTAATTCATAGTTTAGAAATGTCTTTATTTTGAATTATATATGAAGGTATTCAATAATCATGTCAGTTCTTGGAGCTAGCATGAATCAGATCCTAATTTTTCTTGATTTGTTACAACTGTCCCCTGAGGTAATATCATACTTTCTAACATACTGAGGAAGAAATGAAAGTTTAAAGATATTTTGTAATAAATTCCAGGTCAAATGTTATGTAAGGTTTAGGATTAAAATTGGAATTCAGGTAGTTCAACCTCAAAGTCATTTAAAACAATTATAGCCACTCTCCTTGAACTAGAGATTTTCTTCCATCCCTGTTCTGACCTTGAAGAAGTGGAAAATGGTCCAGTAGTGAAGAAATCATACATAATAGATCACAAATATGGCCAGATCATCACAATTCAGGGATGGAACTGAGCCACTTCACCTTCCCTATGGCATAGCCAAATTAAAATTATTGAGTGTTTTCTGATAGCTTCTCATTTTTTCAACACAGTGCTTAGAGAATATACAAACAGACACTGGCTAAACTACATATAATATTAATAATAGAACTCAGAAGCACAATATGCTGCGCCATACCCACGAAACCAACCCCTTACCTATGATAAACAACCCAGGTATCTAATCCTGCTATAAGTCAGGCTTACAGGAAGCCAGACTGCTCTCTTTAGTGACCAACCAGGAAGCTAACCAATAACTTCTGTAATAACCAGCCCTAAGTGACCAGATCTTAATAACTGCACCTTCTGTAATTTTTCCCCCAACTCCACCTTAGAACAAACCAGAAAAAGCCAAATACGTACCCTTCATCAATTACATAGGATACCCTGCTTCTAGTTAGCTTCCTCCAGCTTCCCCAGGCCAACAGCCTCCTATCAGGACACATCTAAAGCCTTCCCTTTTCTCTACCATAAAACTTTTCACTTCTTTGGCTGCCTTTGAGTCACTGCCAAAACACAAGTTACGGTGGCTGACTCCCCTGCTATAACAGGCACAGAAAAGTAGCATTTGCTTTTTTCATTTGGTTGGTCTTCATTTAGATCCACAGTGCTCAATGGTGTGGGGATACACCAAAACAAAACAAAGATCCCTGGATGAGAACTACCTATCATCAACTGCAAGAGAAGACATGCATATAGAAGTGATGCCGAGGAAAATAAGAATCCACATTTAGGTAAAATGATAGACTATTCATCTTAAAAGAATTGAGGAGAAGTTATAATGTTTAAACAAGTTTAAGCACTGCATAGACCTGAAACTTAATCCCAGGTATATGTCATATGACCTCTATAATTTGGGGATATTTTCTCAGATTCTAAACTTCAGTTTTCTCCTTTATCAAATAAAAACATAAATGCTTATATCAAAATTAACATTTATACATTAAAGTTCTTTTTCTTTTGTTTCTTTTTGTTGTTGTTGTTGTTGTTGTTGTTTATACAATTTAAAGAGGAAATATATTGAGGTAATATAGAAATTATTTCATGGATAAAGTGGGCTTTGAATGGAATCACTTTATGAACTAATGAAGAGGAAAAATGGGTACTCCAACTGGAGAACATTTAAAAACTGCTATTAATGAACATGGTGCTATTAACTAACATGTTTTCTTTGCTAAAATAAGGAAACTATTTTTGGGGGTGTACAAAAAATGAGCATAAATAAGTTTAGATGGCTTAAATAGTCAATATACAGAGCCTCTTGGACACAGACTAAGCAATTGACATAAAAGACAATCAAAAATTATAATTCTTAAGCATGAAAGTGACCAAAGAGAGTTTTAGGAAAAAAAATATCAGTGACTGCATTTGAAAAGTATATATTAGATACAAGGAGAACACTTGGTTAGCCATTAAAGCAACACTGGACATGAATAAATGAGAATAAATGCAGCCTGACTGAAGGCTTTTGTTATCATGATGTGTTTCTCAACTCCAAGTTTTCAAGCCTGGGAATCTTGGGTTGAAATCAGAGAAACATGCCTTTACAGGAATCTATTGTTTGGTGACAGGAGTTAATAGAGTTAATTTAAACTTATTTATTTTTATAAGTCTTTTGGCTCTCCGTATTTTTCCCTAGCATCTCTATATCCCTCCTCTTGTCCAAATTCTAGCTACCCTGTAAATATTCAAATTCTGTGCAAAATATCTCATGAATCTTCAAGTCAATCCTGGTGTGATGTCTATTAGTGCTATTAACCAATATTTTTAGTTTACTTCTTCCAGTTACACAGTTGGTATATAGTAGTTTACACTTTCACTCCTTTCTGATATTGAGTGTAGACATATAATTTGCTTTGCCCAATAAAATGTGTGTCACTACCAGGTGGAATTCTTTAAGAAACAAAATGCAATGCCCTAAAATCTTTCATTCTGCCATTGACTGAAATTTCCAACAGCTTGTATTCCTAAAGAGATACAATATGAAGAACTCATTATCTACAATAAACGGACATTTTGAAAGAATAGGAAATGAACCTAAGTATTTTTAATCTACTAATATTTTAAGATGGTTTGCCACCGTAGCAGAACCTTGAATATCCAGACTATAATACATAGTCTCTTCATTCCCTTATTTAGGGAGATTTGACAGACAAAAGAGGAGGCAGCATTGTGAAACACAGAAGCAGAGATGGGAGTGATGCTGTCTCAAGTCCAGGAATGCTGTGAGCCCCCAGAAACCAGAAAAGGCAAGGAACAGAATCTCTTCTAGAGCCTCTAAAGGAAGCATGGCCCTGCCTACACCTAGGGTTTGGACTTCTGGCCTCCAGAACTGTAAAATGACATATTTCTGCTGTTTCAAGCCACCATGTGTGGAAATTCATTACAATAGTCCTGGGAAAATTATAAATGTGAGTTCTAGAGAGGCACCCCATATGGATTGTCATCTGGTGTAGCTTTCTTAGATGGATAATCCAATCTTTGTGGGATCTCTTTCCACATACCCTATCTCAGTTTCTATCCCAAGTAGTTTATCCCACAGGCTCCTCTTATTACCTGGCCCTTCCTCCCTAGAAGTCATTCTTCTTCAGTGAATATCAAGATTGCTAAAGGCTGTTACATTTTACAACATTCTCTTGGCCAACTAGACAGTCCCAGAGTCTTGCCTCACTAATTTGAGAGGGTCCATCATATTCCACTATGTTCTGTCATCTTGCCTTGCTAAGAACAATTCCTAACTTTAGACTTCTTTCAGTATTGGAGGCCCCCAAACTCTGAAAAGCTCTTTAAGCAAGTATCATTATGGTGCACCAGCGTAGGCCTAAACAGTAAACATCTTATCAGGGAACATATTATTCTCCTTTTTGTGGGTACCACCAATCTCTCCAGGTAGTTTCCTTGGGTTCCTTCTCACTTAGAGGGAAGAAAAAATAAATGCCACCACATTTACCATGAGGCTAACATTTCTCTGCCACCAAACCTTAGACAACGGCTTATAAAGCCTATGGGTAGTAGGGATGGGAAGTGGGGAAGAGGAGAGTTAGTTTGCATGGTTTGGCCTATTACTAGTAAATCATGCCAAAATCTGTCAATGAACTTTTTAAAAAAGTATTTATTTCTTAGTTTCCTCAACTGTGGACCCCCTGCTGAATTTCCAAGAAAACTGGAAATGTTCCTTTGGTATGTTGATAAGCAAGATGATAGGAAAGCAGAAATGCTAATACATGTGTGTACTTTGAGGCACCTTCCATGAAGTGCCATTCTCATCATTTTGTGCATAAATAAATCCTTCATTCCCTTTTGACAGTTAGGAAATGCACAATTTATACGGTCCCTTATGGAGACCCTCTTCTCTTCTCAAGTCCCATAATATAAAGCATTGTTCCACACAAATAGTTGCTGCTTAACAAATAAACATTTTTTTTTCCAAAGTGACTAAAATTCCCACGAACAGTTGAGAATTTGGAACTGAAGCTTTAATAGGTGATTAGTAATTAATAAGACTTCCTATTCTGAAATCACAAGTGTTAGCCTTTATTCAGTGTGCATTGAATTTTCTGATAGTGCCTTTTACATAACTCATGAGTACTTACTAAGGCTAATAGAAATATTTATTTTAATTTGGGGGCTAGGTAAAGGATTGGCTTCATTTTGAATTATTATCCTTAGGACCTAGGATGTATAGTCTTATTTTTATTATTTTTTATGTTTAACGATGTCTTTCATTTGATTGAATTCATGCATTCATCAAGCACTTATTGAAGACTCAATACAGGCATACATATTACTAGCTGTAGGGAGAGACTTCAGAAAATAAGATGTAAGGCAGTTACAAGGTATTACTGAAAGTAGAAGGATATGGCATAAGGATGAAAGAAGCCTATTAAAACAGGGGTGTCTGGAGTGATATAAAGAAGATATTCTGACAGTGTTGAGAAAAGAAAAATTAATTTTCACAATGGGAATTAATAATAGAGTTTAACTAAAATGAAATATTCAATTTTTTAATAGGGACCTTACAAAGACCCCTAAAAAAGAATAAAGGCTTTGCTGTAATTCTAGATATTAGAGCTCAGTTATAAACCAAAATGTACATGGCTTCAACAAGGAAAGATAAGCATGTGTATTGTCCTTTTACAAAACTCTGATTGCAAGCAAGCTGATCATCTCCATATGCCTGCAATTATTCATAATAATTTCACATTTCATTTGATTAATTCTTCTGCTGCTCTACACACAAACACATAAAGATATGGACTTCCCTTACCTTGCACATTGCTCTAATTATTGTTTCATTTTATTTAGTAATGTAATGAAACCTGAGCATTCAATCAAAGGATTATCTCTCATACTTTGAAGAGAACATTATTAATTATGTAGTAGCAAGACGGCTGCTTCAGGGCCATGCAGAAGGTTGCCTAATTACCCGGTGATTTCGGGGCAATTTACACTGTCAATCTAAGTAAGATAAATCAATAAATATTAAGGCTACAGATCCACTTCTTTCTCTTTTTCGATTCCACCTTCCTCATTGATATACTTGGCTTACAGATGCAAATAAATTTACTTGGTAATTCTATACGTTTGATACCTTATTCCTGAATTATTTTCTATGTTTGTAACCTCCCCACCAGTCAATCCCAAAAGAAGTAGCCATATTTTCAGAATCTTCATTCCTGAAAGACTAATCTGGAATATTGGTTAATTCTTTCAACCATTTCAAAAACACTGAATTTTGGAGAGGAATTTTGAGATTTTCAAAAACACTCGGAACTCACAGTTTCTTACTTAAATATTCTATTTGTTAAAACTAATGTTAAGAAGGAAAAGGGCATTAATTAAGTCTGAAAAAATAAGTCTGAATGTAAAACTTACTGGATATTTTGCTGATCTGGGGCATCAAGAACCAGCTTCAGAGATTAGAACCATGTTTCTAATTCTAATCCGTATAAGTTACTTTGCAGTAAACAATCAAAGCTAGAAGTCCCACACATCATGCAATAATTTTCTTCTTTATGGAATAAAGAGTCTGCCAAGAGCAGCTGATATAGCCACTAGTATAACAGATATCTAGCTCAGAGTAGAGGGTTAAATTGGCTGACAATCCAAAGAAATGTTAAACATCAAAGTTTATTCCTCTGTATCTAATTAAATCAAAAATCGAGAAATGTTTTATCAGTTTATTTCTTGAAAGAACTGTATCACAATTAACTGGATGACCAAAGAAATGTAAAGTTCTAAAAGTCAGATCCATTTGTAATTTTTAAGAAAAACAATTAAGCTTAAAAGTGGTTCTCAACTCTGAAGGCACAGAATGATCATCTAGAGAGACCAGGACTCCCCCCGAGATCAATAAAATGAGGCTCTCCAGAGATATGGCTCAGGTATGAGAATTTTTAAGAAGTTCCCTTAGATAGTTTCAATGTGTATCCAGTTTGAGAACCACTGGGCTAAAAGATATCACTGTTTAACATTCTGTATGTAAATAGACTTCCTCAATTGCTACCAAAATTTCTTATTTATAATAAGAAGCACCTTAATGTTGATGCAGTATAAGCTGAGTCTCATGAGAGGAAAAAGTTGGGGTATGAAAGAACACATGAAGAAAAGTCTAAACAAAGGGAGAAATGGAGCAGAGTAAAAGAGACTGTTTAGGGAATGAAAAGGAAAGATACATAAAAGAATTTTTTATGACTGTTTATTTGTCTGCCATAAATGAGATGATTGTTTCTTTGATAAAGAACACTAGTGATGCTTTATACAAAGTATGTGAGGCTTGAGACCAAGCTTTCTGTTTCAGTAGGGCAAGACTTTGTGCTTTTCTGTCTTAAGTGTATCTTTTTATTTATTCATTCACTTGCCACAGATATATTTGAGTACCTACAGCATCAACCTCACTCTCCTAATAATAATGAAGTTATCCTCCTTCCTCCCTCATTTCACTCTTTCCTGTCTTGTTCCATACATAAAATTCCGGTCTCAAGTTGTTTGGCCACAGACAGATCACAAGAAAAAGGCAATCTTTTCTATGGTGATGAGAGCTACAGAAAGGCAGCCGCAGAGAGAAGTCAGGTAAAGACAGGGAAAGAGTGACAGGGATGGGTAACAAACCATTAGCTTTGATAACATAGCTGAAAGTCTAATAATATAAGAATATAAGAATAATGACAAACCGTGTCAGTGAAGTTTCTTTAATTCATAGAATAAAAATCATCCAGCTAAGAAACCATTTCAGAGTACATAGTAGCAACATAAGCAAAAATAAAATAATTCTTATCGATGACTGATAACCATTAGGATAGTCAATATATTGTATAACAGAAAAGTTAGTTTTTATTTTTTAGGCTTTCTCCTTATATTTATTATGCTAGATTATGGGTTCTGTGGCCCAATAATAATAACAGAACAGAGGGGGAAATGGCATGTCTACTATATTATAAAGCTAATTAACAATAAAATGATGAATATCTTTTTAAATTAGCACCAGTTTTCTCTATAAGCCAAAGATTATTTAACTTTCTTAAAATATGGATAACAGTTACTGTCTTTGAATGGGAACTTATATATATAGCTTTCACGAAGGTCAATATTAACTACTCCTACTCAAATTTAACTTTTACAAAACATAATTTATCGTCAACCAAAGTTGTATAGAGAATATAAATTGACTACCTTACTATCCTCTTCCTTCTCAGAAACATAAAATAAATTGTATTCAAGGTGGCAACTTGTCCAGCTAAAAGACTGAATCCCCAACTTCCCTCCTAACTAGTCATGGCCATAGAGATTCATGGGAAAGTTGTTGAGTAGTACCCTGGGGAAGGCTCCTTAAGATAATAACACATGATACTGGCTGTTTTGATCCCTTGTCTCATTTCTATTCTCCACACTTACAGGTAGACTGGACCTCATCAGCCATCTTGGCTATGGCAATGTTAAAGATGAAGCCACTCTAGAATAAAGATCAGGCAGATAATGATATATTGTTTAAACCACTTTTATTTATATTGTCTCATTTACAATTCATACATAATACAAATGTTTTAAAGAAATGCAAGTATGCTGAAGACAAGGCTTATTCCTAAAGTTTAGAAAATATGGGTTCTCTGTCTTCAAGCAATTTAGAAACAATTAGTAGGCAATTTGGAAGGAGAATAAAATATAAGTATAATGGGTTATATACAGGCTCACTCATTGTGAGAATGCTTTTATCTGAGACACCAAGGACAATGTATGCATTTGCACCTTTCCAAGGGCCCATTTCCTAAATTTTTATTATGAGAAATTTCAAATTATACAGAACTATAAAGAGAATACATGCATTCATCTTCTAGAATTAATAATTTATAGTACATTGAAGTAAATGCTTCACATATTTTTTCCTTCTATAGCACCTAAGGTCAGTTAAAATTTGCGACTTCTCCCTCATTGTACTTCAATATCCATCCATAAGAACAAAGATGCCTTCTTACATAACCACAATAATATCACTACATCTAGCAATTTAAATAATGATCTCATATCACTGTTTATCACTCTATATGTAAATTAACATCCTCGATTGCTACCAAAATTTCTTATTTATAATAAGAAGCACACTTAATGTTGATGGAGTATATGCTGAGTCTCATGAGAGGAAAAAGTTGGGGTATGAAAGAATACATGAAGAAAAGTCTAAACAAAGGGAGAAAGGGAGCAGAGTAAAAGAGAGTGTTTAGGGAATGGAAAGGAAGGATACATAAAAGAATTTTTTATGACTTTGTTTATTTGTCTGCCTTATAAATGAGATGATTGTTTCTTTGAAAAAGAACAGAACTAAAGTCTATTCAGCTTTACCTCATTTCATCACAGACTACTATAATACTTCAGTGTCAGTAAATGCTTATTTAATTGAGGTGTTTGTAAAGTAAGATTAGACTTAAGCAAAACTTTTAAAAGTTGAATTGGACTTTAAAAATCATGAGTTAACATAAATGAGTATAAATATTTTAAAATAATTAATTTATAAACATTTGTAGGAAAAATGCTAGTCTAATTTCATAAACAGTAAAGCTCATTTTATCCGCTTTCCTAAAAATATGTAAAGAAACAATTATTTTTTGTTTAATTGTCTTCATAATTTAGAAACCAGGATTTCCAAACTACCAAAAATTAACTTTACATTTTTCTAACTACATAATACATCATGACATCATGTATTGATTTTTTTTATCAGAAATTGTGTAACCCTTAGAAATCAGGAAACATTTAATTTGATTAAAATAACTAGTGACTGTGCCATAAGAACTTGTGGATCTCCACCAATTTCTCTAACCTGAGTCATGGGAAGCAAAATAGGATGTCACTCAGAAGCATTTTGCTTAGGTATAATTATTTTGCATTCAAGAATACATGGCATATCTAAATTTAGAAAGATGAAAAATAGAATATATATTTAATCTTATGATCATTTTGCTCTCATAAGTATACGGACAGAAGAAATATAGTTTCTTACTTTCCCCGTTCAGCCTCCCATCTCTGAGAATGGCTACAAGAAGTTTTCTCTTCGTAGTCTATGCATCCTACAGAGTCCAAATTCGGAGACTGTGCTGATGCTAACTATCCTTATTCTTTTAATACATACATTATTGATTTTTAAGTTTTAAGACTAAGACAATTAGCAAGATACATTTTCCCTAAGGCATACATCACAGTAGCCAAAATAAATAAAAAATGAAAGAGTGTAAAGATAGTTAGATTAAAACTCAAAGTTATGCTTGTCACATAGAGATATGCAGAGACAGCAATTGCCTCCTAGAAATAGAGGCTAAAGCACTCTACACTGTTGGCCCAATCTCCTTTTTTGGCTATTTCTGAGTATAGTTATGCAAGCCTAGTTAGCCCTAAAATAGCCACGTGAAAACTCATGCTGTCAGGTATTCTCTATGCAACTAAGTCATTCTTTTTCATTGTATCTACACTGCTAAACTGAGTGTGTCCTAGAAGATCATATTAAGTAAACTGTCCTGATAGAATTTATTCATTGATTAACTCAGGCATTAAGTCATGAAAAAATATTTTAGCCTATAACATATGCCAAACACCATGTAATATACTATGGACACAAAAAATAGCCCATACACTTTGCCCTATATAATGGCTGAATGTTATCATTCACACGTATCATTGATAATGATGGTGAAAATATCAAATGTAGCATCTCCAGGAACACAAATTCTGTCACCCAAATGTGAGTATTGAAAGGCATGGGTCTGGGATCAGCAAGACACAGCAAAGCACAGGAAAAGGATATACAGTATAATTAAAATGAAATTTATAAACCAATTTTCCAGAAAAAATAATGGAATATATGCATATAAATAAAAACCTTTCTTTATAATTAGGATAGTTCCAAAACCCCTGAACCTTTCACATATATATTTTTGGTTTGGATAGATTCTCTGTGAAGAATGTCTAGAAGACATAATTTTGGACAGGATGAATAGGAGAACTCTAATCCTCAACATTGGAACAGAAATCTGGAAATAATTAAGCATATCAAATTTTACAAAACCCTCATCCTGAGGGACAAAACCAATATGTAAATCAGAATTAAGTGGAAAATTAGGGCAAATGTGATCATTATATAAGTATTTATTTAATGTCCACTATGTTCCAGACTTTTGAGTACATACTGAAGATCTAATTAGAAGACAGAAATCCACCCGATTGAAAAACTCAGTTTGATATGGTCTATTTGGAAGGATCAAGACAAGTTCAAATCAGTAAGAGGGAAGAGGCAGGAACCAAAATCATGTGTGTACATAGAGCAAGTCAGACCAATGGGCCAAGGTCCAATGTCCAAGAAGATATTCAGAATACTCACCCAGAATAATTGCACTCCTACCCAAGTAGGTGGTCCTTCCACATTATCACTGACAGACAGTTGCCTTCTCTCTGCTTGAACACTTCCAGTTCAGAGACTTAGTATATTATGTATATATATAATATGCATGTAAAAATGCTATTGCTTTTCTGTATTTTCTCTTATAAATAGCTCTCATTGAATTCTTCTGTTGTTTCCACAAACTTTTCTATTGACTTTCTCATGTTTTCCAGGTATAATACTATATCACTGGCATATAATAAGAAGTTAGATTATTTTCTTCCAATGTTTATACCAATTATGTCTTTCTCTTAATTAACTGCATTGTCAAGAACTGTCAGAAAGTACTTTAAAATAGTGCCAATATTGGGCATTGTTGACTGTAATGGTAATAACCTAGCAATTCACATTTAAGCATGATTATGGCTTTGGCTCTATGTGTGTATATTCATACATATTTCTGAAACAGCTTTTATCAGAAATGAATATTAATTTTTATCAATTGCCTTTTAAGTAACTATAAAAACTTTTAGTGTTATTTTACTTTTGATCAATTTTGTTTATAAATTAAAATAGTAGATTTATAAAAAAACCTATATTTTGTTAATGGATACAATCTTACATGATAAGTTTTTCTTTTAATGTGTTGCATATTTCTATTTATTAATATTTTTAAGCATTTTTACATTAAGCTTCAAAAGTGAGGCTAATGTGTCATAGTTTTCACTTACATGTTGTTTTGAAAGTTCATACAATCTTATACTTTCTTTGCAAAAATAATCTGTAATGCACCGCCCCCCACCTTTTCAACTCTGAAACAGTTAAAGTAGCAAGGGGGTTTGGAATTTTTTAAAGATTTGAAAGAATTGACATGGGGACAGAGAGCTTGATACATTTTATGCTCTCACTTTTTTCCAGGATGTTTGATCATTGCTTTTCCAGCATTTCTGGAGTCCATTCAGGCAATTTACATTTCATATAAAATATTTTATTTTCTCCAGTATTTTACAAGGTTCACCTATATATTATCTTACTTTTTTTCATATATAATTTGATGTCACTTTTCCCCTTTATTCTTTCTTTCTTGATAGGCTTGATAGGCTTGATAGTTATGTGTTTAATCAACCTTGAGTTAATTTTTGTATAAGCTGTAAGGAAAGGATCTAGTTTCAATTTTCTGCATATGGCTAGCCAGTTCCCCCAGCAACACTTATTGAATAGGAAATCCTTTCCCCATTGCGTCGTTTTGTCAGGTTTGTCGAATATCAGATGGTTTTATATGTGTGGTTTTATTTCTGAGTTCTCTATTCTGTTCCACTGGTCTATGTGCCTGTTTTTTACCTGTACCATGCTGTCTTGGTTGCTGTGGCCATGTAGTATAGTTTGAAGTCGGGTAGCATGTTTACTCCAGCTTTTTTCTTTTTGCTTAGGATTGTCCTGGCTATGCAAGCTCTTTTTTAGTACCATGTGAATTTTTAAATAGTTTTTCCTAATTCTTTGAAGGATGTCAATGGTGGTTTAATGGGAATACCATTAAATCTAGAAATTGCTTTGGGCAGTATGGCCATTTCCTTGATACTGATTCTTCCTATCCATGAGCGTGGAATGTTTTTTCATCTGCTTATGTCCTCTCTGATTTCCTTTAGAAGTGGTTTAGAGTTCTCCTTGAAGAGGTCCTTCACTTCTCTAGTTAGCTGTATTCCTAGGTATTTTATTCTCTTTGTGGAAAATGTGAATGGGAGTTCATTCATGATTTGGGTTTCTGCTTGTCTGCTGTTGGTGTATAGGAATGCTTGGGATTTCTGCACATTGATTTTGTATCTTGAGACTTTGCTAAAGTTGTTTATCAGCTTAAGAAACTTTTGGGCTGAGATGACAGAGTTTTCTAGATGTAGGATTATGTCATCTGCAAATAAAGACCATTTGACTTCTTCTCTTCCTATTTGAATAAACTTTATTTCTTTGTCTTGCCTGATTGCCCTGGCCAGAATTTCCAACACTAGGTTGAATAAGAGTGGTGAGAGACGGCATCCTTGTCTTGTGCCAGTTTTCAAGAGGAATGCCTCCATCTTTTGCCCAGTTGGTATGATACTGGCTGTGGGTTTATCATAAATGGCCCTTATTATGTTGAGGTATGTTCCTTCAATACATAGTTTATTGAGAGTTTTTAACATGAAGGAATGTTGAATTTTATCAAAGGTGTTTTCTGCATCTATTGAGATTATCATGTGGTTTTTGTCTTCAGTTCTGTTTATGTGATGGATTACGCTTATTAATTTTTGTACGTTGAACCAGCCTTGCATCCCGGAGATGAAGCTGACTTGATCGTGGTGTATGAGCTTTTTGATGTGCTGCTAAATTCAGTTTGCCGGTACTTTACTGAGGATTTTTGCGTCGATGGTAATCAGGGATGTTGGCTTGAAGTTTTCTTTTTTTGTTGTATCTCTGCTGGGTTTTGATATCAGGATGATGCAGGCCTCATAAAACGAGTTAGGGAGGAGTCTCTCCTTTTCAATTGTTTGCAATAGTTTCAGGAGAAATGGTACCAGCTTCTCTTTGAACCTCTGGTAGCATTTGGCTGTCACTCCATCTGGACCTGGGATATTTTTTTTTGGTTGGTAGGCTATTTATTACTGCCTCAATTTCAGAACTTGTTATTGGTCTCTTCAGGGATTCAACTTCTTCCTAGTTCAGTCTTGGGCTGGTGTATGTGTCCAGGAATTTATCTATTTCTTCTAGATTTTCCAGTTTATTGACATAGAGGTGTTTATAATATTCTCTGGTGGTATTTTCTGTCTTGATGATCTGTCTAATACAGACAGTATTAGACAGTGGGAGTATTAAAGTCTCCCACTATTATTGTTTGGAGGCCTAAATGTCTTTGTAGGTCTCTAAAAACTTGTTTTATGAATCTGCGTGCTACTGTATTGGGTGCATATATATTTAGGATAGTTAGCTCTTCTTATTAAACTGAACCATTCAACATTATGTAATGCCCTTCTCTGTCTTTTTTGACTTTTGCTAATTTAAAGTCTATTTTGTCAGAAACTAAGATTGAAACCTCTGCTTTTTTCTGCTTTCCAATTGCTTGGTAAATTTTCCTCCTTCTTTTTATTTTGAGTCCATGTGCGTCTTTGCACATGAGATGTGTCTCTTGAGTACAGCACACAAATGGTTCCTGTCTTTGTATGCAGCTTGCCATTCTGTGTCTTTTAATTGTGGCATTTAGCCCATTTACATTTAAGGTTAATATTGTTGTGTGTGAATTTGATTCTGTCATCATGATGCTGGCTGGTAAATTTTGCAGACTTGTTAATGTAATCGCTTCATAGTGTCATTGGTCTGTGTACTTCATTGTGTTTCTGCAGTGGCTGGTAACAGGTTTTCCTATCCATGTTTAGTGCTTCCTTCAGGAGCTCTTGCAAGGCAGGCCTGGTGGTCACAAAATTCCTCAGCATTTGCTTCTCTGAAAAAGATTTTATTTCTCCTTTGCTTATGAAGCTTAGTTTGGCTGGATATGAAATTCTGGGTTGGAATTTCTTTTTCTTTAAGAATGTTGAATATTGGCCCCCAATCTCCTAGATTGCAGGGTTTCCACAGAGATGTCTGCCGTTAGTCTGATGGACTTCCTTTTGTAGGTGACCTGGCCTTTCTCTCTTGCTACCCTTAACATTTTTTCCCTCATTTCGACCTTAGAGAATAAGATGTTTATGTGTCTTGGGGTAGATCTTTTTATGAAGTGTCTTATTGGGATTCTCTGGATTTCTTGAATTTGAATATTGGCTTGTCTTGCTAAGTTGAAGAAGTTATCCTGGATGATATCCTGAAGTGTGTTTTCCAACTTGGTTCCTTTCTCCCATCTCTTTCAGCTACTCCAATCAGTCATAGGTTCAGTCTTTTTACATAGTTCCATAATTCTTAGAGGTTTTGTTTCTTTTCATTCTTTTTTCTCTAATCTTGTCTGTCTGTTTTATTTCAGCAAGATAGTCTTCAAGCTCTGATATTCTCTCTTCTGCTTAGTCGATTAGGCTATTGATACTTGTGTTTGCATAACAAAGTTCTCATGCTCTGTTTTTCAGCTCCCTCAGGTCATTTATGTTCCTCTCTAGACTGGTTATTCTAGTTAACAGCACCTGTAATCTTTTATCCTGCTTCTTGGCTTCTCTGCATTGAGTTAGAACATAATCCTTTAGCTCAGCGAAATTCATTTTTCTAAAATTCACTTTCTAAAACCTACTTCTGTCAGTTCATCCATCTCAGCTTTAGCCCCATTCTGTTCCCTTGCTGGAGATGTGTTGCAACCATTTGGAAGAGAAGAGGCATTCTGGTTTTTGGTATTTTCAGCGTTTTTGCATTCGTTTTTCCTCCTCTTTGTGAGTTTATCTACCTTTGAGGCTGGTGACTTTGGATGGGGTTTTTGTGGGGTCTTTTTTGTTGATGCTGCTGTTGTTGTTGTTGCTTCCTGTTTGTTTTTCCTCTATCAGTCCGGCCCCTCTTCTGCAGGTCTGCTGCAGTTTGCTGGGGGTCCACTGCAGCCCCTGTTCACCTGGGTATCACCAGTAGAGGTTGCAGAACAGCAAAGATTGCTGTCTGATCCTTCCGCCGGAAGCTTCATCCCAGAAGGGCACCAACTTGATGCCAGACGGAACTGTCCTGTATGAGGTGTCTGCCGACCCATGTTGGGAGGTCTCACCCAGACAGGTGGCACAGGGTCAGGGACCCTCTTGAGGAGGCAGTCTGTCCCTTAGCAGAGCTGGTGTGCTATTCTGGGGGAAATCCCTTTTGTCAGGATCAGCTGATCTTTTCAGAGCTGACAGGCGGGAAAAATTAAGTCTGCTGAACCTGGGACCACGGTGCTCTGTCCCAGGGAAATGAGAGTTCTGTCTGTTAGCCCCTGACTGGAGCCAGTGGACTTCCTGCAGGGTCGCCCTGCCCCGTGAGGAGGGATCTAGAGAAGCAGTCTGGCCACAGCTGCTTTGCTGCACCATGGGGATTTCCACCCAGTCCAAATCTCCCAGTCTTCTTAGCATTGTCAAGGGAAAACCACCTACTAAACCCACAGAAATGGAGGTCTCCACGGCCCTCCTACCGCCAGTGGAACTCGGCCGTCCCAGGTGGACTCCAGACTGCTGTTCTAGCAATGGGGATTTCAAGCCAGAGGTTCTTAGCTTGCTGGGCTCCGTGGGAGTGGAACCCGCTGAGCCAGACCACTTGGCTCCCTGGTTTCAGCCCCCTTTCCATAGGAGTGCATGGTTCTCCTGTCTCACTGGAGTTTCGGGCACTGCTGGATTATGTAAAAACTCCTGCATCTCAGTGTCTGCCTGAAAAGCCACCCAGTTTTGTGCTTAAGACCCAGGGCCCTGGTGGCATAGGCCACCAACTGCAGAAATCCACGGGAAAAGCGTAGCACCCCTGGCAGGTTGCACAATCCCTCACTGTTTCCCTTGCCTGGGGAAGGGAAGTCTTCCTGCTCCAAGCACTTCCCGGGTGAAGTGATGCCTCACCTTGCTTCTGTTCACTCTCCGTGGGTCGTAGCCACCACCTAGCCAGTCCCATGAGAATGTTAGTTGGAAATGCAGAAATCACCCGCCTTCTTCATTGGTCTCACTGGGAGCCGCTTCTATTTGGCCATCTTGGCCCCTTGGTTGATTATTTTTCTAACCATTTCAGATAAGTAGATAATTCAATTAGCTTAATTATTTTCCATTCAGTAATGTAAATATTTAAGCTATAAATATCCCTATGAGTGTTGCTTTAGTTAGCTTCCAAAGGTTTAGCTTTGAAGGGTTTAATCATTATTACTTATAAAATATATGGCAATTTAGGATTGATTGTATTCTTTGAAAAAAAGGGTCATTAAGGGCAGTTTGTGTTTTTAATAATCAGATTTCTGAGGCTCTAGTTTTTCATATTTCAAGTAATTTTTAGTTTCAATCTCGAAGTTTCTATTCTGTTGAAGTTTTTAAAATTTCTATTCACTCTAACAAAGAAAATGCTCTTTATTTCAGGATATGATTTTAATTTATGTCTATTGGATTTATTCATTAATTATGTTACCTATATTCTCTATAGTCTTTAATGTCTTCTCTAACTCTTATGTTTCAGTCTCTTTCTCCTTAAAAAGTTTTTATTAATTATTGATGCAACATTATACGATGTATGAATTATCATGAAAATTAGAGCCTTGGCACTTATTACACTTTCTTTTAACCCCTCCATCTTCTTCTATTTTTATTTTTATTTTTAGCTAGTGCTAACCAGCCCCAATTTCTTCAACTCTTCCTTATATGAAGATTTCCAGTCCCATTATCCTGAATATTTTCTTCTAATATCATTTTGTCTGGCAATGTCCTCCTGAAATGTGGTATTAAAAATGAAGCATTGCAGTGCATAGTGACTCACTCCTGTAATCCCAGCACTTTGGGAGGCCGAAGCAGGAGGAAAGCTGGAGCGCAAGAGTTGAGACTAGCCTGGGCAACATGGTGAACCCCTGTCTCTACAAAAACTACAAAAATTAGCTGGGCATGTTGGCATACAGATAGGTGGGTAGTAGTCCCAGCAACTTGGAAGGCTGAGGTGGAGGCATCTCTTGAACCCAAGAGGTGGAGGCTGCAGTGAGCCACGAATAGGCCCCTACACTCCAGCCTGGGTGACAGAGTGAGGCCCTGTATTTTTTTTAAAAAGTATAATCCTATCTGTTATCTGACCAACATGGATCACCGTGGAATGGAAATATTGCCTCTCTCAATTTTGTCACCATGCTTCTACTAATTCTGGCTAAGATGGCATATAAGCAGCCAAATTCCCAGGTCACATTGAATATGAATTCATTAAATCTCATTACATTATATTGCTGATCCTATTGATATTCATGTCTACATTTCTTTACATATACTAGGTACTCTAAAAATATTTGTTGAATACAAGAATATAGAAACAAATACATGATGTACAGATTACAAAATTTATACAATTAAGGTCTTCTATAAAGGGCAATATTTATTAACTTTGTGTTTGTAGATAAAAGTTACATTCCTAATTTACTTCAATTAAGTCAATAAATGTCATTCTTGAAAGTTATGGGTTCGTAATTGCAGTCACTTACTGTAATTATGCAACACTTGCTTTGAGAAAAGACAAGCAATTTTGAACTGTGTGGCAAATGATACCTAATGTAATGTTAGCAATTTATAACTGGGTAACTCTTTAACAGTCCAAGAGCTATAATAAATACTTCCAGTGATGCTTTACCAGTATGGAAATAATTGTCTAATTAGTAATGCACCACTACAGAATGACAAGAGCTTTATTAAAAAGCAGTATATACCCGACAATTTGGAGGATAAATTCTGGAGTTTACAGGAAAGGAAAAGTCACATTCTTAATGCATAACTCCTACTAAAAACTACATCAAAATCATTTTGAAAAATATTTTTTAAAGTTTCCAATATGTGGTACTAAAAACATTGTTTCTAAATGTTGATCAAAATATATAGATTTCATTTTTAATGTAATTGTAAAGATTATAAAAATATAAATATAGCTGGGCGCGGCAGCTCACACCTGTACTCCCAGCCCTTGGGGAGGCCGAGGAGGGCAGATCACCTGAGGTCAGGTGTTCGAGACCAGCCTGACTAACATGGCAAAACCTCATCTCTACTAAAATATAAAAATTAGCCAGGTGTGATGGCGGGCGCCTGTAATCCCAGCTACTCAGGAGGCTGAGGCAGGGAGAACTGCTTGAACTTGGGAGGTGAAGGTTGCAGTGAGCTGAGATCGTGCCACTGCACTCCATCCTAGAGGACAGAGGGAGACTCTGTCTCAAATAAATAAATAAATAAATAAATAAATAAATAAATAAATAAATAAATAATATATATACACACACACACACATATGATCTCATTTTACTTTTTTGAAGCACATATTGTTAAGGATAAAGTGATTATCATAATGCATTGTTTGAATTATGAAAATGTAATCTCAATCTTAGGTGCTACTACTTACAGGAGGAACCCAGGGATGGAAAGGGCTACAATTTATTTTGGAGGTGCCACTATGATTTATTAACATCAAGCATTCATCATTTTCTGAGATTTTAATATGTGCTGCTTTAACTATCTATCTTCTCAGAAAATGAAGCAGATCAGGGGTTACGTTTTCATCACTATTCTATCCCATCTATGCAGAAGAACCCCTGACACTTAGAAAGAATTAAAAAATACTGTGACATGCATACATGAATCCGTAGTCACATCAGCTGACTGTTTTTATCCCTGATAACATAGTTAATCCTTGTCCAGAGAGACTTTGGGGAATGATTTTGGCTAGGATGGTTGGCAAGGTTCTCTCTGAGAAGGTGATCTTTGAGTAGATACGAATGATGACAAAGAACTAGCTCTATGAAGATGGGGATCAACAGAATTCCAAGCAGAGAGAAAATTGAATAAAAAATCACTGACTTTGGAATCAATTCAGTGTGCATTATTTTCCCAGTACAGTGGTAAAGACAAATACAAAATTGATTGCATGGCATGGTTCCCAATTTAAAAGAATTTACAGCTTCTTTAGGAGATGAAGTCACCTATGAATAAAGCAGATTTGAAAACAACTTCAGATATTGGTGGTATATTATGAAGTCTCTTTTATAAGTATCTTTATCATCTTAGTAATGAACTATTATTTATTAATAATAAAGGTTTCCAAAGTTTTCAGGTTTCCACAAATTTCTTATGAATGGGTTTCAGATTGTATCAAATGTATTTCTAAATATTTTGAGATAATAGTATGATTGTATTAATATTATTACTCCATTAGCTTTCTGAGTAATATTGATTGATTTTCAAATAGGAAGTCATTCTGGAATATGTCCTGCTTGGTTTTTGGTGTAAATTCTGTCACTGAATTTTGTTGGTTTATATTTGTTTAGGGCTTTTGCTTCTGAATTAATAAATGAGATTGGCTTGTACTTTTCTTTTATTATCATGACTGATATGTCCGGCTCTGTGTCTCCACCCAAATCTCATCCTGAATTGTAATCCCCACATATTGGGAGAGGGACCTCTTCAGACGTGATTGAATAATGGGGGCAGTTCCTCTGTGCTCTTCTCATGATAGTAAGTGAATTCTAATGAGATCTGATGGTTTTGTGAGGGACTTTACCCCACTTCACTCTGCACTTCTCTCGTTCTTCTCCTTCCTGCAGCCATGTGAAGAACGTGTTTGCTTCCCATTCTGCCATAATTGTAAGTTTCATGAGGCCTCCCCAGCCATGCTGAACTGTGAGTCAATTAAACCTCTTCCCTTATAAATTACCCAGTCTCAAGTATGTCTTTATTAGCAGTGTGAGAACAGACTAATACAATGACTGTGCCAAGTTTTGCTATCAAGGTAATGCTGACTTCATTTAAAAAGTTGAGAAATATTTTCTGTCTTCTTATTTGCTCTTACAGTTTATGTAAGAGAGATGTCATTCTGTCCTTAAATATATGATACAATTCATCAGTGAAGCAATCTGAGCCAGAGTGATAGACGATTAATACTGAATATATATCAAAAGTCTTAATTGTTTATTTTTTATGGGAGTTTTGATAGGTTTATTTTTTTAGACCTTGTACATTTCATTTAAATTATCAAAATTATTGACCTAGCTTTTTCATAATACATGCTATTTTTTTCTCTAAAATTAGATGTATCTTTGTTTATATATTTTCAAATTTATTATATTACTTAATTATTAGTTACTCGTTCTTTATTAGTCTTCCTAGCTGTTTGAAGTGTTTGTCAGTTGTATTGGTTTTTGCAAAGAACTACCTTCTGACTTAGTTACACCTCTACTTATAGGTTTATTTTCTGCTTTAAACATATCTGTTTGTTCCCATAAAGCTTTCTATATTTTGTTATTGTCAGGCATAATTTGCTGTGATTTTTCTGATGACCTTTAGTATAGTCTTGGATTATTAATGTTCCAGCTTTCTTCTTTTTAATGTACACATGTATGGCTCTACATTTTCTTTCAGTGAAATATAGATGTATCTCTCAACTTTTGATATATCATATTTACACATTCCCATTTCTATATTTGCTTTAAACCTAAAAGTTATAAGAAATGCATTTTATGAATTCAAATTATTTATTAGATTTCTACCTTTTCTTTTGTTAATGATTTCCATCTTAACTCCACTGGATCTGAAACATATTCTAAGATTTTATTCACTTGAAATTGTTGTTCCTTGCTTTATGCATCAGCATATGTTCAATTTCAGTAAATTATCTTTGAGCAATTTAAAGAGATCTTTATTCTTCATTCAGTAGGTGCAATGTTGTGTATATGATAATTAGTCCACGTTTGTTGACTTAGTTTTTGTTAAACTCTTGTATATGTTTCTAATTTTCAGTCTACTTGTTCTGCTACTGAGAAAATTATTTGAAAATCTCCAAATATAATAGTGTATTTATCTTTTTTCTTTTTAGTTGCTGCCAATTTTGTTAGCTATATTTGAAGTTATATTAATGGGTCTTACCATTTAGAATCGCTATATATTCCTGTCATAACAAAAGTTTTTCATAAAATGTCACTCTTTAGCTAACAAGATGTTTCATCTTATCTGCAGTTTAAACATTTTTATTAGATTTCTTTTCTTTTGTATTTGCATGGCATATATTTTTCAATTATTCTAATTTTATTTTTCTAAGTGTGTTTCTTCTAAGTAGCATATAGTTGCTGTTTCTTAACCAGTCTCTTTGGTTTTGCCATTTAATTATGACATTTAGCATAATAAACTATTAGCATTTAATTTGTCTCACTTAATCTATGCCTCTGTTTTTCATTACTTGACATCTTTGAATTATTGTTTTCATTCCGCATTTTTACATCAATTATTTTTTTCTATGCAATCTTGAAGCATTTTGAATGACAGTTCTTCTAGAGATTGTAATGCAGATTTTTGACTTATTCAAGTCTATGGATAACGTTTATTGGTTAATGCAGGACATAAAATATTAACTTCATAATGTTCTCAAGCTGCATTTAAGATTTCCTTTTTGTCTTTGTTTTATTGCAGTTTTACTATTATTTACCAAGGTTTAGTATTCTTTCATAGTTTCTTGCAGACTTTGATGGCTATTAAATGTAAGCGGATTTTTAAATATACTTATATGAGGTATAATTTATTTACAATATAGTGCATCTATTTAAGTTGTGCAGTTGGAATACTTATCACTTCAGTACCATTTTGGTTAGAATTGCAGAGAAAAGACATTCATGCTTTTTTCTCAATCTTAGAAGGAAAGCACTTCGTTTGTTGTTTTTTTTTTAAATCACAGTTTATGATGTTACCTGAAGGCTTTTCCATATATGCCACTCATTAGGTTAATGAAGTTCTCTACTACTCCTAATTTGCCAATTTATTTTATCATGAATGTGTGTTGAATTTTTTCAATGCACAAAAGCACTTTTGCTTTTTCTTCATCTATTGAAATGGTCATAGTTTCTTTTATTTTTACCTTTTAATATTTTTTATGTTGAATTTGGCATATTTATCCTAGACATTGTGAATATCAATGAGGTAACCACCAGCCCCTCTGCAATTGGAAACCTGAAGCATAGATAGATGTGGCAGGCACAACTCTTGCACCATTGCAGCAGCAGCCTAGGAATGAGTGAGGAGGGTGACTCCAACATCATCTGGGTGCCATTCACTTCTCATGACCTTGGAAAGAGTACTTTTATATTGCTCTGGGTTCCATTATATAGTTTCAAAGACTGTTTTTGTTTTTGTTGAAAATTAACTTGGTAATGCTCAAACTGCAAATTTGCCACATCCAAAATGTGTAGCAGCTTGGATCACAGTTTAGAATGCTTTTCATCTACCCTGCATATGAGCAGTTCATAAGTCAGGGAGATACAATGCAGAGATTATGCACTAAACTGGACATGTACTCTCTCTGACTTCTTTTTCGGGCTCCCTCTGTGTGCTGTCCTGTGGCCCTATGTCTAAGTCTCCTTGTTTTGAATACCCTAGCCTAGAAGATGGCAGAGTTTAGCCAGGAAATGCAAAGTTCACAACAAATCGGATACTTCTAGCAAAGTTCTCCTGCTTTAGTTCACTGAGACAGTTGTTTTTGATTTTAGAGTAAATAGTTATATATTTAGATGATTTATTTATTAGGAGCCTAATCTTTCATACCAAAAGTGAATTTGAGTTTGGACAGGTTTTGAAGGGCTTCATAGGGCTTGGTGAAATTTTGACTTGATGTGTTTCATTAATTTTGGAAAATTCTATACTGTTATCTCTGCAAATACTTATTCACTCCATTTTCTTAATTTTCCCATTCTGTGACTTGAAATACACTTTATATTTGGCCTTTTAAATGTACGCTATGTATGGAATGACGATGTATCTTGGTTTTACTGACCAAAGTTTATAAATATTTATTGAACTAATTTGGTAACCAAATTTTACTCTCAAACCTTCCAGTTTAGAAATTAATTGTGGTTATGCACCACATAATGACATTTCTGTCAAGAACAGATCACGTATACATTAGTAGTTTCATATGATTATAATGCCATATTATAATATTTAGTTCAGTAACATTCCATACACCTTTGTAGTCTAGAAGCAATAGTCTATACTACATAGTCTAGGTGTGTAGTAGGCTATACCATCTAGGTTTGTGTAAGTACGCTCTATGATGTTCTCACAGTGAAGTAATCACCTAAGGACAAATTTCTCAGATCATATTCTTGTCATTAAATAGCATGAATATATTGTCATCTTATCCATATTCTTATTTTAACCTTTTGTGTGGTTTGTTGTTGTTGTTGTTGTTGTTGTTGTTGTTTTTGGTCTTTTCAAATATCAGTCTCAATGTTCACTTGAGACCTATTTCCCTGTTCACCAATTTTCTTTACCTATAACTAATTTATTATTAAACACATTGACTGAGTTCTTAAGTTGGGTTACAGTATTTTTTCTATTTATATTCCTCAAGATTTTTTATACGTTTCTTAAAATATTTTCTCCATCTCAATTTCTGTAATCATTTATATTATTTTCTCTGAATTTCTCCCATTACCTAGGTCCTCTCTAGGTCTCCTTTTACTATCTATTATTCCTCTTGCTTTTCAGTGCTGTGGCATTGCCTCCCTAAATGTCTTATTTTTAATTGCACACTAGACTTTATACATAAATTATAAGAATGATTTAAGATACTGACATTTTGTTCATAAAAGAGTACTTATATCTACCTTATATAGCTACACAGCTATATACATATATACATATCTACATAGCTGTGCTATGTAGCTTATATAGCTACATAGCTATATACATACATATCTACATAGCTGTGCTATGGACACTAGCAATCTCAGAAGACATTAATCCAATCAATTTGAGATTTTTCAAACCTGAGTTTATCCCTGTGAGAGCCCATCTATTTGTAGTTTATCCTTACTTCAAAGGTTTATCCTCCTAGGAATCTCCACCCAAAGACTGGGCAATATTCTAAGGACACACTTCTTTGGAAAATCCCTCAACCCCAAACTTTGAGTCCATGAAGTATTTTGAGTTTGCAAAGTAAGTTGAAAGAAATTTTCTGGATATCACAGGACTGAGAAATTAACTTGAAATAATTTAAGAAGCTCTCTTAATTAATGCAGGAAATGTTTTAAATTATCTACAATATGGTACATAGTTTCAAATTATTAAACATCTCTATGTAAAGTAATTTAAATCCACCAACTTTTGGTAATAAATTGAAGATGAGAGACATTGGACGCACACAGCTGGCTTCATGAAATTTTTAAGGTAAAGTTACTTAATCTGTGTAGTTGATCAAAAAGACCATCATGGTTCATTATATCTAATTGTAGGAAAATGAGAATAGAATTTGCTTATGTTATGTCTTCCACATGACTGACAGGAACATATGCTAATAAATATGCCATGTCATTACTCCTTACACTTTAAATAAAGTAAAAGAAAACAAGAAATCTTACTTATTCTGGTGCCTTCTTGTCAAAAAAAAAAAAAAAAAAAAAAAACCTCAGGGAAAAAATACTGTTCTAAGAAGTTGAGTTTGTGATTTTAAGATTTTTGCAAACTTGATGCTTTTATTATGAACCACAGAATCTTTTTTCATATCATTTATACATGGACCATATGACCCATATAATTATTTTATTTTCATGTGTTCCATAAGCAAACCTATCAATCAGATTTTAAAGTAGGCCCACTGTTCCCCAGTAAAATGTTCAAACATCCCATGGGTGACACTACACAAACATCAATCACAGAAATCTAGTTCTGATATCCCAAAACATTGTTGCCAATGTGTAGAAAGGAAGAAGCAAAACTGATTATAAGAGCCAAATGAGGATGACTTCTCAACTCCTTCTAGTGAATTTCATTATTTACAAATTTCACTGGACAATTAGTGAATGATCAACCACATAAAGCTTTTGTTCCATTGGAGGAAGCTATATAATTCTGCTGATCTTGTGGGAAATTTTCTGATGCTAGCCATTGTTATACCAAAAACAGGATGAGCTTTGATCGGAGTTTTGCAGCTATATTTGAATTAGAAGAGTTATTGAAGCCTATATTCTATATTACTAACATTATCAAGTTAGAGTGAAGAAAGTTACCACCCTGTTTATTTTTTTACAACATAACTTAGAAGATAGCATCAATTCTTTCAAAACCCCAACAAAATAATATTTTTATAAATCAATTGCTGAATTACATATCCCATAAAATGTCATTTAAAACTGAAATTGTCAGAGAATGAAGGGGAAGAATAAGAGATTGAAAACCAATACTTTGCACTGAGAATAAATACATCAGGTATTTGATATAGTGTTATCTCATTTAATTTTATAATCACCATGTAAAGTAAACATGAGTGTACCATTTCATATATGAATAACCGGAGGCTTATAACAGTAAAATGAGATGACAGAAGTTGTAACTAGTGGAAAACCCCAAGATTTTAACTCATGTCTGAATGACTTAAAGCTATGAGAGTTTCTATTCCAAACAGCTATGCTTCACTGAAAGATCTGTTTCAGCATTGATATAAATAATCTATGTAGAACATATTTTCAAATTATTTGCATTCAGTAGAATATGAATATACTGATTATTCCAAATTCATACTGATAATTCAATAGGCAATTTAGGATTTGACAGAACCTCAAGTTCATCTTTCAAGCAGGAATAATTAAGGTCCATACATACACGGAAAATTCTGACAAAGCTTTCTAATTGTGTGGCTTCTATTTAACAGGATTCTTTTTTACTTAGAAATGAATATCACTGTGAACCTTATTTTGAATAATATTACAAATGCTCCATGGCTATGGGCACAATAACCCATACATAGTCCAAAGAAATATCATTGAAACAATGCAATCGATTGACCAGAAAATATCGAAAGTCTCCTGTTATTCCCACTCGGATCTAATCATACTGAGAAACAGTGAATGTGAGATGCTCTCTGGGCTGATGGACTTGAATGTAGCAGTGAAATTCACTTATATCATTATTATTTAGTAAATTAAAACTTGCCACAAATCTTCAGATTCTATACATTTTGTTTAACATTAGTTCAGATTATATTTGTTAAATTATTAGTTTTTCTGGTCCTGTCATTATGTATATAAGAAAGAAAGAGAAAATGATTTTAAAATATTTTTCTTAACTGAAAAATTGCTTTGTCTAGGGTCAACACACGGTCTTTTAGTGAGATTAAAAAGCTAATCCCATGTTCTGTTTTCAACAAATGAGTAGCCGGCATCTCTACTGACTAAACAAGGGGTGCCATGACTTTGGTTGATTCATATCAGCTGGTGCCTGATAGATGTCATCATTAGACCATGCTGACCATCATCAGACCATGCTGCCTCTATATCCCTAGTGTATTTTGTGGGGGAATTTCTACTTATTCCTTTGAAGGTACCTATACAGTTCATATATTCGTATATTTACTCAACTAATATCAAGAGTTTATTATATAAACTCTGAGACATGAAGACTGAGAGAAAATAAATCCAACAATCAAGGGAAATTCCAAGTAAAATTTTAAAAGCCAACTCATCTTATTTTTTTTTTTCCAGATAATCCCATGGCTTATCAGGAAGCACACTGAAATATCTTTATCTACTTTCAACACACTTTACCCAGTTACTTAGGCCAATCACCACTACTTATGAAAATAAGGAAAAGTAGCTACAGAGTTACATAGACTCTACAAAAAGTAGCCTATATGCTGTTTGTGCTTCTAGCCAGTACTGCAGACATCTGAAAACACTACGTGGGGAGTTTCATTGTAAATACAGCCAGTTCTGCAATTAAATCTCGTATGTTCTTAGGAATCACTATGCTAAACAAAATCAAACCATTAAAAAAATCTACTCAACCATGGAAAATTTGGTCATGAACAACACTTGAAATCTTCAAGAGTAACACATTTAAGAAATGATAGCAACCAAAAAAAGTAGCAAAATTTTGCATGTTACATGGTTAGGAAATACATAAATCCTGCAATTAATATGGCATTTTATTTGAAAAGAAAGTTTGCTTATCAGGAGGTGGTGGAAGTGTTACCTGAAAGTTACATACCACATGTGGACAGGTGTGGCTCATCACACATGCTGTGATGAACTAAGGAGTGTGTTACATGTGTGTAGTTTGTGTATCCTACCAGGCTCAGTTGACCGGGGACAGTTTCCCATATTCACTTAGAGTTTCTCAGGGATGAAATTGCCCATAAATAAATGCAAAATTAATGTTACACTCAAATTGTTCCCTAGCATGTCAAACACATTGGAATAAATTTACATCTTCTAAACAAGCATCATAGAATAACTGACCATATTAGAACTCGGTGACTGAGCAATATTCTGATTAGAACCAAGAAGTCAAGAAATATACTGATAAATTTGCACATAGGGCTCTTATACTGCCAGCAATTTACTTTAAAATCTTTCTGAATAGGCAAAATGACAAGTAAGTGTAAATTTGTTTTAATCTACACCCTATTGGTACTTACTAATCTGAGGACTTTCAGTCAGAAATAGCTCTTCAGGGGTGCTTGGTTTTCATTTGAAATGTTCAAGTGTTAAACCCATATTCAGAGATGCTACTGTTTCAATTACCTTTATCTCTCATCCAGCTTCCAACAGAACCTTTGTTCTGATACTGGTATCAGAGATGATATTCACTGGTAGGATGAAATTAAAATATGTGAAACAGCAATAAATATTATATAGATACTTCCTTATTTGTATGAAGAAGCTATAGCATTTAAAGTTTAGTGGTCTGATAGATCCTCTGTCCAGAAAAGTTACAGGCAGATTGTATAACCTCATTCATAAATCAAATTTTGTTAGAATATTGTTGCATGTATCTTGACGATGCTTTAAGAAAGATACAATCAAACATTCCTAAAAGTTTAGCAAGCTGAGGCTTTATAAAAGCATGTGTGTGCTCTAGTTAACTGTTTACTTGTTGTATATGGCAGAATGAATTTGAGATTTGCATTTATTACCACTTGGTAGTAAGTTTAGGAGTTAAGAACCTAAGCTTCCACACATCTATAATATGGGCGATCTATGTATATTTAGTAAAAAAAAAAATCACACAATAATAGCAAATGACCAAACTGACCAAAGTTTGGTTGAGTTTATAGTAATTCTTACAATCAACCTGTTTCCTAGCTATAGTTCTTTTATACTCCATCTTAGCATTTTCCCTAAATTGTTTAATAAACTGGATAAAAATGTAGAATATAATATATATATTATATAAAAACATACCATATAATATTATATATTATATTATATATATATGGACATCTTTATTGATAGTTTTATTTGCAAAACACTGGCATGGCCCTTCCAAGCCCTTTTGTATCCACAATACCATTTTATCACTTTAGCACTTTAACTGTGCTTTAGAATAGGGAACATCTCCATTTTACACACCAGGAGACTCTGGAAACACTGGGATGTCCAATGACTTGCTTAATGTTACTTAATTAGTCTGAGATAGAATAAGAACCATTCATGGCTAATAGTCCCTTGTCCCATCCACTTGGGACCTTGTCACAAACAACACTCATGTTTTTGATGCAGCTTTAGAATTTGGATTCAGTCCGTAAAAAAAAAAAAAAAAAAAAAAAAAAAAAAATTTGTTTTAGAAAATTCGGATTTATGAAGTTTTCATTTTTGTTTGTTTAAATGTTATGCTTTTATTTGTATTTTGTAGAGAGCAAGGTCCATTATTATTACTCTAACAACCAAGAAAAATTAAGATCTGTCCTTGAATGGCCAATTCAGTTCAAAACGACAGGGCATGGATGAGCCCATTGTGTAATCACAAGATTCTTTGTCTAAACCCCCTGGAGACTGTCTTAATGGAATCCCTCTTTCCATATTCTCACCACACTGCTTAGTCATTTAGCTGAGGCATGGTGAAATGAACAAGCGAGTTTTCAGCCCTGATCCTATCTCTCTCACACAGTCACACATTTATTCCTAGGAAATAATCTACCCCCTAGGAGTCTCCCACTGATTGTAAAGTGATTTTCTCACGCTGCATTTTCTGTAAACCTAATACAATGCCCTAAGTTTATAAGTTAGTATAGAAATACAAATGACACCTGTGGAACCACATTCCCTTCTCTGAAATGTGCAGAAATTAATTGTATTGAGTATATCCAAAAGTATAGCTGCTCGGGGCAGACAAAATATGAGAGTGAGTAGAATGATATTTTTGCAACATTGCCTTAAGGCTGAGTTGAAGACACTCTTGGGGATAAAATTCTCAATCATTCATGCACATACACAGTGAATTACCCTAGAAGTAAATTACAGCAAAGTGCTGTACAATGGTGAAATTATTGATTTAGTTTGGCATTTATCTTGAGTTAGATGTGGAAGATCAATTGTTAATATTGTCTTGATCATTTCTAACAGTGCCCAGAGGCATATGAGCAATGGCGTGGTGTATGGACGGAAACGTAAATAAAGAAAAACAAATCCAAGAAGATCGTTCTCTACTTCAATTTGTTTTTCCTTTAGAATTTACCCTTTGTCCTAGTGGAATTGTTATGCGTTTCCATTTGCACAGCAAGGACATTGTATTAAAAAAAGTCTCTTTCGAGAAATGTTAAATAATATTTAAAACTAAAGTTCATCTGAAGTTCATCTGTTTGTGGCAACAATTATTTCAATATGAACAACAAGACAGATTACTACATCTGTTTCCCAAATGTTACAAATTGTGTGAAGAAATAACAACTAAAGGTTCCCTGCCCAAGTCCTCTTATCTGTTTCTCTCACTTCTTGTTAGCCATTTGTGAAAATTTTAGCAGTTGTACAATAGATTCATTTATTTTGGTTTTTATCTCTCACACTATTTATCAACTCAGTTTGAATTACAAAGAAAATAGTAGTGTGTAAGGAAAAATATGTAAAGCAAGGAAAAGGTAGAAATCAAGAAATTAAATATAAAGACAGACTCCTGAGGATAAGGTGAGCCCATCTGTGTTTCAAGCAGTTGACTTGCCCCTTCCCTACTTTGCTGTTTTCAAAAACAACTGACTACTCTGAATCAGTGTAACTGTTGGTATCAAATATGTAATCTGCATGCTTTGCCCTTGGGCAGTGCTCACAGTGGGTAATGTATTCCTTTATTCACCCAAGAAAACATTTTTGTTGAGCACATGCTATACCAGATATTGCTCGAGATGCTAGGATCAGCAATGAGTAAAGTAAATCAGGCTCCTGCCTTCAGGAAAATTACAGACTAGTGAGTGCATTAGAATATCACAACTATATCTCAGTTTTTAAATAAAGGATATACAATCCCAAGTGATAATTGGTGCTCTGAAAAAAAATACCGCGGAATAAGTACCAAGGGTTAGGAACTATTATTTTACATAGTGTGTTCAGATCTTCTCTTAGGATGCGATGTTTTAGCAGGCTGAATGAAATAATGAAGCAAGTCAAAACAATATTTCTGAAAAGAGCTACTAAAAAGCCTTTCATCTCTTCAAAAATAACATACGGGAAAGCAACCTAATATCTAAGAGTTAGAATTTGCCTAACTCTCTGGGATTTCTGCTATTTTGGTATTGACAGTATCTTTCTTTTTGAACCCAAAATACAACATTTTAATGAAATAAGCACAGCAATGACCGGTTCCTATTCTGTATCTTCGTAACCAGATCTCTAACTTATAAATAAATAAAATATGGAGAAATCACACCCATTGTAGTCACTTATATCTTTCAAGCACTTGTTAGAAGCAAAATGAATGCACACTAAATGAATTAGAGGTATCTGGAAAGTGGCTGGTTTAGTACGATCAAGAATATGGATTTTATTAAGATGGCAAGTGACTTTATACTTATTGGACCTAATTAATTCCATTTATAAGGATAGTAAAACAAATCTTCGCTCATTGAAGGAATCATTTTTTACTTAATTGGTAATAAAATGATAGCTTCATATATTTAAAGGTTATTAAACTGTATTATTCCCCCTAATGAATATATTCATAACAGAGAAAAAGAACACTTAACATGTTCACATTGTAACATAAATCTGTTAACCTTTAAATGTTTAAAATTGTATTCCTTGTCATCGTATTACTAAATCTTTAAAATTTGAACAACTATTATCCATAATCATCTTAATATTACATCAAAATCAGAATGTAGAATGTGTAGTAGCACAATGATTTCCATGGTAACATCCAACCCTGTCATAAACACTTCAAGAGATAACAGCTTTATAAGGTAGTGGGACCCAAATGTAAAATTCTCTAGTAATTAGAAATAACAATCAAAGAAATTAAAGGAAATTGTGGGAAAAGCAAAGCGCCTTTTTGAAGAAGCAAAGCTATCTAATATTGTTTTATTTGGGCTCAAGTCTTTTATGAAAAATAAATCTGTATTAGTGCATAGCATGTGAATGGTAGCCAGTGTGTCATTTAGGGCACAATATCCTAACCTTCAAGCATAATAGAGACTGATGAGCAGTAGATGCCCAGACCAATGTGAGCTAGATTAAAACAAGATCTCCACTGGGCGCGGTGGCTCACGCCTGGAATCCCAGCACTTTGGGAGGCCGAGGCGGGCGGTGCATGAGGTCAGGAGATCGAGAACATTCTGGCCAACATGGTGAAACCCCGTCTCTACTAAAAATACAAAAATTAGCTGGGTGTGGTGGCGGGCGCCTGTAGTCCCAGCTACTCGGGAGGCTGAGGCAAGAGAATTGCTAGAACGGGGGAGAGGGAGATTGCAGTGAGCCAGGATGGCACCACTGCACTCCAGCCCAGCAACAGAGCAAGACTACGTCCAAAACAAAACAAAACAAACAAAAAAACACAAGATCTCTCAGAAGTAGAATGCTTGCACACATGAGATAAATAACAAACTATTCTAACTATTATTTAAAGAGATGAGAGAATTAAATTTTCAAAAGTAATTTTTCTTGGAATTAAACTACCAAGGAACATTTATTTGATTTTCTTCTATAGAATATTTTGATACCTTTATATGATTTCCTTTAAAAATAAACATTAATTAAAAATTATTCATTTTTCTTTAAAATTTTTGCCTTATAATACATGTTCCAATATCAATGATTTGCTGTTCTCTAATCATTGCTATTGTATTTAAATTTTCAGAAATTTGCCTTGGATTCAGATAGTTCCTCAGCCAATATTTGTTTATTTGTTTTTTAAGGCAATATGTGTATGAACATATTATTATCTATGTCTATAGATCTGTTGATTATAACTATTTTGACAAGGGGTTAGGGAAGAAGTAGGGCATATAAACTTTTGGTATTCTATAGGCAACTTAATTATTTTAATGATTTTTTAAATGATCAAATTTTCAAATTGTTATGTTCATGGTATGACCATACATAAATCAGCAGATTTCCTAATGAATTGGTCTTTACTTCCTAATGAATATATATTTGGTAGCCAAGTTCTAATGTGGAATATATATAAGTGAAATAATCAATGGGATGAAATCATCACGTTTCCCTTAGTACATATTGTGCAGGAGGCACATTTTAGTATTACAATTTATTAAGAATCTCAAAACCACAGAATACGTTCATCTCAAGTTTGCGCAGAAGATGCACTTGGGGACCAATAGTGGACCTCAAAATATCTAATGTGCTTTAGTTTTTAGCCTATCCTTGCTGCAGTTCCCCATATCTTACAACCTTGCTGCTCATAGCGTGGTTCAAGAAAGAGCAGCATTGACAGGCCACCTGGGACCTTGCTGTAATTGCAGAATCTTCAGGCCACACTGAAGACCAGATTCAGAATCCATACTTTCACAAGCTCCCTAAATGATTTGTGGGTATATTATATTATAAAGAAGTCTAGATCGTGCTTGGGATATTCGTTTACAAATAAGCAATCCACACTCCTTACATAGTCTGTTGTGGTTAAGAACATGTAACATGAGATCTAACTTCTTGACAAATTTTAAGTGTACAATACAATATTATTAACCGTAGGCACAATGCTGTACAGCAGATCTCTAGAACGTTTTCATCTTGCACAACTGAAACGTTAAAGCTGTTAGATAACAGCTCATTTCCTCCTCCCTATTAACTTCTGCCCTAATAGATTAAACCATATAAAACAATGTCCGCAAAGCTATGAGTTACCTGATTCCTTACCTGTCTGTAAAATAGGGCATTGAGTTTGCAAAAGCAGTTCAGTAACAATCGCTAGGTCTATAATTCTGATGCCTCTGATGGTGCATCAAAATATAAGATTATATTAGCAAAACACATAGGCTTTCTAGAGAAAAAATAAATTATCCAAAATTTAGGTGTTTTGTGTATTTTTAAATCAGCAGAAAATTTCCAACTTTGTCTTTATTTTCCAATGGATTTATATTTGGTAGCCAAGTTCTAATGTGGAATATATATAAGTGAAATAATCAATGGGATGAAATCGTCATGTTTCCCTTAGTATATGTTACTTAGGAGGCACGGTAAGTATTTTAAATATTACAAGAAGTATTTTAAAATACTTACAGGAAGGAAGTATTTTAAAATACTTACAGGAAGGAAGTATTTTAAAATACTTACAGGAAGGAAGTATTTTAAAATACTTACAGGAAGGAAGTATTTTAAATATTAACTGGCAATGTTATAAAAACCAGGTAATTAATATATTTATCAGTAGAATAACATCATTAGTAGTCATTAATTATCATAATATATTTTCATACATTTTGAAATATGAATGATTATTAATTTATCTTGTGCTTTTCATGCATCACAGTTTTAAGTGCTTTTACATATATTAGTCATTTAATTCTTATAAGTACCTAACGAAAGAGGTGCCATTATTGTCTCTGTTTACATATAAGGGAGCTAAGAAAAATTAAGTCGCTTTCCTATGGAGACACAGTTAGGAAATAGTGGGCAAGGTTTCAAACTGGGTAGCCTACCTCTAGGTCAGGATAATGTAAATTATAATATAAAAAAATTTTATATCCTAGAAGAGTTATATAACATAAAATTTCAGTTTATTTTATTCTGTAATGTAACCTTTTTGTTCCTTGAGTTCAGGAATGTTCTAACAAACAGGAGAAGTCCCTGGACCAGATGTAGGCAGGCAGTTATCAAAAATCAACATGTGTGGAATGACAGAGGCAAACAAGATAAAAAGCAGTGGAGAAGAGGCAAGTGGGTAGAGCTGAGTCAGAGGATGGGAGAAGAACACCCATGATGAAAGCTGTGGGGTTTGTGAAGTCATGTGGTTTAAGGGCTAAAATTGTAAATGGTAGGCATTCAGTAAGTGCTGTTTTCCTTTTATGTAAGGCCTAGAGCTCACTTGGGAGAGGGTGGCTACATCAGGGGGCTGAATCAGACCAAATGTTTTGGGATTTGCTTTGAAGTTAATTAACCAGATCATTCAAAGTATTTTCCTTGGAACAAAAGAATTTTGGCCCTCAGTTTTGGCTCAGTTTTAGCTCACTCTTGAGACTAAAGGATAGTCTCAATTTGAAAAATTCTTACAGACAGTACAAGTCTCAGCTTTAACTATAAAAATATCACTTACCATATGGAAATTTACAATTGCTTCCTTAGCACTTCAGTTTTTATCCAAAAGCCCCTAGCTACTAACCAAGCATCTAAACCCTTCTTCCCCAACTCTAACCGTTTTTTAAGAGGAAATAGTAGCCTGGTCCTAGAATTTCTGCATTATCTAAAGTTTCACTCTTTCATTAGAAGAGATAATAAATCAAAAAAACATTTTTTTGCAATAATCATCAGAACATTACCTTTGTCTTGTAGATAACAGAATGACGGCTCAGAGTAGGTAACATTTTGCCTCAAACACAAAGTAGAAAGGAGTAAAATAAAAAAGTAAACTGAGATCTAACTGCGGAGCTGTTTTTCTTAACACTGTACTATGCTACCTTCACCAAACAGCAGTATAAATTACTTTCTTTTTTACTATTAGGAGGAGACACCATCTTTATACCACTCATGTTTCCTACCTTCAAGTCATCAATTGCATAAAATTTATACACTGAAGAATAATAACTTTGATCCATAAAACAAGAAACTCCATGCATGAGTCTTAAGGAAATTAAATAACTGTTTCTTTACAGTTCCCCCCAATTTTTTTTTTAAAAAATCATATTAGGATTTTTAGTTTTAGTTCAGATGGAGTAACAGAGATCAGACTTATCTTCCAACCTGGAATAGCCAAAAGCAAACAAACACTATATATAATACAATTTTTTTTAAGTCATTAGCCAACAAAAGATGATGAGCCCTGAAATTTGAGAAGTGTATTAGCTTCCTATTTCTGCTTTAATAAATTACTCCAAAAGTTATAGCTTAAAACAACACAAATTTATTCTTTTATAGTTCTTGAGCTGAGAAGTTCAAAACCACCATCAATGAATGAAAGTCAAGTACTCTACCAAAAAAGTAAGGATTTGTTTGATTTTTGTGTTTGTTTTGCTTTGTTTTGTCTGAGAAGGCAGGTGGTGGAAAGAGATAGAAATGGAAATGTACGGCTCTAAGACTTGTATACAATCTGAGTAGTATAATATGATTTGACTGTGTGATAAGTTAAGATTGTACCAGGAACCCTAAATCACCCGCTTAAATAATACAACCAAAAAATGATTTGAAAGTTTTAAAAATATTACATATTTTGAACCACACTCTTTATTTTCTTAACTTTTATTTTAAGTTCAGGGATACACGTGCAGGTTTGTTACATAGGTAAATTTATGTCATGGGAGTTTGTTGTACAGATTATTTCATCACCTAGGTGTTAAGCTTAATACCCATTAGTTATTGTTTCTGATCCTCTTCCCTCCTTCCACCCTGCACACTCGGTTAAGGTGCAGTGTGTGTTGTTCCCCTCTATGTGTCCATGTGTTCTAACCATTTAACCTCCACTTATGAGTGAGAACATGCAGTATTTGGTTTTCTGTTCCTGTGTTAGTTTGCCAACGATCATGGCCTCCAGCTCTATCCACGTCCATGCAATGGACATGATCTCATTCTTTTTTATGGCTGCGTAGTATTTCATGATGTATATGTGCCACATTTTCTTTATCAAGTCTGTCATTGATGGACATTTAGGTTGATTCCATATCTTTGCTATTGTGAATAAGGCTGCAATGAACATATGTGTGTGTGTGGGTGTTTATAAGAGAGTGATTTATATTCCTTTGGGTATATACTCAACTGTGTTGAATGATTTCTGTCTCTAGGTCTTTGAGGAATCACCACACTGTCTTTTACAACAGCTGAACTAATTTACACTCCCACCAACAGTGTATAAGCGTTTCTTTTTCTCCACAACATCACCAGCATCTGTTATTTTTTTTACTTTTTAATAACAGCATTCTGACTGGTGTTAGATGTAATCTGCAAACAGGGATGTTTGACTTCCTCTCTTCCTATTTGTATGACCTTTATAAAAATACCATTTTTATCAGAATCAAAAACAATGAAATACTTTGGCATAAACCTGACAAAAAATGTGCTATATCAGTAATGTGACTATGAGGAAACATGGTAGACATAAACTAAAGACCACATAAATGAAGACATATAGTTCAGAAGATTTAAAATTGTTAAGATATCAATTTTCCCCCATGTAATCCCAATTAAAATCACTGAAGGATTTTTTTTTTCAGAAATTGACAAACTGATTATAATATTCACATGGAAATGTAAAGTACCTATAACAGCCAAAAATCTTGTCAAAAGAAAAAAATTGAGGGACTAGCACTATCTAGTTTCAATAATTATTATAAAACTATAGTAATTACAAAGTTGTGACTTGGGCATAAAGATAGACAGATTTAAAAATAAAACAGAATACAGTTCAGAAATAGATCCAAATGTATATGGAAAATTATTTTTGACAACACTGCAAAAGGAAATTCAGTGGGAAATGATATATCTTTGCTACAAATAATACTAGAACAACTAAATATCCATATAAACATAAAAAAACTTTGATTAATGTCTCATAGCATAAATTAAATTTAACTCAGAATAAATCATAGATATAATTATAAAATCTAAATCTATACAATATCTAGAAAACATAGAAGCAAATTATTATAACTGAGGTTTGGCAAAAAATTTTTGGATATGACACACAAAAAATTTTAGGACATAATGGAAATAGTTTCCAATGATCTTGCAATCATGTAGACATAAGAGAGTTACTTCAAGGGTGGGCCGAAACCTGTGGTACAAGCCTTGAATGCCATTTTGGTAGTATAGTTCAAACAAATTGGGAAAAACAGCCTCTTCAGCAAAAACCTTACATATCTTCCAGTGAGATTTTATTCCACTTGAGTCAAATTCACATCTCTTATTTAAGCTGTTTAACTTATAGTGCTAAACACAATATTTAATATACAGTAAGAATGCAATAAGTAGAGCTTTGAGGATTGGCATTGTTTATTACTGCAGCATGACCTAGCCCATTCTGACTGATGATTATAGGAACATGATAACAAGAGCACTCTGAATAATGTCTTTACCTTAGTACAAAGTTAAAAGATATGGTAGATATGTTCTCTTCTTCAATCTGGGAACTGAAGTGTTACTCAAGTGTATTCAGTTTATGAAAATGCATTGATCTGAATACTTATTGGTGTTTTCCCATATATGTGTGTCTAGACAGATACATATATACAACACTAACATGTATATATTATATATTTATATAAATATTATGCACATACATAATTATTTGTGCATACATTGTGTTAACATATATAATATGTGTATACAGACAGTACAAATCTTTAATACTAAAAGTTTCTTTTAAAATGACAGAATAGAGAAATTTAAACCATGTGTTTTTTTTTTTTTCTTTTTGGAAGTTGGATATGTTCACTAAGTAAATGGCCATATTAGGAGCAGAAGGCATTTCCAGTGATCTGAAAGTCATATACAAACTATTGGAGAAAGAACAAATGGACACTGGGAAGCCAATAAAAAAGAGATTATGGCAATATAGTTTTATGCTAATCAAAGTGACAATTAGAATTTTTGGTGAAAAAAGAGGATTTTGTAAATTCTAACAGGGGATGCTGATGATAGAAGTGACTGAATGTAACATGACAAGAAAAATGAATGAGTTTGTTCCAGGCATATTAGATCTCAGGTAGCAAGGTAGGTAGTGCTAAAGCACAGAGCAGAGGAACAGTCAGACAGAGAAGGAGATTTCTAGGTAAATCTGGTGCTCTGTCCTCACTCTAGACACAAGTCCTCAAAACTAGACACTCTAGACACAAGTAAGATATCCTGAAGACTGGTAATAATGCTGGGCCAGGAAAAGGACCAAGCAGCATAGATTTAGGTTGGTTTTATTTTTTTAATTTCAAATAGCTAAGCTAATGCCAAATCTTTGTCTTTTTCGGAATAATATTCTGAATAAACTTTAGCATTTGTTTTCTAAAGTTTCATGGATTTTATTTTTGCCAAAACTTTCATTTCACATGATGAATTAATAATATCTCTGCTGTTAGTGGATTCTGAAGAAAATGTGAAAATGGCCCAACTTACCACATTTTTTAAGTTCAGTAGTTTTGAAGATCATACTCTTCTTCATTGAAAACTGACAGAACATAGCTATGGGAAAGACAGACATGCAGGTTTTACAAATTCATAGTTAATCTATATGTTTTTTAAATGATATCTAAAACAAAAGATTTTTTTACAGGCTTATCTATGTTTGTTATTCTGATTGGGCCATATTGCCAAGTTTTGGAGCTCCTAGTCATGTAAAGTGAGACACGAATTCTCTAGAATTTGGACTTTGAATCACCCTCCAGGACAGAAAATATGCCTCCAGTGTCAGCCTTGAAAAGATGTGGAGTTGAAGGGGCAAAGAATAAAGCTAAATGAGTCCTTACCACAAGGACTAGGCAGCATAGATTTGAGATATTGCTATTAAAGTGAAGTAATAGGATGTCGGAGCAGGCAAGAGCATGGCAATCCAGCTTGCATTAGTCACTTCTCACACTGCTAAATGCCTGAGATTCTGTAATATACAAAGAAAACAGGTTTAATTTGTTCATGATTCCACAGACTGTACAGGAAGCATGGTAACATCTGCTTCTGGGGAGGCCTCAGGGAGACTTTACAATCATGGTGGAAGGCAAAGGGGAAGCAGCCTTGTCTTATGTGGCCAGAGCAGGAGGAAGAGAAAGAGGGGAGAGGCGCCATACACTTTTAAACAACCAGATCTCAGGAGAAGTCACTATTGCAACCAAGTGGGACAGTGCTAAGCCATTCCAAATTGTCCCCATGATCCAATCACCTCCCACCAAGTCCCACCTCCAACACTGTGGACTACAATTCACCATGAGATGTGGGCAGGGACACAGATTCAAACCATATAATTCCACCACTGGCCTGTCCCAAATCTCATGTCCTTTTCATATTGCAAAATAGAATTATGCCTTCTCAACAGTCCCCCAAAGTCTTAACTCATTTCAGCATTAACTCAAAAGTCTAAAGTCCAAAGTATCATCTGAGACAAGGCTAGTCCTTCTGCGTATGAGCCTGTAAAATCAGAAACAAGTTAGTTACTTCCAAGATACAATGAAAGTACAGGCATTGGGTAAATATTCCCATTCTAAAAGGGAGAAGGGGCCATGGGGGCTGACCCTCTGCAAAGCAATAGGGGCAGAGCTGCCCAAGGCCTTGGGAGCCTACCCCTTGTATTAGTGTGTCTTGGATGTTAAGACGTGGAGTCAAAAGAGATTATTTTGGAGCTTTAATATTTATTGACTGCCCTCTGGGTTTTCAACTTTCACAGGACTTGTAGCCCCTTTCTTGTGGCCAATTTCTCCCTTTTGGAATGGGAATATTTACCCAATGCTTGTACCCCAATTGTATCTTGGAAGTAACTAACTTGCTTTTGGTTTCACAGGCTCATATGCAGAAGGGATTAGTCTTGTCTCAGAAGAGACTTTAGACTTTGGACTTTGGAGTTAATGCTGAAATGAGTTAAGACTTTGGGGGACTGTTGGGAAGGCATGATTGTATTTTGCAATGTGAGAAGGACATGAGATTTGAGAAGGGCCAGTGGTTAAATGATATGGTGTGAATCCATGTCTCTGCCCAAGTCTCATGTTGAATTGTAATCCCAGGGCTGGAAATGGGACCTGGTGCTGTGGTGATAGGATCGGGGGGGCATTTTCTAATGGTTTAGCATCATCCCTCTTGGTCTCAATAGCTAGTTCTTAAAAGTGTTGTTTAAAATTATGTGGCACCTTCTCCTCCCCTTCCTCCTGCTCTGGCCACGTAAGACAAGCTTGCTTCCCCTTTGCCTTCCACCATGATTGTAAAATCTTCCTGATGCCTCCCCAGAAGCTGCCATGCTTACTGTACAGCCTGCAGAATCATGAGCCACTTATACCTCTTTTTCTTATACATTCTTGAGTCTCAGGTACTTCTTCATAGCAATGTGAAAATGGACAAATACACAGCTGAAAGGTGACATCAGAAAATCCAAGAAGCAAACTATTGGCAGGCCAACAGGTGCACAGGTACCAACAACCAGACAAAAAAAAAGAAGGGGCCAGGTGCTGTGGCTCCAGCCTGTAATCCCAGCACTTTGGGAGGCTGAGGCAGGTGGATTACGAGGTCAGGAGTTCGAGACCAGCCAGACCAACATGGAGAAACCCGGTCTCTACTAAAAATACAAAAATTAGCCGGATGTGGTGGCACATACCTGCAATCCCAGCTACTTGGGAGGCTGAGGCAGGGGAGTCACTTAAACCTGGGAGGCAGAGGTTGCAATGAGCCGAGATCGCGCCACTGCACTCCAGCCTGGGCGACAGAGCAAGACTCCATCTCAAAAGAAAGAAAAAAAAAAACAGAAAGATGGGAAATGTAATCTTGAGAGAGAAAGATGCATTATGTGAGTCTTTATTAATCTGAAGATACAGGAACAGTAAACAAGAGACAAGCCAAATTATATAAACTACAGGAACGAGGAGAAAACTAGACATGACTTGAGGCTGAACCAGAGAATACAAAGTTGCTCTTTTGTTAGATAAGGGCTTATTCCAGAAATTCAGAAGCAAGTTAAGGGAGTGCTACAGATGGACAAGTGACATCAGTTGTAAGGAGACCAGTTACTGAGACTGGGAACCAGAGTGGGCCTGACAGATGATTGATTATTTATGAAATGCTTCTGTTCCCATTAGGAAGTATAAGCATATCAAAATAGAATTGTTGATCCTTGAGAGATCATAATGCTTGTGTTTACTCTCTAGTTTCCAAGGCTTTTTAAAAGCATTCTGATGGCATATTAAGACAGAGAGTCTCAAACTTTAATGTGCCTATGAATCACCTAAGGATTTTGAAAAAAAAAAAAAAAAAAAGCAGGTGCTGATTCACTAGGTCTGGGTGGGACCTGCGTGTCTGCATTTCTCAGATGTCCCCATGAAACGTCCTTGGTGCTGGTTCTTGGCCTACATCTAGAAAGATGTTAGGAGGCCTCGAGGACATTCAAACAAAACAGTGAAAACTAAAATAATCCTAAAATACTGAAGCATAAATATAGAAAAAATAATTTCTAGAAATTTTTTCTCATTTTTCAAGATATTAGCTTTCTGCTAAACTAGCAATATTTGATCCAAGACATTTTAACCCTTTCTTTGGCTTCACCTGGTATCAAGGAGAGAAAAAAAATATCTCCATTCCCTTGATTTGTAGCCATGATATGGCATTGAAAAAAATCATGTGGACCTCTGTAGAGAACTTCTTTATTCAGAGGCATTCTGCAATGAGTCAATAAAAGGGAATCCAATATGTACTGTAAGAATTACCTAAGAGTAAGACATGCAGGATAGCACCATAAGAAAAAAGCATAGGCTTTGACTGCACTGAGCCTGGTTCAGTTCTCTACTCTGCCTCCCAAAATGTGACTTTGAACAAGTTATCTCCTCTCAGAGATATGTGATTCTCATATACAAAGACAGATATGTATTTCAGAACAAATTTTTAATTAGGAAGGATCAAGTACCTACAATTATCCCCACAATAAGTGACAGCTGGTTATTTACGTCTGCTGGTAATTGCTGAGCTCATGTTTATATGCAGGGGAGAAGTGTCTTTACTTTAAAGGAAAACCGTATTTCTGAGTAAGGCCTTCAATTCTGTGTGGGCACTTTCATCCAACAGCATTGAGTTCCTCCATTACTTACAAAGATAAGATGAAATCAGAAAATTTGGAGTGACTTCCAAAGCCACACAGAAACCACGCAATGTCAGGAGAATCAGATGGGTTCCTTTTATTCAAGTATTTTTGTGTACATCTCCACTTTAGTCAATTAACTGCCTATGAAAAAAAATTCTGTTCATACCATCCAATTAAAATCTTAACCCTGGCCTTTTGCCTTATCCATGATACATAATAAAGTATCTATGTCATGGGCATTTGCTATCTGCCTGGTACTATACTGATATGGTGTGGCTGTGTTCCCACCAAAATCTCATCTTGAATTGTAGCTCCCGTAATTCCCACAAGTTGCAGGAGGCACCCGGTGGGAGGTAATTTAATCATTGGGGGCAGGTCTTTCCCATGCTGTTGGCATGATATTGAATAAGTCACATGAGATCTGATGGTTTTATAAAGAGGAGCTCCCCTCCACATGCTCTCTTGCCTGCTACCATGTAAGATGTGCCTCTACTCCTCATTTGGCCTTCCTCCACGATCGTGAGGCCTCCCAAGCCATGAACAACTATCAGTCAATTAAACCTCTTTCCTTTACACATTACCCAGTCTCAGGTATGTCTTTATTAGCATCCTGAGGACAGAATAATAAATGTACTTAACATATTTTTAAGAATTTTAAAAACAGCAATTTTATGTGAAGAGCATGGAAGTCAAGCATCTTTGGAAAAATGGACTTTCTCATAGAACCAGGTAGCAAAGTACAGTGAGTGGAAGGAACCTACACAATTTAGAAACAATTAATAAGAATCTGCCTTATTTTTTAAAAGTCCTAAATGTTGACATTTTTCAGAAAAAAAATTTAACAGGTAAGTGTATCACTGTTTTTAAATTGAACTGCTGAAACTTCAATATATAATAATACTTCAATAATAAATTGAACTACTGAAACTTTCAATATATTGAAATATTTTCACTACTTTAGTATTTTATTACTCACAATTGCATGAAAATTTTAATATAAATGATATTGGAAAAAAGAAAATTACCAAAACTTCCTGTATCTGACCTTAGTTCACCATTTGTTATGGCAACTTTAGCTTCCCATGAAGGAAAATATCTGATATTCAACAACAGGATTAAGAAATCTCTGTATGAACAATAAAATGCTGTTCATCATTGTATAAATTAGGCAACATACATGGCATGGCAGCTAGATTGTTACATTCTTGGCATGAACTTCAGATAACTGTCTTGAAACAAATCAACCAGCTAGGCCCTCTGTGTCTTCCACAGAGCACCTCTAGCAGCTTGGTCTAGTATAGTCCTAAGCAATTTCTCACAACAAGCTCTGGAGAGGAGGTTTACAATCAGAATATGTCTAATTTCATGAAGTGCCAGGAATAATTAACACTTTGAAGAGAGGGACATTTATATAAGAATGGTTTGTAGTCAGTTACTACCAAGTTATTTACATCCAGCAAACACATTAGATACAGAGGTTTCTCCATACAGAAGTTCCCTGCTTTCAGGGTACATGGTAAAAAGAGGGTCTAGGACCACAGGGAACTGGAAAGAGGGAACATAATTAAGAAGTCTAAACATATCCCAAATCTATCATTTAATAATGACAGGGATTATTCCCATTTTCCAAGGGAAAATGGGGCTTAGAGACAGTAAGTACTTGCCCAAGTATATGAAGACAAAAAGTGAAAGAGAATTTGAAACCATTCATCAATAAATTTTCATTGAGCACATAAAATATGTCAGACACCATGAACAAAGCAGGCATTTTTAACCACCACATACCATGACCTCCTCATACTGATCACAGGAACACAAAGAAGGAAATGATGGAAACACTTCCTTTTTAATACTATTTTTTTAGAGCAACAACTTTATATTTAATAGGTGAACAGAAACACCAACTTCATATTTTAAAGAAGAGTTCTCTGTATTTTTTCCTGATACTTGGGGAAAAAATTACCTTGTTTTAGTTATTATTTATTATGGTCCAAGTTTGCATCATCTGAAATATGAACAAAACATGCATGTAGAATAAGAAAAGCTGCTAAAATTTTCAAGGCACTACTATTTCAACAGAACTGGAAGCTCATAATGTTTCAATCGTACTACAAAAATTCCTTTAGATAATCCTTCTAGAATTGAATTATTCTAGGCATAATAGTGAAAAAATGAATGCAAATCAATGTGATTAATACATTTAATTTGCTGTCAAATGTATAAAACTAATACAACATCTTGCTCAAAACAATGCTAAATATTCAAAGGCAATTCAGAAACATCTAGGAAGATGGATAATAGCTTATTCATTTTATAATTAGTTCTGAGGCAGCTATGAGTCTTTAGTCATTAAATATCTGAAATCTATTTAGCATAATTGATACATGTGCATATGTAATACTTCTGATTGTAATTGATTCTATAAATAATGCATGCCATTTACAGCACACATCATTTGATTTGTTTTCAATACTTATTTTAAAATATATATATGTTTTTTATTTCTGTATCTGATTTCTGAAAGTCATAGATTAAATTTTCACAAAATTTATTTGCTATTTTATCACTATTTGATTCCTGTTTAAATATTGCTCCTCAAAGCACTCAAATTAGAGGTATCATTAATCATCAAAAGCCTGCTGAAAAACAAGAAAGTTTAAAGTTAGTTTGAACATTACTTTACTCAAGAAACAGATGAATACATCTTGCAGAAATGCAGCAATTGACTATTCATTCTATATAACTCCATACAGCTTAGATTCTCATTTTGCATTTTTATTTTATTTTAGAGTTCTTCTTTCTTTCCTTTTATTAATCCAAATCCCTTGCCATTAGCTTTAAAACACTCATATAATACACATTTGGCAATGCCTTTTAAGTGGACTTGAAAATCCCTCAATGACTAAAGGGTAAAGTAAAACCCTGACTTAGGACTTTTTAAAGTCAATATCCTTAGAATTAACTGGCTAATGCTCCACGATCTATTTCTCTATCCTTTTTTCAACATAGCAAGATTTTCACAGAAAGCAAATTGTTCATTTGTAAATGTCTGAATATTCTTGCCCTGCTGTGTCCACAGCCTTTTTTGTGTATGTTGTTTTGTAACCCAGGAATTATTTGAAAAATAGTCTAAATGTAATTATAAAAATATAAAAATATCTAGCTTATTCATGATTTCAGCAAATATATATTGGTAATCCACTGTGCCCTGGAACTATGCTACATGCGAATAACAAAATACAGTCCCTATTCACAAGGAGCATAACATATCCAAGTGTTCCCAACCTGGTAAGGATGACGATTGCAGGAAGCATTCATTATTCTGGGATCATAAGTCAAGGCAGCATGAGGGAGGCTCTCACCAGATGCAGTTGCCCAATCTTGGACTTTCCAGCCACAGAATTGTGAGTCAAATAAACTTCTTTCTTTAGAAATCACCCAGCTTCAGGTATTCTCCTATAGCAACACAAAACAGACAAAGAAAGTGAAGTCTCCCTAAAGAGAGTGATACCTAAGACCAGTCCAAAAGGGGGATTGGAATTGAAGTGGAAAGCTAAAGAGAGTTCTAAGGCAAAGGGCAAACCACAAGTCAAGGACTCAGAAATGGAAGAGAACCTAGTTATCTCAATGAATGCTGAATCATTTGCAGCAGCCAGATAACCTTAGGGGTCATGGTGAAGGGTCAAGGGCCAATTTAGGGAGTGTAATTTCTTATGAACCTTGCAGAGGTAATCCACATAAAGTGTCTTCCTTGTGACTTGAGTTAATGCCTGTAAAGATTCTAGGATGACAAGTATAAATGCTTCAAAGAAAGCATTTAATAGATGTTAGTTATAATTGTTCAAAGTAGTATTGCTTTGTTATGATTGTTAGTACAATTTTGATCACCTATCCATTAAAAGAGACTGAGTAGAAAAAGGAATAACATAAGTTGTTAACTCACAACTTGGAAATATTGTTGTGAGTTATGACAGACATTGTGAAGTAATTTACCAAAATTAATTTATATAGATGAATACAAAGATGATTCCTTATTAATTAAGAAGAGATGATAATGAGGCCTTTTTGAAACCAGCTTCCCCTTACCTTATCCCCACTTTCACAGCATTCTGGTTGATGAGTTTATTTTCACAGTGCATTTAAAAAAAAAAAAAAACTACAGTTACTTCATAAGTGAAATTGAGTTCAAAGGGCGTGATTTAATTTGATATTGCAACCACCAGGTGTTTAATTCAGTCACACCTCATTATAAAACATTTCTCCATCAGAGGAATCCAGTTTTACTGCAGGTTCAATCATGTTTCCCGATAGGTATTTTTGTTCAGTGCCTGTTTCTCACAGCTCCTATATCAGAAGTAGGTAACATGATGGGGCAAAAACTCATTTTTGTGTAAATGTTAATGTGTTTTGTTTATCTGCTAAGTATCACTTATGTGATGGATGGTTCTAGCTCAATATTATGCACATGTGCACTTTTTGAGAAACTAGATTTTGTGGCGTGTAAAATAAAACAAAAGAGGTACACAGGCCTTTAAAAGTAAATGGAAACTTGAAATCTGCCTGAACTTGATGAGAAACCAACAAAGCATTCATATTCCACTAACAAAATCTGAGAGAGAGGATCTCTGGACTGGCTAAACTTAATGTAAACATCCCTGTCACCTTTCAGAACACATTCTGCATGTTGAAACAAAATATACCTGTACATTGTCAGCAGGTAACAATTATTTCTTATACATAACTGGGTACACAAGGCCACCAAAATCCAGAGGAAAAAAAAACTATATATATATATATATATATATATATATATATATATATATATATCCAGAGGAAAATATAAAACACAGGGAGGGAGAAAATAATAAATATCCAAATATTATAGTCAGTTCTCTGTACCTGCAGTTGTGGCTAATTTTATAAACCACCTTTTAGAACTTTGATCAAAAATATAAAAAAATAAGATTTTAAAAATCTTAATGTAAACTCAATTTATTGACCAATTACTATGTATCATGTGTCAAACTAAATAATGTACATTGCCTTAATCTATATAAAACTCTTTAAGCTATGTAGTATTATTATTCTAATTTTTAAAACGAAGGAAATGGGATTTGCTCAAGGTTACATGGCCAGTGAAAGCATGATATCAAAAAGAGTCATTTTCTAGATCCTAGGTCTACGTATCCTACCTACCCCTATTCTTTGGTATAGACAAGTGATTCCTTTCAACCTAATAGAAATTAATATGCCAGCAGTTTCAAAACAGGTTATCTATAGAAACTTCTCTAGCCTTGCTTCCAAGCTTGGTGGACCTCTTTAGGCACTCGTCTGATTCCAATTTTCAATTGACAGGTTAATATCAATCCTTCTATTGCTGGAGGAGTGAGCATTTTGTCAATGGTACCTTTACTAGTCAATCACTTGACGTTCCCACCCTTAACTTGGGAAAGCAAAGCACCTCTAATCTCCTCAACTGCCATGAACTGGAGAAGGGGGATAGCCCTACTTTAAGAATACTGCTCTTTTAGGCCAGTCGCAGAGACTTACTCCTGTAATCCCACCAATCTGGGAGGTGGAGGCAGGTAGATTGCTTGAGCTCAGGAGTTTGAGGCAAGCCTGGACAACATGGAGAAACCCTGTCTCTACAAAATATAAGAAATTAGCTGGGCATGGTAGAGTGTACCTGTAGTCCCGGCTGCTTGGGAGGCTGAAGTGGGAAGATTACTTGAGTCTGGGAGGCAGAGGTTGCAGTGAGCCATGATCCCACCACTGTACTCCAGGCTGGGTAACAGAGTGAGATCCTGTCTCAAAAAAAAAAAAAAAAATATATATATATATATATATATATATGCTGTTCTTTTTCAAAAGGTGACTGAACCTTTTCCCACACTGTCCATTTCTTATATCAAAATAAAAAAAAAAAATTGGTGACAAGTGACTTTTCTGCTGCCTGGTGCCTCCAGAAAGTCTAACAGAGAAGTGACACCAACAGCTGCTGGTTTTTCTGACAGAGTGTGTGGGATGTAAAACAGCTTTTGTTCCCAGATGTGGGCCTTAGTCATCCAACCATGCATTTGGCAATTAACACTATTCTGTTACACAAATTTGTGACTAACATAGAAAAATAATTCTTAACATTTAGCAGGCATCAAAATCCCCCAGAGGGGCTTCTTAAACCACAAATCTCTGGGGCTCACCCTCAGAGTTCAGACTGGGTTTCTGGAAGGGCCTGAGAATCTGCCTTTTAAACTAGTTTCTGGGTGACGCTGATGTGGCTGATCCTGGAACCACTAGTTTAGAACTACTGGCATATTCTAAAACCTAGTGCATAGTAGGTACATCTTCTATAAAATAATGACTCTTCTGTCTTGTTGCCTGTTTGTTAATATCCACAAATGTTAAGATTTCATCAATTATATTTTATACACAATAAGAATAGTTAATGTGCCTTATATTTCTTTTCTATTCCCTTACACAGTAAGTGGTTAAAATACACGTAGGTTTATTAACATTTACAATACCAGATTTAAGGGTAATAACCACAGAGTTCTGGTGTACATCTTATGCTCACATACCGTTATGATTATGCATCTTTTGTATTATGGAATTTCCAATTGTCAAAAGGAAAATGAACAATCATAATGTTAATAAATATACTGACATGTTCTATAAGAGATTAATTTTGATCAATCATTTCTATACTAACAGGAATGAGGTCTCTGTTTAACAAAATAATATACTAATGAAACAGATTATTAGACATTTATTGTTATTGTAAGATTAAAAGGCATCCTAAATTATGTGAGGTTTCTTTCCTGATATCCATACTTAATATTCTTTTAAAAAAATCTGACATTAACTTTATTGAATTTATAGTGATTACATTTAAAAAAAAATATTGTGGGTAAATCCTGAACTTAAAGGAAAGGTTATCAGAACTTTAGCTACAGCAGTAGTGGCAACAAGGCTCCGTTATCAAGTGTGTTAATTATTTATTCACACCTGGTTCACCACTGATTAACAAAACCTATTAAGGCCTTCCCTTGAAGACCTTGCTGTTGACATGTATTTGCAGCTGTTGTTGATTTTTTTTCCAAATTAGCACATTATGTGTTTGGAAAACAGACAAAAAACAGCTGCAATGTCTGAATGCATTTATTATGTACTCTTCTCAAATGCTATTTAGGTTTACTAGTAAATGATGAAGTCAGAGTGAAATGCACTGTTAACTCTGCACTTACAGGGCTTATGGGTCTAGCAGAAACAGGATGCTAAGGGGGTCACATTAAAATTTCAGCCTTCACTTTGGAAATAGATTCCACACATTTCAGAAGCCAACTGTTCAATAATATGCATAAACAGTAGTGACATCCTATAGCAATCTCTCTTTCAAGTTAGCAAGGTCTGGTAAAGAGGTGAAAGCAATTAAAAATGCACATGACTTCAGATGGACTTAAATGTTTATTAAAATAACATTATCTTGACTTTCATATTATGCTATGCTGAATGCTTTATTGGTTTTATAGTCCCTCAAAGCCACCTAGCTCCAGGTTATAGTAATAAAATATTATTTTTAAAGGCTGTGTTAATAACTAAAAAACATTATTTTATATTTAAGGTCTTTATGCTTGCTGCTTTATTGCAGCAACAAATCTTCCCGGAGTAAAATATCTGGCATTTAGCAGTTTAGAAATCATCATCTCTCCAAAGTGCTGGTACCACCCTAGACACAGGACAACTTTTGGAAATTCAAGGGATTCTCCTTCATCTCCAAATATTGTGCAGAATAATTCCTCTCAACCGAAAGACAAGGGGTCTTATTTACTTATATTTCTTGAGAAAAGGGGTCTGAGTCTTGAATTTCCAATTGCATCTGCTTTCTCTTTACCCTACACTCCAAAATCAAACACACACACACACAAACGATTACTTCTTCTTATTTTTTCTCTATTACGAGCCCCATTTTCCAATGCAGAAGCTATTGCTTGGAGGATTGCCTGCATAACAGGAGGGAATATTTCTGTTATCACGGCAAGCCCTGTCAGTCCAACTTTCTTCCAGTTCCTAGTTCCATGAAGTGGCACAAAGCTTTTTCAACTTTAAAGACTGAAAATATGCACATTCATCTATATCAGAGACAGGTGTTATCTAATTAGCATTCTCTATTTACTTCATGGTGCTTGTCACAAACATGCTTGCCAAATCAGGCATACACATCTGTCCATGTTATTAATTATGCCAAAAAATACCAAATAATTTTCAAACACCAGTAACATATTGTAGGCCCACAGCCCTTTGTTCATGCTGTCTCCCTAACCTGAAGCAAACTTACCATGGTTCTTTACCTACATGACATTTGCCTATGTCAACCAATTTGATGAATGCAAGCAAGGTAAACAGATGCTGTCTATCTTAAAGCAGAAGAGGAATTGACAAGTAGCCAATAGAATTACTGGAAAACTAGACCTAGAAAAATCAAGAAAAAGCCAAGCAATTCTGGAGAGTCAAGCAGCAAAGAACACATCACCACACACCACCACAAAGGAATTTACTTCATCTTTGTCTAATTTGCTGCATATGAAAAATTTTAGCTAAGGAATATTTGATAGACAAAGTCATTCATCAGTGCACTCCATGCCAGTTGGCATGGAGATAATCTGTACTTTGGGAGGTAAGATGTTTCTTTTTGCCAGAAAATACACAATTGAGAATGCCCCAAAAATTAGGAAGGAGGTTGTAGACTTGTAGGCAGAGAATAACAAATGTACTCACCATTTTTCAAGGCCCACCTCAAGCTTCAACTCCTAAATAAAACCTTTCATACCTACTTCAACTTTGTTGATTTTTTTCTCTAGCAATCTCTGCATTATTTAATGTCTGTATCATTCAGTTTATCACTTATATATGTAAAGTTTAATTTATAATTTCTCACATTTTATAGGTTTGGCTTTTCAGGAAGATGGCTAGTTCCTTGAGGACAAAACACACGTTTTAAACTTGTATATTTTATTACAACGTACAACTCACTTCAAACAGAAATAGTAGGTTGATTGACTGATGGCTAGATTTAAACTGGGCCTAAATGCGTATTACCAAGTATGGCATCTATGAGACAATATACAAATAAAATTGTTTTTAAATGATATTGTTAGAGCAAAATATTTATTTAAGGAAAACTTTTTAAGACATTTCTTCACAATGATGACTATTTTTGTAAAAAACTTGTTTACTTGTATAAAATGAATTTATAAGCATAAAATGAATTTATACATATATTATTCCCTAGTCTTTAATAAATTCTAGGAGATGACATTAGGCAGCTTCTGAAATGGTTCCCAATGCTCTCTGACTCCTGTTACTTATGCTCCTGTGTAATACCCTCTCCTTGGCTTTCTTTTAATGAATAGAATGTGGCAAAAGAGATGGGATATCAATGTTAAAATTAAATGATGAAAGACAGCGACTTTCGTTTTGTTCTTTCTCTCTAGCTCTCTCTTTCTCTCATTCTCTCTCTTGCTCACATTTCTAACCTATTTGCTCTCTTTCTCATTTTCTCTCTTGCTCACATTTCTAACTTCTTGCTCTTATAAAGCAAGCTCTCATATTTTGAGCTACTCTGTGGAGCGACCCAAGTAGCAAGGAACTAAGTGCAGCCTTTCTCCAACAGTCAGCAAACAACTGACGCCCTCAGTCTACCACTTCAAGAGGTACTGAATCTTAGCCTCCACCAGGTGAATGAGCTTAGAAGAAACTCTTTCCCTAGTTGAGCCTTGAGATGACTACTGCCTAGCCAATACTTTTACTTGAGCTTGTGAGAGATCCTGAAGTACAGAACCAACCCAGCTAAGCCTTGGCTAAACTCCTGATCCAAAGATCCAAAGCAACTGTGAGATGTTAAATGTCATTTCAAAGCCACTAAGTTTCTGGTAATTTGTTGTAGAACAATAAAAATCTCTTACAGATAGAGGCAAGATGGCTGAATAGGAACAGTTCCCGTCTGCAGCTCCCAGTGAGACCAAGGCAGAAGAAGGGTGATTTCTGCATTTCCAACTGAGGTACCCTGCTCATTTCATTGGGACTGGTTAGGTAGTGATTGCAGCCCATGGAGGGCGAGCAGAAGCAGGGTGGGGCGTCGCCACACCTGGGAAGTGCAAGGGGCCGGGGACCTCCCTCCCCTAGCCAAGGGAAGCCTTGAGGGGCTGTGCTATCTGACCCAGATACTACGCTTCTCCCACGGTTTTTGCAATCCGCAGACCAGGAGATTCCCTCGTATGCCTGTACCACCAGGGCAGACACTGAGCGGACCTCCAGCAAACTGCAGCAGACTTGTATTTAATCTAGAGAACAGATATAGATATAACAAGTCACAATATAGATCCTCTATTTCATTTAAAACATGATTCTTAATTCTAAGATGACCTTTTTTTTTTTTATAGTACTTTAAGTTCTGGGGTAAATGTGCAGAACGTGCAGTTTTGTTACATAGGTATACACGTCATGGCGGATGCTGCACCCATCAACCCATCATCTACATTAAGTATTTCTCCTAATGCTATCCCTCCCCTAGCTCCCCACCCCCTGATAGGCCGTGGTGTGTCATGTTCCCCTCCCTGTGTCCATGTGTTCTCATTGTTCAACTCCCACTTATGAGTGAGAACATGCAGAGTTTGGTTTTCTGTTCTTGTGTTAGTTTGCTGAGAATGATGGTTTCCAGCTTCATCCATGCCCCTGCAAAGGACATGAACTCATCCCTTTTGATGGCTGCAAAGTATTCCATGGTGTATATGTGCCACATTTTCTTTATCCAGTCTATCATTGATCAACATTTGGGATGGTTCCAAGTCGTTACTATTGTGAACAGTGCTGCAATAAACATACATGTGCATGTGTCTTTATAGTAGAATGATTTATAACCCTTTGGGTATATACCCAGTAATGGTATTGCTGGGTCAAATGGTATTTCTAGTTTTAGATCCTTGAGGAATCGAAACACTGTGTTCCACAATGGTTAAACTAATTTACACTCCCACCAACAGCGTGAAAGCATTTGTATTTCTCTACATCCTCTCCAGCATCTGTTGTTTCCAGACTTTTTAATGATCGCCATTCTAACTGGTGTGAGATGGTATCTCATTGTGGCTTTGATTTGCATTTCTCTAATGACCAGTGATGATGAGCTTTTTTTCGTATGTTTGTTGGCAGCATAAATGTCTTCTTTTGAGAAGTGTCTTTTCATATCCTTCACCCACTTTTTGAAGGGGTTTTTTTTTTCTTTTAAAACTGTTTAAGTTCTTTGTAGGTTGTGGATATTAGCCCTTTGTCAGATGGATAGATTGCAAAAATTTTCTCCCATTCTGTAGGTTGTCTGTTCACTCTGATGATAGTTTCTTTTGCTGTGCAGAAGCCCTTTAGTTTAATCAGATCCCACTTGTCAATTCTCGCTTTTGTTGCCATTGCTTTTGGTGTTTTAGTCATGAAGTCTTTGCCCATGCCTATGACCTGAATGGTATTGCCTAGGTTTTCTTCTAGGGTTTTTATGGTTTTAGGTCTATGTTTAAGTCTTTAATCCATATTGAGTTAATTTTTGTATAAGGTGTAAGGAAGGGGTCCAGTTTCAGCTTTCTGCCTACAGCTAGCCAGTATTCCCAACATCATTTATTAAATAGGGGATCCTTTTCCCATTTCTTGTTTTTGTCAGGTTTGTCAAAGATCAGATGGTTTTAGATGTGTGGTGTTATTTCTAAAGCCTCTGTTCTGTTCCACTGGTCTATATATCAGTTTGGTAGCAGTACCATGCTGTTTTTGTTACTGTAGGCTTATAGTATAATTTGAAGTCAGGTAGCATGATGCCTCCAGCTTTATTCTTTTTGCTTAGGATTATCTTGGCTGTACGGGCTCTTTTTTGATTCCATATGAAATTTAAAGTTTTTTCCAATTCTGTGAAGAAAGTAAATAGTAGCTTAATCTAGGATGATTTTTAAGTGAAATTTTTATATAAAAAAGCAAAAAGAGAAGAAGGCTACTTAATTTGAAGGACTCAAGCTAGAAATATACTACTCAAATTTTAAAACATTTGGCCATCTTTGTCCTCTATTTCCCCCACTACCGATTAAATTGATGAGAAAATAAGATAATTAATATTGATAAGAAAAGCATCACTACCACTGATTCTTCCATACATCACAGTCACTTGCATTTCATAATAACAAGTAAACACATTTTACAGCCTCCACTTCTTCAAAATTAAACAATTACTTCTGAGTGTTGGTTTTATGGGGGGATAAGTAGGGACTTGTGGGCACGTGGAATGAAAGAAAGAGTTCAAGAATCTTTTTTATCTCAATAAATTAGATTGTGAACTGGGACATTTAAGAAGTGTTGGTCAAAAACACCATGAAAATAAGTAATTTGTGTTCTCTATGCAACTCTGGGTTTCTGCATTAATACCTCTTATAATAAGACTGGATTTGTTTTCTTCTGTGATTCATTTTATTTTTGTAGACTTGAATTAAAGATACTTTATAAATACAAACATGTTTGACTTAATATAATAGATATATTTCTTTTAAAATGTATGCACATAGACTGTCTTTGCCTGAGTTTCTTTAAAAAAAATACAGGATAAAATACAGGAGTAAAAATTTAGTGAAACAAAGAATGAGAAGAGTTGCACTAGCTTGTTGATGAGCTGTGAAAGTAAATCAATAGCACGTGTGTCCATTCAGTCACGTGCTACATCTCCAGGTATGCTAGATGGAGAACTCATGCCTCAGGGTGGTCTGCGGGAAGAACAGAAGAGAATGATACATCTACCCAATTCTCTCCCATTGCCTATTTCCATTAGTCAAATTTCTCCTGACAGTAGGTTAACTCTGCTGTGTTTCTGGTTGCTTCATCTGGATAAGGTAATTGGCCTCTCTCAAGGCGAGATTACACATCCCTAGGTATGACAGTTCATTCAGGTTTTGGGGAAGGATACAAAGACTCTGGTGTGGAACTAGCTAGCTTCAGTGGTGGAACCCTACAGATTGGAGTAGAGTTGCCTGTCTAGCAAAGCCGCAAGCCTGAAAGTTCTTGAGGCAATGCCAAGGGAATCAAAGAAAGTGCATAAAATGTGTCATGGAATTTCTATGAATCAAGATTATTTTTAAGGCAATAAAGCAATGACATTTTGGTGTGCATCAGCATCACTTGTGAATTTTGCTTAAATCCCAGATACCTGAACCAGGTGATTCTGACACTCATCAGAGAAAAGTCACTCTTTAAGAAATCCTCAAGGTGATTTTAAGATATAAATCATTATCCCTTAATTTACTTGTTTCAAGAGAACAGATCTTTATCTCTGTTTCTTAGAGAGGACCACCTTCATATTATAGGTCTATATTTTTCAAATATTTCTGTGACTTTTTGAGCTTCTCCAAAACAATAAGAATTCAAATGAATACTAAAATGAAATGAACAGTATAAAATTAAGTCTATGTTTTACTCAATACGTACATGCAGACATGCATAAAACTATAGCATGCTAAGTAGATATATGAAGTTACTACCCGCAATTTACAGGAAACATTAGTTTTTACCAGGGTCATTTCAATTGTAATCACCTCTAGGCAACTAATATTTAATTCAGTTTCAAAAATATTTAGATTTCTGCCAACTCTTCAAGCAGATCCATTCTACAGAAAAAGTATACCCATGTATCATTTTTCTAAAGGTTTTTGGCAACTGCTCCCCTAGTTTTACTCACTCATAAGGATAAAATTTTGGAATGATTGTCTTATTTTAATCCCAACCTATATGCTCTATGCATCAATTAAAGATTAAAGCAACTGTGTTTTGATTTATTTTGTTTGTTTTAATTGTAGTGTGTAAAATGTGAACTGAATACTACCTTTGCTTTTAAGAAAGCACATTTTCATTCTATTTTCAAATAAACAACCATGTCACTGAATTTGATTGTATGTTATGTATATAAAGGCTGTCATTTGGACTTCAAGATTTTATTTTCAATCTAAATCCCTGTGTGGAAAGAGATAGTTTCCCTCTAAAAATCATAAATCTACCTGCAGCAAAACAATAAAGAAAAAGGGCACTTTGATTTTTTTAAGCAGGAATGTCAACTCTATATATAGGAAAATGTAATTGGTTCCAAATATTGAGTCAGATTCTCAAACATTCAGCAGGGTATGATTGCAGATAATTTTAACTCTATGTTAACTCTTTCATATACAATTTCCCTCTTGTAGAAACTACCTGCAAAATCCTAAATGTCATACTTTCAGTTGTTGGAAAGTGTTAAGCTTTAATCAATAAATGAGCCACTATTTTAATTTCTCTAGTAACACACAGCAGCTTTTGTTTTTTGAGCTTCTTTGCAATTTTTAAATATTTTTGTGGTCTTGCAGCATTTAATTCTTTATCATGAACCCTGTATATTTAAAAAATAGCAACTGATGAAAATGATGATGGTAATGATAATAATAATGATGTGTTCATGATTTTGGTAGCTCTCCCATGCACATTTTTTAGAAGTCCTTAGTGTATATAACATGCTGCTTATTCTTTTGATAAGAGCCTTTTGCTATTTCCAATACTCACATATGCTTTGAATCATCTACATAGCTAATTTTGCATTTGTGTTTGAGAACTTTAGTTTCTAAATCCATAAAGGAGAGCTTTGCATTCTTACTTCCTAATTTCAGATCCTAACTTTAAGATTTCATTGTAAAATAAGACACATTTGACTATTTTGGATCTATAAATACATAGGATTTTCTAAGAAACTGTGAATTCTTCCTGTATTCTCCACTTGGCAAAATCCAATCTGCTCTTTCTTGAAGGAGAAAAATATCACCCTTTATATATATAAAATACTATCATATGGAATTTAATGACATTTTTATGAGATGTTTATAACTCTACTATGTCCTAATAGGAAAAGCTCCATTCCAAAGACAGAGGTTATGGACTGCCTGAGACAAATACTGCCTCTGTCACAAACATATATGATACACTTACATGACACTGTGCAAGTTCCTGATGATCCTTTACTTCAATTTCTTCACGTGTAAAGCCGAAATAATAATAATACCTCCTTCATAGTGTTATTTTGAGGATTAAATTAATTACTGTGTTGAAAGCACTTAGAAAAATATCTGACCATTTCCTGATGACGTATAAGTGTAGGCTCATACCTTTCCTAATATACTAAAAATACATGAAAGTATAAGTCATACATAGGAATTCACACTTTTATATTATTTTTCACTATAATTTTGTCTGATAGACTTTCCCAGATTGACTTATAGTACAATATTTACTATTAATAGAAACATATTTTATGCAATTATGCAACATAGAAAGGAAAAACAATGCTACAGTGTATATAGGATGCTATGTATTCTGTAACTCTGCCTTTAAAATTTACTAAGTTTAAATTAAACCTGAAGTTTAGTCAATATTCTTTTTCAAAATACATATATACCCAATGATACTCCTTGTATTTCCGAGCCTTAGATGAACAAATAAATCATTCTTCCTAAGTTGAAACATTAAATATATAATGCAACTATACAGTAAATAAATATTTATTAAGCACTGAGCATGTGCCAACCATTGTATTAGGCCACAGAGGTATATGGAACTTAACTTATACTAATGACTTTGGAGATCTACTTATCTAAGTATATGTGTAAGGAAAAAAATTATGACTCAAGTTAAGAGTGATAATTTCTGTGGGCATATATTGAATGGAGGAACTTTTTCTAAGTAGAGAGAGGGCTAGAAAAAGAGTCAAAAAAACTCTACAAAGAGTATAAAGTTTGAGTATTACACAAATACCTCAAACTTTTTATTCCCAATATCCAGTCATCCAACAAAACTAATTTATGTTTTTTTCCAACTGTCTCTTACGTTTGTTCTTCCCTCATCTTTTCTAAACTCTGTCCCTCAACCCCCAGTTACAAATAAATACTGCTAATGCTTAGGATTTGTTCAAAAATCCTTAGCTGACTTTGCTAATTTCAGTCTCAGACACATTCAATTAATGATTCCACAAACCACTGATACCAATCTAAACTTCTTCAAATGCTACATGCATCATAACCCTTCTCAAAATCAAAACTCTTGTATTTTATAAATCAAATATGAACTGTTTGGCCTCATTTTAAAAATACATTACTATCGGCCGGGCATGGTGGCTCACAACTGTAATCCCAGCACTTTGGAGGCTGAGGTGGGGAAATAACCTGAGGTCAGGGGTTTGAGAGCAACCTGGCCAACATGGTAAAACCCCATGTCTACTAAAAATACAAAACTTAGCTGGGTGCAGTGGCACATGCCTATAGTCCCAGCTACTTGGGAGGCTGAGGTGTGAGAATCGCTTGAACCAGGGAGGTGGAGGCTGCAGTGAGCTGAGATCGCACCACTGCACTCTAGCCTGGGCGACAGAGTGAGACTCCATTTCAAAAAAATAAATAAAAATAAAAAACTTCATCGCTATCTAATCTTACCTGGCTTTCCAAATACCCTTCTCCCTCCATCCGCTAATGTAGACCTTCCATTAATGTTGGAATCCATTCCTCACAATCATGAATGTCATTGAGACAAATCCAGCAGAACTTTCTTCAATGTTGTTCATCTGTCTGTGAATACTCCTCTGTGCCAACCAATTCATCTGTATATTTACTATCACTAATTGAATATCTAAACTCATCTAATACTTCCTGCTTAAAACTCCCTGTTGACATCTTCCTTCACGGTCTTTTCCTGTCTCTAGATATGTTTAAACCACCGCACAGAATTTAGCCTGTGGCTATGTGTATTTTACATCTGTTTCCTTGCTCGTAAACAAGTTACAATATACAAATGGTACCAATGCAAGATAGGAAAGCCTCTCTCATTCTTGTTTCCTGAATGACAATTTGAAATTTGATCTCCTAGCTTACTGTGTTAGGCCTGTGGCATAAATGAGAAAGCAAATTTTATTGGTCTGTTCTCAGACACATTGGTCTTGGGATTCCTTCACTCTCTTAAAAACTATTGAGGACCCCAGAGAGCTTTTATGTATGTAGGTTTTATCTATCAATAATTAATGTGTTTCAAATTAAAATAAAAATTAAAGCAATCTTATGCAAAAAGAACAAAGCTGGAGGCATCACATTACCTGACCTTGAATTATTCTGTAAGGCTACAGTAACTAAAACAGCATGGTACTAATATAAAAGTAAACACAGAGATTAATGAAACAGCATAGAGAACCCAGAAATAAAGCCACATGCTTATAGCCAACTGATCTTTGACAAAGTCAACAGAAACATATGATGAAGAAAAAACATCCTTTTCAATAAATGATGCTGAGAAAACTGGATAGCCATATGCAGAAGAAGGAACTGGACCCCTATCTCTCACCATATACAAAAAAATCAACGGAAAGTGGATTAAAGACTTAAAAGTAAGACTTGAAAAAATAGAAATAGTATAAGAAAACCTAGATAAACTTTTTTGACATTGGTCTAAGTCAAAGAATTCACGACTAAGACCTCAAAAGCACAAGCAACAGAAACAAAAATAGACAAATGGGGCTCAAGCTGAAAAGCTTCTGCATAGAAAAAGAAATAATCAACAGAGTGAACAGAAAACCTATAGAATGGGAGAAAATATTTGCAAACTAGCATCCAACAGGAGACTGCTATACACACAAAGAACTCAAACAACTCAACAACAACAACAACAAAACAAATGCTAGAGGCAGGAGGCAGACAGGAGCAGGTTCCTGGCAAAAGCCCATCTTCAAGCCAAAAAGCCCAAAAGCCACTGTCCAAAGCAACAGCTTCTATTCCTGTTTGCCTGCTCTCTCCTGATTTGTTCTTTCTGAATAATGCCTTTTTGCCAATCAAATGTTGCCTTCTCCAAAACTACATATGGCCCACCCCATCCTCCATCCTGTACCTATAAAGACCCTAGACTCAGTTGCTATAGGAGAGAGAGGTGGCTTGACTGAGGAGAGGCAACTTGACTTCTTAGAGATGGTTGGACTTCAGAGGAGAGATGGCTTGATTTTGGAGAGATGGCTTGACTTCAGGGAAGAGCTGGTCAGACCTCAAGGGAAGACTACCTGCCCATCCTGTCCCTTCTCCAGCTCCCCTTTTCAGCTCCCCTCTCCACAGAGAACCATTTCCATCACTAAATAAAATTATCTGCCTTCACTATATTTCAAGTGTCCACATGACCTCATTCCTCTTGGACACTGAACAAGAGCTTGGGACCCACTGAGTGCAAGTACCCAAAAAAGGCTGCCACATTGGCCCTTTGCCCTCGCCAGTGGAGGGCAGCTTGCCCCATGTGATAAGGCAAGGGGCTAGCTGAGCTAATGACACACCACTCTCTATGGACAGCAGAGCTAAGAGAGCATTGTAACATGCCTTCTTGTCTTTGGTATTGCCCACACCCCCACCTGGGCACTGCCGTGGGCTCTGCATGGAGCTTGCTCCTGCTGGTGTCTGGAGCAGCCAGACTTGCTCACGCATGTGCTCACTCTTGCAAAGAGCTGAGCTTGGCAAACTGAGTAAACAGAACATCCCTGTCACAAGTCCAACAAAGTAATCATGAAAAATCCTGCCTTACAAATAACCCTATTTAAAAATGGACAAAGGATATGCATAGATGTCATGCAAAAGAACACATACAAATGGCCAGTTTATATATACATATATACACACACACAGCGTATATATGGTAAATATTACCATATGTGTATATACACACAATGGAATACTATTTAGCCTTTAAAAATGATGAAATCATGTCTTTTGCAGCAACGTGGATGGAATTGGAGACCGTTATCTTAAGGGAAACAAATAAGAAACAGAAGACCAAATACTGCATGTTCTCACTTACAAGTGGGAGCTAAATAGTGTGTACACATGGACATAAAGTCTGGAATCATGAACACATTGGAGACTCCAAAAGGTGAGAGGGTGGGACAGGGGAGAGAGATGAGAAATTACTTACTAGGTGAAGGTTATACATAAAAACCCAGACCTAATTATTCCTCAATATATTCATGTAACAAAACTGCACTTGTACCCCTCGAATTTATACAAATAACAAGTAAATAAATAAAATAGAAATTTGTTAAATTGTTTATATTTTAATTAAAATAATATATTTTAATCAACCTTAACATAAAATATATTGTTTTAATTAAAATATAAAACAAAAAATTAAAAAATATATTAAAAATAAAATAAAAAAAACAAATTAGTGAGTGAGAAGACCTATCTGAGTCAGTTTGGGCTGCTAAAATGAAATACTTTAGACTGAGTAACTTTTTTTTTTTTTTTTTTTTTTTGAGATGGAGCCTCACATTGTCTCCCAGGCTGAAGTGCAGTGGCATGATCTCAGCTCACTGCAACCTCCGCCTCCCAGGTTCAAGTGATTCTTCTACCTCAGCCTCCCAAGTAGCTGGGATTACAGTCTCGTGCCATCACATTCAGCTAATTTTTGTATTTTTAGTAGAGACGGGGTTTTGCCGTGTTGGCCAGGCTGGTCTTGAACTCCTGACCTCAGGGGATCCTCCTGCCTCAGCCTCCCAAAGTTCTGGAATTACAGGCATGAGCCACCGCACCCAGCAAAACTGAGTAAATTATAAACAGCAGAATTTTTTTTCTCATAGTTCTAGAGATGGGGAAGTTCAAGATCAGGGTGTCTACAGATTTGGTATCTGGTGAGGGATTGCTCTGTGGTTCATAGATGGCAGCTTCACATTGTCATTGGTCCTCAAGTGGTGGAAGGGGCAAACAACCTTCCTCAGGCCTCTTTTATAAGTACACTTATGTCATTCATGAGGGCCCCATCCTCATTCATTAATTACTTCCTGAAGGCTCTACCTTTTAATACCATCACCTTGGGGGTTAGGATTTAAGCATATAACTTTGGGTGGACACAAACCTTAGATCATAGCAAGTTGCATTTAATTTACTTACAAATTCAAGTCTTCTTTATGTCTGCCTTCATAGAATAAAATTAGTTTTTCTTACCTGGTTCTCTATCAAATCAGTTGAGATGCATTGTTTTAGTAGAAGCATATGAAGGAATCTGAGCTCGTACAACTATGTAGTTGGTAAAAGGAAGAGTGTTTAAACAATTTTTCCAGGTAATTATGTATCTTCTTCTTTGATGTTAAATGAAAATACTCAATAAATTATACTTTATTAAAGGTTAATTGCAATCTGGAATCTAAGCCATATCAATGAACTTTTTATATTGTTACATTAATATCCATCATTTTTCTTGCACTGTGAATGGATCTTTTATTGTCACGATTCTTTAATATGATGCATTGGTCATCTGGAAAAAAAAATGGTTGACTTAGCTATTCAGATCTTTTAGCTTTTGGCAAGTTTTATTTTTCAATATAAATAGTTGTCCGGGAGTGGTGGCTCATGCCTGTAATCCCAGCACTTTGGTAGGCTGAGGCAGGTGGGTCACCTGAGGTCAGGAGTTCAAGACCAGCCTGGCCAACATGGTGAAATCCCATCTCTACTAAAAATACAAAAATTAGCCAGGCATGGTGGCACGTGCCTGTAATCCCAGCTACTCGGGAGGCTGAAGCAGGAAAATCACTTGAACCTGGGAGGCAGAGGTTGGAGTGATCTGAGATCACACCACTGCACTCCAGCCTGAGAAAAAAGAGTGAAACTCCATCTAAAAAATAAAAATAAAAAAATAAAAAAATCACAAGTGTTACTATCACCACCAGTCTCATCGGCAAAATCTTCAGGTATTGGGGTGCTGTCAAACTCCCTGTGGCAAACATATGATTTTCAAAATTCTTTCATTTGAAATCCTGAAATATATCATTGATCATAAAAGTCTCTGTTGATTTTCATGAAGTGACAGACTCACTTCACTGATGTTTTTAAATGTCTGCCAAATATCTAATTTTGAATAAATGTAGTTTGTCAATCATTATTCAAGTAAAAACAGTGTTGCATTAAAATGTGCCAATTCAGCTCAAAACTCAAACTAGTGCATAGGTGCTTTTCTTGGAGAAAATCATCCTACAGTGTATGCAGTGGGAGTGCTTTGTGTATTCTTCCCATTGTGTCACATAGAATATTAAAAAGACATGTATTCAAGAGTCAAAATTTAATTGATAATTTTCGCTGCCTCATCAAGTACATTTTTTAAAGAACACTAACCTTTTTTTTCCTCTTGTGGGCACAAATGTAGAATCTTATGTAGTGAAGAATATAATGCATAATAGTAACTCTGTTTTATGACACCACCTTTCCCCACAATGTACTATCATGGGTGCAAATGTCAACAAAGTTAAAAAGAAAAATGCCATTGTAATATTATTTTGAAACTAGTTTGCCCTCACCAGGACCTTGGAAAGGTTTCAGGGACTTCAAGGTGTCCATGGACCATACTTTGAATACCACCATTATATTGTATTAAACCAGGAGTTAGAGGTTGCATGCTACACTTCAGCATAACTACATGTCCCAACTAAGGTAAATAAGCAGCATTTTTACCAACCACAAGACAGAAAGTACTTTTAGTTAAAAACCAGCACTTGCAAAGGCAAAATTGAAGAAAAATTTACAACATTTTTGGACAACAAAATTATATCTGTGTGACTGGAGTTTAGGGTGCAGGAGAATGGGGATCAAGTTAGGAATACTCTTAAAAGATAGAGCGGAAACAGATTTCAAAGGATCTAGGATTCTATGATGAGTAGTTAGTACTTTATTTTGTAAGCAAAGGAAAAATAAGAATAAAGGGTTTGGGCTGAGTGTGGTGGCTAACGCCTGTAATCCCAGCACTTTGGGAGGCTGAGGTGGGTGGATCACCTGCGGTCAGGAGTTAAAGACCAGCCTGACGAATATGGTGAAACCCCATCTCTACTAAAAATACAAAAATTAGCTGGCCGTGGTGGCATGTGACTGTAGTCCCAGCTACTCAGGAGGCTGAGGCTTGCTTCTACAAGGTGGAGGTTGCAGTGAGCCGAGATCGCGCCACTGCATTCCAGCCTGGGTGAAAGAGCGAGACTCCGTCTCAAAAACAAAATAAAAAGAATAAAGGGTGTGGTGACATGATACAGATTTCTATTTTAGTAAATATAATTCATTATAGTGAAATGGGTGGGGGCAATTCAGAAAGTGGCAATAGAAACTGGAAGAGTGTGAAAACGTGAGATACTTTGAAAGTAAAATAGGTAGATTCATTGAACTGCTGAATACGTAGCATGAATGAGGAAGGATCGGTATTGTTGATGACTAGAATGCTTTCATTTTGAGAAAATTCACATAGCAACTAAAAAATGATACATTTTTACTTTTCAAAAAAATACAGAGAATACAGGAGAAAAAGTTCTAAAAAAAAAAAAAAATACAGCAACAACAAAACTTTCCTGAAGAGTCCATGAAAAAAACTCACGTTTAAATCTCAAGACAAAAAGACCTGAATCTTTAAAGGAATTTGAAAATTTAGCTAGACACATTGCCACACCTAGAAATTTGATTCAGCAAGTATTAACTGAACATCTTCTATGTGCCAGGCACTATTCTGGGGATTTATAGATACAGTAATAAATAAAGTAAACAAAAATATCTGCATGTGTGATGCTTATATTCCAGTGGTAAGTAACAAACAGTAAGCAATGAGCTTAATAAATGCATAGTACGTTAACATAGTAACTGTTCAGACAAACTGAGCAGGTAAGGGGGATTAGGAGTGATGGTCAGGCAGGTAGAGGTTTCAGGTGGGTGTAATTTTTAATAGGGTGGTCCTGGTGGCTTTCGTTGAGTAGATGACATTTAAGCAGAGAGTTACTGAAGGAGAAGAAATTAGCCTTATATCTGCAGGAAGAATCTTTCTGAGAGAGAAACTAGCCAGCGCAAAAGCCATGCATTAGAATCATGCAAAGCTCATTAGAGAAAGCAAGGAAACCAATGGCTATAACAGAGAATATCCAGGTGGGAAAAACAGTAAGAGATGGAGTCAGAGAAGTAACAGGAGTCTAGATCATGTAGGGCTCCTTAGAATGCCTGTGTAAAAATTTTACATTATACTGTGACTAGAAGAAAGCATTTTGGTCAGAGGAATGACAGGTAACTCAAGACGATCACTCTGGTTAACACCAGAGCTCTATTAGTAAGAATAGGGAGAAGTACATATAAGCTAAGCAACAATTTTTTACCGTTATCTAGTGCCTAGTGGTGAGGACGCTGTGGATACTTAATTAATTCTTATTGATTGGCATATGTACTGCCATTTTTCCTTGCAATAATTTTAATAGTAATGTTCTTTCTTTTATTTTTCCACCATGATAAAGCAAGCCCTAATCAAAATGTTCAGTGGAGTTAAATGTGAAGTATTATTTTATGACTTCTTATCACAGAAAATGTGGGTTAACGTTCTTGTTCCATAATTTGAGGTCAAATATGCTTCAATACTTTAAACACATGTCAAGTACTATTAATAAACTTCCTGCACTTTCTCAAAGTTAAGTTATTTACAACACATTTAAGTGTGTTTTATACAACTAAGTAACAATTTGCTTACAATACAAGCTGTGATGGGAGAAGACATGAATATTTTAAAGTGTCCTATTCAAAGGCCTATATTTTCTTTTATATACTATAAAAAAATACTATAAACAGAAAAATGAATTCATTGCAATGAGGTAAAGTTTCTGCAACAAAATATACTTGAAAGAGAGCTTTATGTTAGATTTCATCTGCCTTGGGCATACATGATGCTTTTTAAATCTTACATTTTCTTGTTGGCTTACTCGTATCTGTGATGCTGCTAGTGGTGAAATAAATTGCAACTGTCCTGAAGAATTATTTTTGACAGGCAGGTTGCTTTTGTCCAGACTTCTAAATCCACTCAACCCTGTCCTATCTGTTACCATTTACATTAACACCACCATTTATGTATAGCTCTCAACCACATTTCTTCCACTCATCTTTGCATGAACATAATCAATCTTTAAGTCTTGATTGTTTCTCTAAAAATTTTAAGTACTGACTCCTTTCTCTCTATCTTGGCTACACCGACCTGTACAGCAGTAAAAGATGCTTTGAATCTCTCTCTCCAGTTGCAGTTCATGTCATACAGAATTGTTCTGTGATGGCCTTAAAGGAGAAGTTGGGCGGCTATAAGAACATGAAGAGGAAGACATGTCTCTGGCCGATGCTACCTTGACTACTTCCCAAAAGGACAGAATCAATAAGAGCAATGACAACTCAACTCTCTTGGAAATATCCAAGGGATTCCACCACATTGAGAATTAAGAATTATCAGCCAGGCGCAGTGGCTCACCCCTATAATCCCAGCAGTCTGGGAGGCCGAGGCAGGCAGATCACAAGGTCAGGAGTTCGAGACCTGTTGTCCAATACGGTGAAACCCCGTCTCTACTAAAAATACAAAAATTAACCAGGCGTGGTGTCACGTGCCTGTAATCCCAGCTTCAGGAGGCTGAAGCAGGAGAATTGCTTGAACCTGGGAGGCAGAGGTTGCAGTGAGCTGAGTTCATGCCACTGCACTCCAGCCTGGGCAACAAAGCGAGACTCTGTCTCAAAAAAAAAGAGAAAAGAATTATCCCTTGACTCCTCTAATTGTTGAATGAGACACCTAATTATATTACTGTTTGCTTTTCTTCTGCCAAGTTTTTAAAATAATATCTGTCCTTTTCTGCCTTTATTTCTCCCCTGGCAGCCCATGCTTGTCTCCACTAGCTTTTCTCCTTTACCCAATATTCCACTCTCAACAGCTGTTTGACAAGGTACCCAATAAGGCTGGCTAGGAAAAACTTACCCTAGCAGGAGTGGCTTCTGCTGTCAACATCACCATTTGAACCTGCAATATGTACGGCCATATTCTACCAGGCCCTTCAACAAAAATAGTTACTTTATCCTAGTTATGAAATGGGGTTCGATCTTTGGGTTTCATATGCAAAGAAAGTTGAATTTTATGTATATTCTTTATTGATTGTTAAAGTTGATTCAGTAAAGAAAGAGGTTGGTTTTCAGGGTAATATCGAAAAAACTTAATTGCACTATATATTTTGTCTCATAAATTAATATTTATTAAGTGTTTATTATATCCTGGACCTGAGGGTTTTACATGCATTAATTCAATGATTCATCATGATATCCTTGCAAATCAAGTAATGTATCAGCCTCATTTTATATCAAGTCTTAGGAAGGGCAAAGGGAACAAGATAGGACTCCAGCCACTGGGAAAACTGGGCTAATAGAAATTACTCAGTAGCTAATCAACTGATTTACCCCATAGAGGGACATAAGCACAAGGAAACAGGACCCAAATCACCAGGTGACTGCAAGAATAACACTCAAAATCCAGGCTGAGATAGAGCATAATTTATTCAATCCTCCTCTAGGAATCACTAACCAAGGGTAATTTATATTTTTCAGGCCTTAGTATAACATCAGTCTCAGAGCCTTCGGTAAGATTAAAGTTACAGATAATTGGGAAATAACACACAGAGTCCTGAATTTAAGTCAGCATTCATTCCTTCCACAAATTCTTATATTAAATGTCTTCTATATACCTTGCTCTAAGGGTTAGTTGTGCTCAAGGCAGAAAATAGCATGCTCCAAACAATCAGCAGAGCTGCTTTCTGACTCTAATTCCACTACTAATTCTGTGATCTTAAGAAAGTCAGGAACATTTCCTACTGAGGACAGTACAGCTAGCTACTAAATAATGTTAGCTCCATTATTTAGTAGCCCCATTTAATGTTAACTTTCTGCAATTCTAGAATTATGTAGAAATCTAGGTACCCACCCAAAACATTTTTAGAACGTTTTGGATCAATTGACATGTTGGAAGATCCTATGTCCACAGGTATTTTATTTCTTCCTCTGTGGAAACAAATTCATTTTTATCTGTTTGGCCTCTGATAGAAGTGTTGTGCTATTTTACTCTAAAATAATTGTTATTATATTTCAAAATAAATGAATATTAACCACGGCTAATCATAATGCAGAAAAGAGTAATCGTCTTGGCTCCAAATCTGAAGTCAGTCAACCCCACAACCAAGAATTTTAAACCCTAGCTTTAATCAAATGATGACAACATAGTTTGCCAGAAGACAAAGCTACAATTATGTGCTGTAAGCAATAGCAGGATTGTAATATTCATGTATTAAATAAAAATTATTAATTGAAAGAGTATATGATATTACTACAGGTCCTTACACTTATGAAGAGCTCAGTGAATGCAATTTGTATTCAAAAATGCATAATAACAAACCACCAGCCTACAGTCAATGGGCACTTTCTATGTTGCTGGCGCTGTTCTTTACATGCAGAGATTCATTTAATCCTCATAACAACCCTATGAAGGAGGTAAGTTTTACAAATGAAAAATAAAGCAAAACAAACAAGCAAATAAACTACAACACAGAGAAACCGAGTACATGCCTAAGTTCACCCAGCTTCTAAGTCCAGGCACTTTCCATGATTGCCTTTGCATACCCTTGCTTTTTCCGTATCCTCTGAGCTGGCTAAAGTATCCCAGAGTAGATCAAAAATTAGATGGTCATACTTTAGGAGTAAATATTAGGAAACTCCAATGCTGAATGCAAACATAAATTAGTTTTGCCATATGGCTGTTATTAACATTAATTAACATTGGTAAGGCATCTTATATAGGTAAAGCTTTATACTTCGGGATAATGAAGAATGTATCATTAGTTCACCTTAGTTTCAAGAAAGCAAACAAAAAGCTCTCAGAGACCAGGCCATTTACCCATTCTGATGTTAGGGTTGACCTTGCCTAACTGTTTAATGCTCTTAACACCCTGGGGTTCACAAGTTCTAAACTCACCAGAGTCCTTTCTGACATTTATAATAGGAAATTTGTTGAAAGATATGCATGAGAAACAAGTGGAGAAAAGGAGAAAATATGTGGCAAATATGATGTAAGCAAAAGGATTGAAAAAGGGAAAAGTAGGTGCAAGTAAAATGGTGCTAAAATTGGAGAGGTTTTCTTTGCAGTGCCAACACATCAAAAAAAACTTCATTGAATTGGTACATATTCATTTCCAAGTCACTCATCTGAGTCTTTTATATACAATTATATAATACAAAACTCATAACACTCTTAACTGATGAGTAACACTGCCAACATTATACAAATGTCTTGAGTCGAGTTTTCTAATAATATTTCTCCTACCCATCACTAAGTTTCTCTCCAGAGCACATTTTTTTTTCTAGCTGTATCCAATTACAGCTCCAAAGAAATTTAGGTAACTTGAACCATAAGCAGGATCCAACAACCATTACCAGAGGATCTGAGTGTAAAGCCTGGTGGTCAAAGAGGTGTGTATTATTTTTTCACCCAGTAAGCATTAGTGTCCTGTGTAAAGGAGAGGGTAAAACACCTAGGGTAAATCTCATTTCCACTCGCATTTTTCATACCAGGGAGAGCTGGTTAATCATCAAGCTTATCATTGAAGAGGAAATGAAATGCCTGAATATGCCCAGATGCATATTAGCATCATCTAGAAAGCTTCTCACTTATGACAAATCCCTCAACACTTCATGCCTTTCAAAGCAACCATCCAGTAGACAAAGTTGCAGGACACATCTCTGGGTGGCCTTGGACTAACCAAGTTCTCCTCACTTTCTCACTTGTAGTTCTCAAAAATATCTATAGATTGTTCTGGGAATGCAACATGTGAGATAAGGAGGAACACTAGAAAAGCCCAGGCTGTGTTCCTGCCTTCCCTAGAACATGATGTCATGCAACGCTTTAGCACAGGATGTCATTTTCCCATCAAAGTATAAAACCCTAGGCAGACTATTTTTGAGGTCTCTCAGCTGCAGTGCAAATGCAAATCTGCAGTCCAAGTTTCTATCCAACTTGGACAACTTCTCTGAGCCTTAGGGGATTGGCTCACCACAAAAACTAGGCTTCTACCATCCCTTGCTGCTTATCTGTGGGTAATTAAATTTCTTAACTTGCCATGTGAGTGTTCTTTCTCTCTGGACTCATACAGGTAGTAGAAATTGAAGCCCAAGATGTAGTGGGCCAAAGTGGTAACCAGTGGACAGTGAGCCTGCTTCACAAATACCACAAGGGAGTCCCAAAGTGAATGGACCAGGATGATCAGCTTGATTCATTGATCCCTTAGGAATGTCTTTGTCCATGGTATGAAATGATAACATGGTCACAAACATAAGACTGAACAAAATTTTCTAGTCCCTATTGTTTATGCAAACATATGCATAGATCTTTTTTAAAGTAGTACCCAAATGTACTTGAAAACTGGGATTATGTGAAATTGAAAAACTATTTCATTTCTCTTCAGAATGGAATTATATTATCTTAATCTTTCTGTGGAAATCTCAGGTAAATTTATACCCATCAGTAAAACATTTCATTTTCTAACTTCTCAAATAAATTAATAAGCAATTCTTGCTTGAAAAAATGATTTTTCTTGTATACCATTCAATTTTTTTGATCTTCTTAATAATACATCACTTTTGCCAGTTGTAAACAAATACAATTTTAATTTACAAAGTCAGAAATGTATATTCAAAACAAACGTGATCTGATAAAATTGCAACAAGTGACGTTCTTGGTCATCTCTTTTTTCAGCTGCTACCTAAATAATTGTCAACCTATATAAAAGTGTGAAACACCTGGAGTATAGAGCCACTTGCTTAAGTGTATTTTACACTGTATATTTAATACATTTTTATATAATTTTTCTGAAGGACTATAGAGCCGAAAAATTTGTATCCAATGTTTTTGAAAGGTAGATATTATAAATATAATAAAAAGCCACTCAGTGCATTTATATGTAACATTTGCACAACCAAGTTCAGTTCTATTTGCTTATCAAAAAAAAAGAAAAAAGCAGCTCTATGTATGATTCATTGTATTGGGCTCCTTTAATGGCCAATTCTGATCCCTGCCAAGGTTTCATTGATTGTTCTATTAATACACCCGAGGAAAAAAATGAAGAATAAATCAAGCAATCCAGGACCAACTTAGTCATGGTACAGATACATGGCCTAAAAGCCAGAAAGTAAAATCCTTTAACAAGCTTGCCTGAGTACTTGCTGACTTCCTGCTAAATCACTACTGTTTCTGTGAATTAGGCTGGTCTGTGTCTCCTCATTCCATTTTGAAAATTTTTCTCTTTTAAAATGATTTTCAATTATGTTATCTGAATTTTTCCCTCTTTTCAACTTTACCTCTGCATATCTACATAGCCTACTTAAAGTGTATGGACATGTATATACACATATATGTTTATATTTATAAATGCTAAATATATTTTTAATGTTATAAGCAATAGGCCTTCAGCTGAAACAATAATGTTGATTAAAATGAACTTTTATTTTAAAAAATGTTTGTTAGATATGCTGACAGTTTAACAAACAGAGCAAATAATGCCAGTAAGCAGTTGTGTAAATGAACAGGAACATCAGTTTTTTGCTGGTCATTATAATTAGTAATAAAAAACAAATAGCCAAAAGGTAAATGTGAACTAACTTACGCTGTCTCATTAAAATTGCTTTGTCAAAGAAAAACTAGTATCTTTCAAATGAAAAGTAACTGAAACAATGTATTAGTTTAGGTTTTAATTAAAAACTGAAAATTCAACATAACGATTGCCTAATTTCACTAGTTGGAAAAACAGAATGCAATAAAATTTAGTTAAACTGATTTCATACATATGTAATTTATGAAGAAGTATCTGAAGCACTATGTTTGATATAAATGTGTAAATTAAGTACAAACTAGGCATTTAAGAAAAAATATATTTGATAAGAAATGTATCAATTATGTAATTTTTATTAATATTACAGTAGTATGTTCTTCAACATCTGATGAAACCAACTAAAGTGGCTCTTTAAAAATGTTTAAGCATGTTTAATAATTTACATTACCCTGATATAGAAGGCACAATAGGCACAAATTCCAAGTATGAACCTTAAAAATGTTTAGCCATAGGGTGGTACTAGTGAGCGGATATATTCAAACAGCTAAAACACCTACTAATGTTAATATTTATCTCATGCTAGAAAGCAAGCAGATTTGTTTTCATAATTTTCTTATTTTCACTCTGGCCTTTGGATGTTTTCATCTGCATCTTTCCATATTTTCCAATTCATCATCATCTTCCCACCCTCAAATCTTTCACACCTCACATTTCTTTTATTAATAAAACTCTATGCTTATAAAGCCTATTTTTTTGCCTAACCAACACTTTCCATACACGACATCCTTAAATGACTCACCATTAGTTACCAAAGATTCCAATTTCCTTTGAATGTTATTTGCATCACTTATGACTTAGTCCCACACTATCTTTCTGGAATTTGCTGTCACTGCTGTATAACAAAACTATAATCAAACTAACTACATGGATTTGCACATATGTATACTTTTTATTGTAAATTCAGAGTTCTGCTTGAGCTATTCCATCACCTCTGTTTTGAATGGTCATTTAATTTAATCTCTAAACCCCTTCCTGTCAGGTCCCTAGGTCCCTATATATCAAAATCCTATCCATAGTTCAAGCACTATATCAAATTTCAACTCGTCCACGAATCGTTTTTTTTTTTTTTTTTGAGACAGAGTTTCATTCTTGTTGCCCAGGCTGCAATACAATGGCACGACCTGAGCTCACTGCAACCTCCACCTCCCGAGTTCGAGCGATTCTCCAGCCTCAGCCTCCTGAGTAGCTGGGATTACAGACATGTGCCACCACGCCTAGCTAATTTTGTATGTTTAGTAGAGACGGGATTTCGTTGGTCTCGAACTCCTGACCTCAGGTGATCTGCCTGCCTTGGCCTCCCAAAGTGCTGGGATTACAGGCGTGAGCTACCGTGCCCAGCCCCATCAATCTTTTTCTTTACACTTCAGAAATAATTTCTTCTTCACCCCATTTCTAATATGAGGGTATAAATTAATTACATTTTCATAAACACTTTTAATGTATTTATACTGAGTACCAATTATGGCCAACACCCTGTTAGACAGTACAAAGGATGCTATAGTGAAAAAAGATGTAATCTCTATTCTCCAGAATATTATATTCTCATGAAGATATACAGTAAACACACGCATGACTATAATACTAAGTAGTGAAAGGAAGTTTCCCTAAGAAAAGTACATTGCAATTTCTGAGAAGATATAAAGAAACCTCTGTTGAGAATAGCTATATTTGTGATGACAACTGAAGTAGACTTCAAATAAATAAAATAATATTAGCAGTCAAAGATAAAGTAGAGATGAATATTTCCACATAAATAAATAGGAACAAATGTATGAAGATGAAAAAGCTCAGAGTGTGTTTATGGAACTTCTATGGCCTCAATTGTACCCTCCCACTCAGTGACCCAGTTTTTGGTACTTTGTTATGGCATCCCTGGGAAACTAATGTGCTGGTGTTTCTAAATCTAGCTATACAAGACCACTTAAAGTTACCAACCTTATGTTTTTACCCCCAAGCATTGTGGCTTTGCAGTGGAATTAACTTTTCTTCATAATCACCCATATAAATTTATTATTTCTATTAGACCCAAAGTAGGTATCATCTTCTCTGGGAAACCTTTTTGGAGCTCAGTGGCACTTAGTTGCCAGTTGCATGTGTTTGTAAAACTTGTGCATAACTGGATCTGAGGAGTTTTCGCTCTGTATTTTAATTGTCTATGTATTTATATGTCACCCTTGATAGACCATGGTCTCCCTGACAGTAACCCCTGTATTTAATATCTCTATCTCCAAGGATTCATAGCAGTGCTCACTAAGTGCATGTGAATGAATGGATGGATGAACGTGCAGTCTCTGGAAGTTAAAAAGTTTGTTGTACAGAGAGGCTGAAAAAGAAGAAATCAAAGTGACAGCAATAGGTCAAGCTTTATTAACCAAAAAACTGGTGGTGCCATTATTTGATATTTAGATGTGAGGGGAGACAGTGTTTTTAAGTGAAGAAAATAACGTAAATGGATCTGACATGCAGAAGAAAAGTATTAGTAGCAATGTAAATGTAGAGCTAAGGAAGAAGATTGAATGATTCATTTTTTTTTTCTCCCCTTCCTTCTTCCTTCTTTCTTCCTTCTCCATTTACTCAACAGCATCTAATTGAATGCTTTGTGCCTGAGACTGGATATACAGTGATGAGGAAAGAGGCAAGGTGACTGCATTCATAAAGTTTAGAGTCTGATGAGAGAGGCATGCGGGTATTAAAATGTGTACCTCTGAATTAGAGAGTCATGAGTTGTTCTCTAAATAGAATATAAACACTCATACGCACATATGCACATAAACACCAATATTAATGATATTAAGCAAATGAAGTAAAACAAGCACAATCACTTATTTTGACCATTTTCATTCTATTCTTTGTCTATGTGTATAACTATTAATAATAATAATTAATAATTATAGTGCTGCAATAAACACTTGGAACCAACCCAAATGTCCAACAATGATAGACTGGATTAAGAAAATGTGGCACATATACACCATGGAATACTATGCAGCCATAAAAAATGATGAGTTCATGTCCTTTGTAGGGACATGGATGAAGCTGGAAACCATCATTCTCAGCAAACTATCACAAGGACAAAAAACCAAACACTGCATGTTCTCACTCATAGGTGGGAATTGAACAATGAGAACACATGGACACAGGAAGGGGAACATCACACACCGGGGCCTGTTGTGGAGTGGGGGGAGGGGGGAGGGATAGCATTAGGAGATATACCCAATGTTAAATGATGAGTTAATGGGTGCAGCACACCAACATGGCATATGTATACATATGTAACAAACCTGCACATTGTGCACATGTACCCTAAAACTTAAAGTATAATAAAATAATAATAATAATAATTATAGGCTAGGTACTGTCCTAACTACTTTTATGAATTAACTAAATTTCAAATGCTTATAGATTATTATGATATCTATACCTTATTAAATACTTACTTAATAGCAGTTGTTGCCATCATTATGTAGGATTTTTTCATCTATTAAATCTCTTCTTTGGAATATATTTCTTCGCATACAGCTAATAGTTAAAAGGAATTAAAATTTTTCATAGCCCTGAATAAATGTTTTTCATATTTTCAAAAGGATTTGCTCCAGTTGACAATAATCTAACTAATTTAGAATGTACTAGTGTTAAGTATATTCTTTGTCATTTGGTGTTATCTTTTTAAAAATGGGTACTGATATGGTTTTTCTGGGTCCCCACCCAAATCTCATCTTGAATTGCAGCTCCCATAATTCCCACGTGTCACGGGAGGGACCTGGTGGGAGGTAATTGAATCATGGGGGCGGGTTTTTCCTGTGCTGTTCTCATGATAGTGAATAAGTCTCACCATATCTGATGGTTTTATAAAGGGGATCTCCCTTGCATATGCTCTGTCTTGCCTGCAGCCATATAAGATGTGACTTTGCTCCTCATTCACCTTCCATCATGATTGTGAGGCCTCCCCAGCCATGTGGAACTGTGAGTCCATGAAACCTCTTTTCTTTATAAATTATCAGTCTCGGATATCTCCTTAATAGCAGTATGAGAACAGACTAATACAGCTACTAATAGTTTTAACTTAAAATTTATTCATCAGACTCACCTGTACTTCCTCCGCTATGATCTTTTTCTACACGTACATTAGTATTAATGTACTTGTAATATACTGTTTTTACCTATAATTATCTATATCACAGATGTTTCTCTTGTCATATATATTTAATATTTTCATTTGTTATTTTATCTCATATTCATATAATTATTTATTTTTATAGAACTTTTATTATTTTCCATAAAAGGAGTTGTGTATATTTAAGTTATGCAATATAATCTCATGAGATACAGATAGGTAGGAAAATGGTTGCTATAGTGAAACAAGTTAACATACCTATCATCTCACACTATTACCCAGTTTTTTGCATATGACAATAGCAGCTAAATTCTACTCCTTCAGCGAAAGCCCAGAATATGATATTATTAAATGTAGTCTATGTGTTGTACATTAGATCTCTAGATTTGTTCATCCTATGTATATGTATCCTTTGGTACAGAACTTTTGTGTATACTTTCAAATATTTCAATATTTTCATTGTATTTCCTGCACTGTATTTCAGAGCTTCTGAAGTTAGCACTGCTCTAGAGAGTGAATTAAATATTCAATTCTGTCTTCTGGCCCCTCTATCATCTTTGTTTTAATTCATTAATGCATTTCCAGAGTTTGATCTCTCAGCTCCTCTTTGGGGACCCCAGGCCCTTCCTGTTAATTCCTCTCACACAGCTCTCGTTAAGGTCACTGCTTCTGTCAAGTGGCCATAGACTTATATCGTGCCAAACTGAGCCACTATCATTCCCCATCCCATTCCTTCAAATCTTGTCTTCACTTGTCTCCCACGATGCAACAATCTCTTTAGTTCTCTCTAATTCTCTGACAACCCCTCCTTTTCTAGTTCCACCTCCTGCATGTTGTAGTATCCCAGTCTTCACTCCTCGGCATTACTCTCTTCTCTGCCTATGCACACTTGTCCATTCCCCAGGCTTTAAATGCCATCTGTAGCTGTGACTCTGAAATTTATCACTGCAGTCATTGAGAGCTCCACTAAATTAATATATCTAACTTTCTGCCTAATATCTCCATGTAAATTTCTAATAAGTATCATAACCTTAATATATCCAAACAAGGCTCTTGATTCTTTTCCATTCCACTCCAACTTGTCTCCTCCAATAATCTTTCCTATATCAGTAATTGCTACAAATATTGAGCAACTGTTCAGTTGCCATCTTTGCTTCCTCTCTTACAATTCACACTGAATTCGTCTCAGTTCTTGCTGCGTTTCAGTCATGAAATATATTAAATCTGACCACTTCTTATTACTTCAAACACTAACCACTGGCCATGAGTTCTTTTGTCTCTAGTGTGGACTTCTATATGCTGTAGCCTCCTAAATCTCTTCTTGTTTCTCATCTGGGTTCCTATGGCTTAGTTTCCATGGGTAACAACAGTGGTCTTTGTTAAATATAAATAATTAATACTATACATATATTATGTCATTTAATTCTCAGAATAGCCTAATAGGTGGGTCACATTTACTTTCCCATTTCACAGATAAGGAAAATGAATAACTTGCCCAAGATTATTGCTAAGATTGAAAGTGAGGCAGCCTGCTTTCTTAGCTCACTCTGTTATACATTCACACCTTTGTTTAAACCATTCAGTGGCTTTTCATCATTCATAGAATAAAATCTACACTCTATCCAAACATTGACCTCTACCATTTTACATGATTTTGCCCCTGCCTACATTTCCTAATCCTCAAACACCACCACATTGGTTTCTATCTTAGATCATTTGCACTGTGTGACACTGTGGTTTCCTTCTACTCCACTCTCAGATCTTTGTATAACTCACTCCCTCAATTATTCAGTTCTCTGCTCGATTGTTGCTGGTAAACTTATATAAAATCACCTTCTCTCCCTAGTTTCTCCTCTCACCACTCCTTCACCTTCTATCTCTTCATGACTTCCTGAAATTATTAAAATATATCTGCAGAGTGTTTAACTGCCTAAAATCAATATTTTAGCATAGCAGTTGTTTTCCTTACAATTCTAATATGTATATCTTGAAATAATCTTAAAGTTACTTAAAATATGTTTTTTTAATTCCCTATTGCAATTCTGGAAGATGTCAATGTACAAGAAAAGAGTGTATTTGACCATCCTAATACTCACACAAAGTGCCCACACAATGCCATTTCTATTGTAGATATTTGAAAAGATGTATATCATAAAGGAACACATGAAATAATGGTTTTCTTCATGTCATACTTTTTAAAAATATCATCAACTAAAGAACGGTTTTTATGTAGGATAAACATTCTCTCTCTGGCTTAAAAAACTTAAATTATCCACTTACACTTAATAACAATAAACTATCTCAGGAACAATAGAGTTTAAATAAATTAGGAAGTAATTGCCTTCCCTAATCCCCAGTGTTCTTAATTCCCTTTGTCTCTGGTCCAAATCCAACCAAAAAACTCTTAACCAAAGTGCAGTTATACTACTACATTCATTCTTGTTATTTGGCACCACTGCTCCAAATCTAAGGTGGAAATTTTACCATAATGTGAGCAGGGTCAATTTTTGCAAGTCTTTAGAATATAGCTTAATATTTAGTCCAGTAATAAATTTTAAAATATACCATATCTTCAAGGGCTTTTGGATTCCCTCATTTCTTAAAATACTAGATGAGAACATAGCACTTGTAAAGATAGAAAGTAACATGGTAAAGTTTGAAAAAGCAGCAGGTATGTGAGGCATGAAAAAATAATGAGGCGAGGATATTTGCTGATCTGAACTTCAATAGCGTAACGTTCTCTAGGGAAAATGTTTTTACAGACACTTCAATCATTTATGCTAGTAGCCTTTGCTTTACTGGTGGGTGTTAAGTTGTTGTGGTATTTTTTTTTCTAAGTGGGTCAAGAGCACGTATGTTTTAAACACAGAAAAATATGTTAAGGTAATAAATAATAAGGACTTGATTTTAAAATTATGGCACTCACAAGGATGTAGTTTAAGACTTTAGTAATTCCCAGTGTGACCTCCTGGGCTTGCTGCATTCTCAGCAGAAAACCATCTGCATTCTCTACAATGTACGCAAATGCTACCAACTGTTATTGGAGAAACACAACATGTTAGGCACATGATGTGTCAGGTAAGCAAAAAAGAAACGGGTTTTCCCTCCTAAATGTTAGCCTCCGTTCATACCTCATTCTTTATTCTCTCCCCATTAGTAAATCTGTGGTGTGCAGTGAGACACAACAATTCCTTCTGCCACTGGAGTCCCATTTAATGTCCTCATGTCTGTGCTTTCAACGATTCCCTCATGGGCCATCAAATTTCTGAACAAATGTATCACCTTCTGTTCTGTCTGCATGCAGAATGTCCATTTCTTCACATCCCAGGGAGATTCAAAATAAAAACAAACAAAGAAAGATCTCCATTCAAGCATGGATTCTATTCATTTATGGATTTGAAGAAATGACCAACATAAACTTTTACTAGAAGTCATGATCAATGGAAAAAAAGAGAAAGCAGAGTGGAAAAAGCAAAACTTGGGTCACGGATCTGTTGATAAACTGATTTATCTTTTTGTCTTGTTCTAATATTTAGACTTTAGAATTTCCCTTGTGGAGAATCATAGCTGGTCACTTTTTCATAGAACCCAGTGGCAAATAAGTTGTCTGCTCAGGTATTTGGCATAAAAATTATTGCACTGCAAGTTATCAAATTCAGAAAAATACTTTCATAGAGTATCTTTGGCCCTACTTTCATATATCAGCACTTTTTTAATCCTAGAAAACTACAATATGCTCTTATTCTTTCATTAAATACATAAGCAAAAGCTGCATTTACTGATGAAATAAACATAAACATTTAAGTAATCCCTACATACCAGTTTGTTCACTTTTTTTTTAAATTATAATAAGCTAAAGATTTTCTTGAAACTTGAAAACATTCCTGTCATTCATGGTTGGCAGATGTTGTGAGTTGGAGAATACTCATAAGTGTTTAAAAAATATATTCACTCTATGATAAATTTATTTCTTCATAAATGTCAGTTGGGCTTTTAAGCCTGCAGGAAGCAATGCCTGTAAAACTTTACATTTTTATAAACTTTTAACTTTAAATGCAATCTAGAGGAATACAAATTAAGGTGGCACCATGTAAAAATGTTCAGTTTTTCTCCCTCAGAGATACTTCCCTGCGAACATGCTGTACAGTAACTCAAATCATACGACTAGACTACGTTTTACTACTTAGCTGTGTGATAAGGGGTTTAATCAGCCTCAAAAATGTTGACATCTGAAGATTTGTGTTAGAAAAGAATATAATGCCCGATCTTTGGAACTCGGGACTAAAAGTTCACACTTTTCATTTAGTAGAAAATCGGATAGCTATACACCAGTGGGAATAGATGGTGCAGAAAAAATTTAAATTAAATGTGAAAGATACAAATTGTCAGGCATTAGACTGTGCTATTACCCTTGATTTAATGAAGCCCAATGTCTAGAGAAAGACCTCTAACTTGTCAGGTTGTTCTTTATAAAATGAACATTTTTTTACTGTACCAGGTTGCTGTTTGTAAAGGTCTATTTTTAATATACACTCTACTTCCTCAAGGAAGTTATCGGAAACAAAACTCACAGACTCATAAACTACTTAGTAGTTGAACATACGAAATGGCCACAATAGTTGAAAGAGTATTTATAATAAATATTTTGAATTAAATTATTTTTAAGACACAGAGTTTTCTAATCATATTTGACTTTTAAATAATTAAATTCTGCTGTTCTCAGACTAATGCAACTAACCATAACCCCATTTATTCATTTAATAAGTAATAATTGAATGACTACTATATGCCAAGCTCTCTTGGATTTTCAAGGGCCTTTGTTTCAGTATCTCATGGAAGGTATTATAGGTGTAATTACTTTGAAGTTTAGGTGGGCTTCCAACACAATATTCTGGAATCTGATATCTCCAGAAGGAGACAAGGACAAATCATGATGTTTGGCATCACATAGAATAAATTCCAATTTGAACACAGACACTGACTAGCTGCATGAATTTGATTGCTTGAATGTTTGGTGTCTCAGTTTTTTCATCTGCATGGTGGTGAATATAATAATACTTCATAGTTTTGTTATGATGATTAAATGGGACAGTAGCTGTAATGTGCTTAATACAGTGCCGGATACATAGAAAAATGCCCAGTAAATATTAGCTATCACTAATAGCACTAGTAATAGTACTTAATAGCAGCAGTAGAAGTATTAGTATTTAGGCTAATAATATTTAATATTAACCATATGTAAGAGTATTCTTATTTAACTCTCAAATGTTAAAAATTGTTAGAGAAGCCAATTTACATTTCCATAGATGACAATATAAGAATGTTTGCATACAAATGCAAACATGGTACTTTGGAAAAATAATGCCTCAAGGTGATAGCATTGGAAACAAAACCCATTGTATCCAATGGCAACGAGGTGAGATAACTGATTATTAGCTGATACCAAATGAATCAAATAGACTCTGCTTCAGTGAGTTTGCAAGTTCAGTTGAGGTGAAAAAAATAAAAACACTAGAACAAGTAAAGAGTAAGAACAATAATGATTCAATTAATTTTTGACACTAAAAATATAAAATGTCATATGCTAATTTGAAATACAATGGTAGTAAAGAAAAATTAAGAAACAGAATGTGCTGAACCTAGTGAGAGACTTCACAGAAGATATATTCTTAATATAAAATGACATGACCTTGAACTGGAAGAAGAGGTAGCACCCAGTTGAATAAAAATGAAATGAATGCCTGCCAGTTCGTCTAGAGACACAACTTAAAAGTCTAGAGGCAAGTGAAGAAAAAGCAGAGAAGAAATCTGCCTTACTCCATCACAGACACAGGAAATAAGATAGGGTATGAGCTAGTGGACTTAAAAATAAAACAAATTTATTTTAGTAATCTAAATTTAACTTTGTGGTTCGTAAAAATGATGGAAGCCTTGTACTGATGTCAGATGAAATCTTGAAATCTTGAACAGTTTAGGTTAGAGTGAAAAGATTTTGGTGACAGCTAATGTGTGATGAACACCTACTACATATATTAAGCAAGACTTTCTGCATACATTGACTCATTATTCTTCATGAAATCCCATGAGAGACATATAATTAGCTCATAGTTTAGGTATTAAAACTGAGGCTTATAGTATTTGAGCAATTCAGCCAAGTCCAAAGAACTAATAGAGATAGGATATCAGAAGCTCATGTTAAAAACTAATGAATTATTCTCACTTTAAGACTTAACAAATATTTAACAAGTATTATTTAGATTCTATTATGGCATTTAATTATTTAAGATATCAATTATTTTAATAGAATAAACATGTCTTATTTAAGAAATATATTTGACTAACAATTTCTTCATTATTCAAAGCTTATACTTTCTTGTTATCATTATTGCTGCTGAGAGTGAAGTTATTCTAGTATTCAGAACTTGGTGAATTTGGCAAGGGAGAAGTAACCACCCTACAGGAAAAAAAAAAACTTCAAAACAAATCTAAATGTTATCAAATGTCTTTTTATTCCAAACACAAGATAAATGGATGAATGGCAGGGGGTTGGATAGATGGAGGAGAAACCAGCAGAGAGACAAAACTACGTGATAGATCAGTATTCAACTACATACCACCACAAAATACCCTCTGCTTTCCACCTCATGTTTTCTTTTGGTTTCCTTCTGCCATTTCCCTCAGTTGCACCAATTATTCTACTGGCATCCCATCAGATTTGCAGGGGTCTTCTACGCTTTAAAAAAAGTGCTTATTTGTCAAGATATAAAAGCACACATAGTTTTTAACACTTATATTAAAATTAGCATTCAACAGTATATGTTACTCTTGAATCCCTATGTCTAAAATGAGGTTCCAAAAAGATGTTTCAGTATTTTGAACCCCATAAATGACATTGCTCTATGTAAGTCATTTTTAGATTTTTTTACCCCCCTATTTTAGGGTATTTGGTTTCCTTGTCTTTCTCCCTCATTTTGATGCTTTGTTCAGTGGATCCTCTGTTTAACAATAGGTTGTGTTTTAACCATCTATTTGTTCCCAGTGCAGATCTTAGGGCCTTAACTTGGTGAGTATGTTACATACATGGAAAATGAATATTTGAAGAACTAAGGAGCTCTATTTTGGACCATTTGTGGAAGGTCAGAATTCTTTAAAAACCATAAATACTATTTGTTTTTTATTTTCTAGTTCAGATTACTTTTCTGACTTCTTGATGGCAGCTGAAATTAAAACACATACCTTGTGCGAGACGGCTTTTTGATTTCTATATAAATCTCTTATGCTTATTTGTATGTGTAATGCAGTGCTTTTAACAAAGTTGGAGAAACAAGACAAAAGTAATACTAGGGGAGAAAGTGGAAGAAAAAGTAATTTTAAGATAAAAGAGAAACCCATAGAAAAAGAAAAGAAAATGACAATTATCATAGAGAATAATCTAAACCAATTTGGTAACAAGTAACTCAGCAAGAAGGGATCAGTAAATGACAACAGGCAATTAGGTTAAACATAGTTCCTTTCATTCAGTAAATCCATAGAATCCCCAAGATTAACTTAACTACAGAGTAATATTGTCTTCACTATTTGATATGTTTCCGGATAAACCGTAGGTTGCTTTTTTTTTTTTTAATGGAAAAACTGGCTGTATTTGTAAATGACAATTGACACAAGACATGAATTTTTACAAATATGCAGGCTGCTCATGATTCCCCACAAATGTTTATCTATCTACACTATCTATGCACAGGAATGCTCTTGTTTGCAAATAAATCGACCTGTGTTGGTTTCCCAGGACAGAGATTAATAAAGTCCTGAAAACTAGGGGACTTAAAACAACAGAAATTCATCATCTCACAGTTCTAGAGACTAGAAGTCTAAAATCAAGGTGAAGACAAGACCATGCTCCCTCTGAAACATGTAGGGAAAATCCTTCCTCACCATTTCATAGCTTCTGCTGGTCTGCCAGCAATCTTTAGCATTTCTTGGTCTGCAGTTGCATGACTCTAATCTTTGCTTTGCAGTCCATGGCATTTTCCATGTATATCTCTATCTTCACATGGCCATTTTTGTTGTTGTTGTTATTGTTGTTGTAATTATTGGTTACATAGACTTTTGTGTCTGGAAGATCATGAAAGTGTGTCTGCTACTGGAAGAAAACCCTGCATAAAACACATAGAAACCCATACAAAACACACTGACATTACTGGGTGACACAGATAGTTCTTTCCTTTTTTCCATTCAAAGTCCATATAGGTATTAAATTTAATTTGTGTCTCTATAGATTTTACCTAACATTCCTCTTCTTCCAGGGTGACCTTAATTTCATTAGCCTTCTTCCCTCTCTCCTAGGTCTTGATTATCAGTAAATACGCTCCATTTTTCCTTGTTTTCAGCCAGTTAGATATGTGGGCAGGCAAGCTGTTGAAAGAGGTTAGGTGCCTTAAAGATCCTATGAAAATAAGTCTTTAGATCTTTCAGTTAAGCATCTACAATCAAAATCTGTCTTGCAAGTATTAATAGCCTTTATTTGATGTTATAATAGAAATTTCTCCCTCTTTTCTCATCTTAGCTAAGCTCTCTTCTAGGAAGGGAAGTGGGAAATAAAAGTAGTTAGAGGAAATAAATATTGCCTTACTGCATAAAACTGGGGAGACAGAACAGAGCCACATAGCACTTTTTCTTTGGGAAGTGATGGCATAGCACTGTACTATTCTTGTTTTTTTTTCTCTTAATATATATATTTGCACATATTTAGGGTATATTTATTTGTATATACTTTTTTTTTTTTGAGATGGAGTCTTGCTTTGTTGCCCCAGCTGGAGTGCAGTGGCACAATCTCAGCTCACCGCAAGCTCTGCCTCCCAGGTTCACGCCATTCTCCTGCCTCAGCCTCCCGAGTAGCTGACTACAGGCACCCGCCACCACGCCCAGCTAATTTTTTGTATTTTTAGTAGAGACGGGGTTTCACTGTGTTAGCCAGGATGGTCTGGATCTCCTGACCTCGTGATCCACCTGCCTTGGCCTCCAAAAGTGCTGGGATTACAGGCATGAGCTCCCTGCCTGTACATACTTACTATGTGGTATTTTGTTACATGCATAGACTGTATCGTGATTAAGTCAGAGTTCTCGGGATGTCCATCACCTTGGGTATGTATCATTTCTATGCATTGGGACCATTCTATGTCTTCTCTTGTAGCTATTTTGAAATATGCAATACATTGTTGTTAATTATAGTCACGCTACTCTCCTATCAAACATTAGAACTTATTCCTTTTATCTAATTCCACACGGACGTATTCTTATGAGGACATCAATCATATTGGATTAGGACTCATTCCAGTATGACCTCATCTTAACAATCTGCCATAGGGAGAGAGTAATGTGGGTATCTGAGGGAAGATAATTTCAGATTAAATGAATTACCAGTGCAAAAAGTAGGAAGATTACCGACATGTCCACAGAATAACAAGATCAATGTGAATGGAGAAGAGGGTGGGAGCTGGAAAGTTGTAAATGTCAGAGACTGAAGAAGCAGCCAAAATTTGTAGGGCCTTGAAGGCTATTGTAATGGCGTTGGCTTTTAGAGTGAGGGAAGAGTTTTAAGCAAAAAAGTGACGTAATCTAACTTTTATTCTAAAGAAATATTCATTGTAGCTTCTATAACTAGCTAGAAAGGGGCCAAGGGACATTAGTGGGGAGACAAGTTAAAAGGATATTGCCATCCAAGTGAGAAAGTGACGCCATGGACCAGAGTAATAGAGACGGAGGTATTGAGATATGATCAGATGTGTTTTTAAGCCACTGAGTCTTCTGATGGGTTTTGATATAGAATGTAAGAGAAATAAAAGAGCTTGAGTTAGATCTAAATCCTAACCTCTAACTTTCAACTGGAAAGAAGTAGTTGCCATTAACTGAGATGGGAAAGACTGTGGGTCCAGAAGATTTAGGAAGAAGATAAGGAGTTCCCATGAAGAACAAGTGTGAGATGGCAAATAAAAGGATAAAAGAAGGGAATTTAAAAAATAGTAGTGTATGAGCTAACCTTTTTATTTAAAAGTATAAAGCTGAATGAAATCACCAAGTTGGTGAGTTTAATTAGAGAAGACAACAGGGTCAACTACAATTTTAAAAGATCTGGGAGAAGAAAAGGAGTAAGAAAACAGGATTTGGTTTGTAAGAGAAAAACTGATAGTGTGTGCTATGGCGAAAGCTAGGTAATTATTTTGTTTAAGGAGGTAGGTGTGATCAACTGTATCAAATGATGCTGCTAGACTATTCAAGAAGAGACTGAGATTTGTCCACTGACTTAGCAATTTAGAAGTTATTGTGACCTTGAAAAGAACAATTATGTGTAGTGATAGGCACAAAAGCCTAACCAGAGTAGTTTTTGAAAAGAACAGAAGAACCTGAAGAGGGGACACTGAGTATAGAAAATGTATCCAGGAGAGAATGGAAGGGACCTGGGGTAAGTTTCATAGTGGATTTCAACTTCATATAATATGGTTTATTTCTTTTTTAGAAATTTAGACTAGCAATATTCTAACATGTTAATTTCGGGAAAATGACACATAGGCATTTTGCAGCATGCTTTATACTTTTCTTTATTTAAAAGAAAATGGAAAAACAAAATCAACTAGTTCTTTAGAAGAGACTTTCAAGACATTTAAATCTAATGACTTCTTAGAAAATTATGTAAAGACAAAAAATATTCTTCTTCAGCAAAGACTGACTTATGACTATCTTTTCATTGTTAGAAATCTGTAGAAGCTAATCATAGATACGGTGAGAATCCAATGCCTGGGGCAGGTTGAGGCATCGTTGTGATTTGTAAAAGTAGGGGGTAAACAGAAACCAAGACAGGTGATGTGCATATCCTTTATGAAGTCTGGGATTGAAATTAGTCAAATTATCTGTGTGTCAGGGAGATGAGATGTAGCTTTAGAAACTAAAGGTCTAGTCAAATAGATAAACAAAGTCAAAGCTGAAAGTAATTCCAGAATGTGTGGGTGGGGGAAAAAGAGTAACAGGTAGAGAAGACATAGGAGATATAGCAGATACCAACATTGGACAGATGAGTTCTCCTAGTCAGCTCACAGGACCCCGAATGAGATCACCCTCTACCCCACTTCATAAAACACCTCTGGAAAACATTATGACACTGTATATTTGTCTGAATTTTGTCAGACTGCATCTGGCTATTTCCAAATAAGCATACTTATCTACAAAGAACAAGTGACTAATAGGATTTTAAATAGTTTCTTTCATGGCCCTTTGTTTTTTATTCTTTTAGTTGTACACATCCTCTTAATCTGTGCTCAGAAAAGTTTGGCGTACACTGTTTGGTGAATATTGATGTTCTTATTCAAGGGTAAACTTTGTAAACTAGTAACTTACAGCATGTGTATAACATGTTGGTGAATCTTTCAAATTGCTTTTCCAGGAACTCTATTGAATCCTTTCTTAAGGAGAATATATAATCATGGGACAAAATTTTATCCATATATCTAAATTGTATATACATGGGTATTACCTGTATATAGTTTGCAGACTTAAGATTGTTCAAAATTATACTTAAAATAATAAATATTTGTCTAAAAAAGAAGTGAAAGAAAATAATAAAAGCAACTTTGGGGTTCATCAAAATGTTAAATGTAATCAGTGAGAAATAGAAAGTAATAAACTAACCACTATATTGAAACTTATTTTAATCACAGAATAAAATTGCCCAATACAATTTATTTTTCATTTAAATGCATTGATTTAGAATTCAGCTCACTATGTTAAATAAAGAGTTAATTGGAAAATGTTGAAGTTAAATAGTAAAAGTTTTACTGAGATCAAAAAGGCTTCCTTTTAATAATCCCAAAGGTTACATTATATTTGAATATTTCCCGCCTGAATATTTTGGAGTATTACTATGCAAAGATCAGCCTTTTAAGAGTTTTAAACTACCACCAAGTATGATCTCATTTTATTTGATATTTCTGAAGAACTCTTAAAAGTAAACAAGATGAGCAAACCTTTAATTGACATTTCTTGAATTTAAATATTCATAAGGTGATTGATATTTAAACATCATCTACTGAAGAGCTCAATTTCAATGAACCAATCAATGTATCAAGTCCAGATATATTACTTTGGGATGATGAGGGTAAATTATAAGAGGAAAACTTGCTTGTTTTCTATTGGAAAGTGGATCATAAGTTTATATCTATCTTAATCTATAAAACTTGATTTTAAATGATGAATTATCTTTGCTTTAACTAAAAAAGCTATTGTCCTTTGAATTGCAATATTTGCTATATATAATTTTGTGGTATTTTAATTGAAATATTTTTTTGCTGCACAAATTAAAGAGATATTTTTGACGAGTTAAAACTTAAATTTTGTCTTTTTTTGAGAACAAGAAAGTATATTTTGCTGTAGGAAACAAAACAAATTATCTTGACCTTGCACATAAACTTTATGTAGTTTGCTCTTAATAAAAAGTAAATTTAGAAACTGGGGAGAATATACGCTTGTCTTAAGACCACAAAAATTTATTTAAGGACAGGAGTTAAGATGTAAAATACAACTCAAAATGTGAGATTTTTATGACCAGTTACAAAATTCTTCAGTATCCAAAGTTCCATTCAACTTCAAAAAAATGGCAGAGGAGCTGTTTGTTACTTAAAAGTCAGATATTTTGCATAACATTTTGTAGAGATTCAGAAATCTCAATCTAGGCCTTTTCAATCTATGCCTTTTAAATAAAAATTGTTTTATATAAAGTATTTGTTTCATTCAAGAATGTATTTAAAGATTCACTGTTTTGTTTGGAAAAAGATGGATAAGGAATTTTGAAATCAGTAGAAATAGAAGAAATTGTCACATACAAAAGGTGCTAAGATAACTGGCAACTATTGAAAAGCAAAAATATCACCCTTTGTATAAAGTGTGAAATGCTAAAATGTAAAATCATTAAATCACTGAAATAACAGACTTTATTTTGCTTAGAGGAAAAGGAAGTCATGCCTAAACTAAAAAGCAAAGAAAGAAGCTATAGTTTAAAAGATCAATGGATTTTTAGCACGTAAGGAATGTAGAATACTCTAGATCAAACACTACCAGAAACAAAATAAAGAAGACAAATTACGATCCAGAAAAAAAATTTGCAACTATTTGGGAAGAGAGCTAATGTTTTTACTATAAAGTAAGTTCTCACAAATCAATAATAATATCAATAATAAAAAGCAAATAACTTGAAGGGAATATATTCCGAAACAAAATAGATGAATAACTGAAATGTGATATAAATGGTAATAGTTGTGAAAATGTACAATTTTACCAACAGAAAATGGACAAAATAAAAATCACAATTGTGATATCATCACTTTCTGTTAGATTTGGCACCCTTTTAGACATAATCAAATGATCTAGGGCCAGTAATGGTGAGTTTCTAATACATATCGGAGGCCTTGAAAAAGAATATTTATATTATATTATATTTTGATCCAAAGATGCTACTACTAGAAACATAGTCTATTGAAAATGCAGTTCAAGACCAAATAAAATAAAAAAAATAACATGAAATGTATACACCAGGATGGTTACTAGAGAATTGTACAATATACTCAAAACCGAAACAAATTCAATGTATAAAAAGTCTGCCAGTAAATAAATCGCCACATAACCATGAAGTCGAATATTCTGCAAGCACTGGGAATCATGTTTTATAAGAATTCTTAATGACCCTGGGAAAGGTTGCCAATGAATTTTTAAGTTTAAAAAGTTATACTATAAAATAATTATGAAAACAAAATAAGCAATATGTAAAATATGTGTTATATAGTGAATATGTGTTTATATGTGTATATATATTTGTATGTGTGTGACTATATAACATTTAGAAAATACATCTGGAAGGTGATACCCCATTATTGTCCACTAATAGCTCATTTACCTGAGGACTAAGCTTTGATTATTTTTTTATTTTGCCCAAATTCCAATCTAAGGGGTCTGGGGAGTCATACACTACAAACCATAAGTTCTCATCAGATGGGATTTATTTAACCCTATATAGTGTGACTTTCTTTCCAGCGCGACTCTAGGATAACATTATGAGACAAGGAAAAAAAAAATCAAAATTTTACCCCCCAAAAAAATCAAAATTTTACCCCAAAACATGTTTCTTTGCCATATGTTGAAATGGCCCTTTTGCAAATGTGTCCTTTGTGGGGGAAAATGTACATCTGTAAGGAATCTTGGGGCTGGGCATGGTGGCTCATGCCTGTAATCACAGCACTTTGGGAGGCCTAGGTGGGCAGATCACCTGAGGTCAGAAGTTCGAGCCCAGCCTGGCCAAACAACATGGCGAAACCCCGTCTCTACTAAAAATACAAAAATTAGCCAGGCATGGTGGCGCGTGTCTGTAATCCCAGCTACTTGTGAGTCTGAGGCAGGAGAATCACTTGAACCCAGGAGGCAAAGGTTGCAGTGAGCCGAGATTGCAGCACTGCACTCCAGCCTGGGCGATAGACTGAGACTCCATCTCAAAAAAATAACTAATAAAAAATAAAAGAATCTATATTAACATAGCTAGATTTTTTTCTTCTAGGCCCTCCCAATCCTGAAGAGATTAAGTAAGAGTCTAGCACCTTTTGAAAGGTCTGAATAGGAAATATTTGTCATCTATTGTCTCTAAGGGCAGCCACTATAAGACTTGAAAAGAACCTTGGTCTTCACAGTCTTTTATCTTAACCTGAACATTTCCTTTCTATTGATCCCAGGTCTTTAGAGAAAGTCAACCAATTGTCTATCAGAAAATGTTAAATTTACCTATAGCCTGGAGGCACCTCCCTGATTTTGAGTTGTCCCGCCTTTCTAAACCAAATCAATGTATTTCTTAAATGCAATTGATTGCTGTCTCATGTCTCCCTAAAATGTATAAAACCAAGTTGCACCCTGACCTCACTGGGCACATGTTCTCAGGACCTCCTGAGGGCTGTGTCATGGGCTATGGTCACTCATATTTGGCTCAGAATAAATCTCTTCAAATATTTTACAGAGTTCGACTCTTCGTTGACACATCTATGATTATCTCCGGATTATGGAATTGCAGTTGCTTTTTCTTGTTTGGAATTATTTTATTTTTTTCGTCCCAAAGAACTTATATTACTTTTTAATCTCAAGTATTTTTTTTCTTTAAAAATCTGTTGAGAGAAGTAAGTAAAACTTTACATTGTAGCAGAATGAGCCACAGACAAAACTCCCCAGACACGGAGTTAAAGAAGGAAGCAGTTTATTCGGCTGGGAGAATCGGCAAGACTGCTGTCTCAAGAGCCGAGCTCCCCAAGTGAGCAATTCCTGTCCCTTTTAAGGGCTCACAACTGTAAGGGGGTCTGCGTGAGAGGGTCATGATCAATAGAGCAAGCAGGGGGTATGTGACTGGGGGCTGCATGCACTGGTAATCAGAGTAAAGCAGAACAGGACAGGGATTTTTACAATGCCTTTCTATACAATGTCTGGAATCTATAGATAACATAACCGGTTAGGTCAGGGGTAGATCTTTAACTACTAGGCTTAGGTCAGGCAGGCCCAGGCCTGGTTTCGGGTCTGGTTCCTAGGCGCCGGGCTACCTGCTTTAGTTTCGCGTCTTCTTCTTTTTCTGAGTATAAAACAATATAAGAGGGTCTGTCTCTCTTCTCTCAACATCAGATAAGGGAAATGCTTCAAGACATGCAAACATTTCCTATTCCTACACCAATGGAAGACCTCAGAATTAGGTCATTTTGATCTTTGTTGCTGAGCCTAAAAATCCTTTCCAAGAAGCAATCTAGGTTTTCAAATGATGGGAGTTAACCTGAAATTATTAGCTGACTTGAAATTATTTTTTTACCCCTTATCTATGCTCTGGAACTTATTATTAGTCAGGATAACCTAGGTGTTTTGTGGTAACAGATTTACTCCAAAATCTCTTTGCCTTCACACAAGAAAGTTGATTTTTCACTCGGAGTAAACATTTTGTGAGACAGCAAAGGATAAGTCCTCACAGTCACTCAGGAACCGCTGCTGAAAGAGGCACTGCGGTGTTGTTTCTGCACCATCTAAAACAAATGGCCTCCTTAAACCTTACAGTGGGAAAAGAAGAGGGCTGTTGGATTTTAAATGTTTCCACTGAGAAGTGATAATACCACTTCCTATAGCCCATTGGCCAGAAATAGTTACAGCCCCACCTGACTGAAAAGCTGAGCAAGCTAGAACATGGCATAAATGTTCAGAGAAAGAACTTGCATATTGAGTGCATACACATAGGCTATTATAAAATTAATAAGCATTTTTAGCAGTATATGCACCCATTCGATACTTGTGTATTTCCTGAGTGTATGTGCAGCAGTACTGAGAGTCTTCTCTTTTTTGTTTTAATCTTAAAATTTGGTAATCTGAGAAAGAAAAGGACTGCTTTTTCCAGTACACTAGTAACCTAGGGACAAATATGCTTGGTGTAAACATCAAGCTTATGATTCCTTCCTTTACAGGAAAATAATAGACTTCTGTAATGTGACTGATACTTTTGCTTACATTCTTGTTCAACTCAGCACAAACTTCTTGAAAAGGTTATTATGCCCTTATGCCCGCATTACTAAAAGTTAAACTGAGGTACCTAGAGTTGAAGTAATTTGACCAAGAGCACATGGACAAATGTTAGAAATCAAATTTAAATCTAAAAATGCACAGTTGCAATAATAATAATTATTTCAGTATACCATATTGCATCCCTTTATAGTAAAAAAAAAAAAAAAAAAAGCACAACACCTCCAATTTTTACTCAAATGAAAATTTCAATCTGAAACAACCAAAATTGGTCAAGAACTGTAGTTACACAATCCGATAAGTACCACATTTCATTGCTGGATGGGCTTCTTGTTAGAATATTTTAGAATATGTTAGAATAATGTTAGAATTATGCTGTGATGTCTTTTTGTAACTCCCATTATGTCTAGTGAAACGAGATGTATTTCATATTTTTGCCATTTGCGTGATTTGAGGTCATTCAGTTTTATATACCTGAGCCTCATTTAACAAATTTGTAATATGAACAAAATAAAACTTATAATACTCAAATGTTGCAGAGATATACTTTATATTTTTAAAATACTGTTGTACTTAATGTTTCTTATTCACACTTGAATCCACTGGAATAAACCTTGTAGATGAATGTATACATGCAAAGAAAATTACAAAGAATAAATTTTTAAAAGAATGCAAAATGAGGTTTTAGCTGTGGTTAACTCTGGGTAGTGCTATCTTGTCTGTTTTTATTGTTGAGTTACTGTTTTTTTTGTATTTTCTAATTTTTATTCAATAATTACGCATTGCTTTTATAATAAGAAATAAAACTTTGAAATTAATTATTTCAAATTAAATACATGTATAAATATGACAGCCTACTTAGCAAACCAGCATTCCTTACTTTATCAGACTTTTCTTTTGTAACGTGTATGAATTTTACCACAAAATTTTAAACATAGTCTTCTTTAAACACCATCTAACATGTTTACCATTTGTTTCTGTGTTTAAGTTTTTATTTGGTCTAATATTTATTTTTCTGCATTGTAAAATATGGTTTCTTTTCTCAAAATGTTTTCCAACTTTGATTAACCCATTCTTTCCCCTTTTCTGCTTTTAAAATAAAAGTAAATCCTGACAAGTCCACAGATTTGTACCTGGACTCTCTTCAAATCCATTGATCAAAAGGTATTTTGATTTATTATTACCTTGCTAGTTTAATTGGTATGACTTGATATTGTATTTTAAATCCTTCTGTAGCCATTTGTAGTGTTATCATAAAATAATATTTCATTTTTAGCATCATTGCTTCAATTACTCTCTTGCTTTCTTTTCTTTAACATATGTCTGGTAATTCTTTTCTTACCCTTTATTTCCAACATTCCTGTATCATTTTGTTTTAGATGTGTTTTGGGTAAACAGTTACATTTTTGTTTTTATTTATCTAATTTGGAAGTCTACTTTTCAGTAGGCGAACTTAACCCATGGATCTGAAACCTTTTTCTATAAAAATCATTCTTAGCTCTTGGCCCATACATAAAAGACTGTGAGTTAAAGTTTAACTCATTCAAATTAAATGATTGTAATTAATATTTACAGCAGTTTCTTCACGCTAGACACTGTTCTAAGAACCGTACATATAATGATTCATGTAATAATCCAAAAAACCCTATAATGTTCTATAATGAGCTACTATTATCCCCACTCCACTGATGTGGAAAGTGAGGGACAGAAACTTGTCCAGGGCCTCACAAGTGGCAGGTGAGGGAGCTGGAATTTGATCTGAGGTAGTCTGGCTTGATTCCACAGCTTTGATCACTGCAATATATTACTACGCATTGATGAAAGACTGGAACATGTGTTTCACTATATTCTTACTTTCTTATTTCATATTTTCTTTTACAAGTGGTTAGCTTTGTATTGCTACTGTAACAAATCGCCACAACTTAGTGGCTTGAAACAACACAAATGTGTTATCTCACAGCTGTGTAGCACAGAAGCCTGGTGGACTCAGCTGGATTATCTTCCTATCTTAGAAGGCTGACATTTAAATGTTGACAGGGCTACAGTCTTACGAAGCCTCATCTACTACAGCCCTTCAGGTTGTTAGAAAAATTCAGTTCCATGCAATTGTAGGACTGAGGTCCCCTTTTTCTTGCAGGCTTTCAGCCAGCGGTTGTTCTTAGCTTCTAGAAGCTTCCAACACGCCTTGATTCATAGCTCTTCCATCTACAAAGCCAAAAATAAATGGTTGAGTCCTTCTCATGCTTCCGATTTCCCTGATTCCCCTTTTTGGCTTGCTTTTATGCTTCCTTCTTTCTCTTGTAGGGTAAATGCACCTTGTAACAACAATTTAAGCTACACTTAGAAGGACCCTGTATGGCAGACACACTCGAATGTGTGTTCCAAGCTAGGGAAACCAGGAGGGGCCGACCTGGAGATTCGTTCCTCATCTATGAAGAACATCTGAGGCCCTGGCTTGTCCCATGCAACACAGGCCATACAGGAGACTGAGGCCCTGAGTTTTGGTTTAGAGGAGAGTTGCCAAGTAGAGGTCATTAAGGGGAGGGTGTTAAGTGAAAATGACATATAAACTGTTTGCAAGCAGTTGCAGTTTTTCTGCCCAGCCCACCACCACTAGGCCCTGCAGTTATGTTGTCCAGCCCACTGCCACTGGACTCTCTCCCCCATATATAACTCCTTAATAAAACCCCATGTCTTGCGTGCTGGCTCTGGTCTCTTCTTTGGCCTCTTGAACCTGGTGCCTTCCCTACTGAGGTTAATAGGGGTTTGTCACAACACTCCTCCATCTCTCTCTCCTATCTGCCTCTTCTGCTTTTAAGGGCTTGAGGATTGCAAATTCTACAATAATCTCCCTATTTTAAGGTCAGCTGATTAGTAATCTTAATTCCATCTACAAAGTACCCTCACAGCCGTAGCCAGATTCATGTCTGATTAACCAGAGGACAGGAAACTTAGAGGTGCATCTTTAGAATTCTCTCTACAAACCTTTCTTTTTCATTCTTTTTTATTTTCTACTCTGTGTTTCCAATCTGTAAACACAACCTTTTAAAATATTTATTCTGTCTTTGGTATAAGTTAACTACCCTGGAAAGAGAGCGAAACACAACTTATTTCGTCTCCATTTGTGCAGCTTGTCTTAATAAGTTCTTTCCCATCAATTCTTTAACTGCATTTTGTAAACATATATTTTCATTTCCCATAGGTATTTAAGACTCAGGGAAAAATTAGTTTATTTTGCTTAGCTAGCCAGACCATGATATTAAATTTTCCTTTAATTGAATCAACTATATAGTAACATTTTAAGTAGGCCACACTATTTACCGATCTTTTACACTGTCCTCACGTAACTGTTTTTACATATCACTTTGCAATGCTCCCTGCTTACATTATACATAACTCCAATCAGAGTGGGTATAACATTTTCTTTTTTCCAAATTTAAAACTATATTATAATTGATTATTTCACTCCTCTATCATCTTTTCTTTGCCTATGGAAGGCACTGAAGAAAGTAATATACAACCTTCAAAGCATGGGATAAACACCTTTCCAAGCCTGGGTGCCGTCAACGTATCCTCCCCAAACATCACTTCTGCTTATTTGACTCTCATGCATTACCTATCACATTGCAGCATAATGAAAAATTTGTCATTCTCACCTTTGGGCACATGTTGCCCCTCTGACTTCATTTTCTTCAGGTGACTGATTCTTATTTGCCTTTCAAGCATAATCTAATGTGTCACCTCCCTTCAGGAAATTTTCCTCTCCTGGGTTAAGTGCCTCTCTTTTGTGCACCCATAGAATTCTTCTTGTATTTTTTATCAGAGCATTTTTCTTATCCAGTTGTAATTATTTGATTATTTCTATAGTTCCCACCTATACTTTGAAGTCCTTTTGAGCAAAGCCTGTGGCCCTCCCTACTAGTTGTTTTTCTTAAGATGGGTTAGGTTTGGCTGTAATTAGCAAACGACTCCCAAATATCAGTTATTTAAAACAGCACAGGTTTATTTCATCTTCGTACTACATGTGTGTCATGGGGCTGCTTAAGGCTCTGTTCATTGCTCTTTTCACTGACAAAGTTGTCATTATCTCTAATGTCAGCTGCCATGGCAGAGAAAAGGAGAGACCATGAAATACACAATGGCTCATGAAGCATCTCCCTGTAGTGACATATGTCAGGTCTGCTCACTGTTCATTGCAAAAAAAGCAAGTGACCATATCTACCCTCAAGAGGAAAGGAAGACCAAGCCTATCGAATGCCAGAGGTGAGAGTTTTGAATATTTGGTGAACAGCTTTAGTGACAGACAGTAACCACTATCAGTCTCTTTAAGTGTGATATGAACTGCATGTTTGTGTCCCTTCAAAATGCCTATGTTGAAACCATAACCCCCTACAGGATGGTATTTGGAGATGGGGTCTTTGGGAGGTAATTAAGTTATGAGGATGGAGCCCTCATGATAGAATCAGGGCCCTTCTAAGAAGAGACCTGAGTAAACTTTTTTCTCCTCTCTGTACTCTTTTCCATGTGAGTATACAATGAGAAGGTGGCCATCTGCAAATCAGGCATGAGATTTCATCAGATACTGGATCTGCCAGCACTGTGATGTTGAACTTCCCAGCCTCCAGCACTGTTAAGAAATAAATGTTTGTAGCTTAAGCCACGCAGTCTAGGGCAATTTGTTATAGTAGTCCCAACTGGCTACTGTGTACTAGTTTACTAGGACTGCTATATCCAAGTACTACAGATTGGGTAGTTTAAAGAACAGAAATGTATTGTCTCACAATTCTGGAGGATAAAAGTCTAAAATCAAGATGTTATTAAGGTGGGTTCCTTCTGAGGGCTGTGAGATAAAGATCTGTCCCATGTCTCTCTCTGTAGCTTGTAGATGGCCATCTTTTCCTTTTGTTCTTTTACATCTTCTCTTTATGTGTGTTTGTGTCCAAATTTCCCACTTTCCTAACATGCTAAAGGAGTTAAGTATTAATTGAAGAGTGAACAAATACATAGGAAAATGTCATCTACAATAGTAATAAAGTTGATTTTAAAGCAAATTTGGGATACTATTTTATAAATACAGAAAGAAGATGGCAATAAATTTTTGGCCAAAATTATAGGCTTATTCAATGCCAGTGATATTATTAATGAGCAAATCCTTTTTTCATAAAGTATTCTGGTATTGTATATTAAAATATTAATTTTAGCATAAACATTTTGTTATAAAATAAACATATTATTTTAAAAATAAACTTGAATCCCTTGCAGGGAATTTAGCCTATGATAAAATATCAACTGGAAAAATTAAGAAGAACGTATTGATCATGGTTTACTATAACAATAAACATTTATAAACATTGTTTTACTCTTCCTAGAAGTATACCACATACTGATTAAAATAATAATCATAAAAACTATATAGAGACATGAAGCACAGACATAATTTAGTCACTAATTTAAGAAAGATATTACTATGAACCAGAGACTTTATTTTACATACTATTATGGATTGAATTGTGTTCCCCAAAAATTCATGGGTCAAGGTCCTGACCCCCACTAGCTCAGGGTGTGACATTATTTAGAGATGAAATGATACATAGGTAATCAAGTTAAAATAGGGTTAAAATAGATTGAAGTGGGTCCTCATCCCAAATGACATATTCTGCACTTACTGCTTTTAATCTCATTCAGCAAAATTCTTATTCCCAATATTGTGGTTTTACTCGCTAAGAAGTTCTGTATTTGTATATTTCATTTCCCTCATCACTACATTTATATATACCTTTGAAGATTTGAATATAGTTGTTGTAATTATCTTAATATTTTTGTGTACTAGTCCCTTATTTCTTTCATATCTCTGTTTTTATTGAATGTCTTTTTTTAGTCATGGGCCTCATTTTTCTGCTTTTTGACATATCTAATAACCTTTTTATTAGTTTCTGGACATTTTGTACATTATACTGTTGAGTGTCCTGATTTTGGTGTTTGCTTTATGGGATGTTGGTTTGGCTTTGTTTTGACAGGCATTTAAGTACCTGTCAATCAATTTGATACCATCAAGGCCTCTTTATAATTTTTGTTATGGAATATGCAGCGTTCACTCTAAGAATAGCTGATTCCTATAACTAAGGCATAATCCATTTGGGGTGTCCACTGAATATTGTATGTAGGTGATTACTGAAGACTCTACACTCTAACTTGCGGAAGTTTGAATATCTCCTTGTCCTTTATGAGTGCTGGGAATTCTTCAGCCTACGATTCCCTGATCTTTCTTGCTCAACTTTGTGGAGATTCACTTCATGAATATATGGCCTAGTTCTTAGTAAATACTAGAGGGACGAACATGCATACATCTGGATCTTTTTTCTGTACAGCTCCCTACTTTCCAAAACTCTGCCTTGCAACTTGCAGTAGCCTCAGCCTCCCTGGGCTCTGATCCCAGTCTACTCAAAACCCGGAATCCACTGAACTTTGTTTGAGATTCCTCTCCTTCATTCTGCATTTTTAAAATGCCACAAAGCAAAAAGTCAAGGTGACAATAGAACACACTTTATTTATACCATTTTCTCAAGTATAGACCTGCCTTATCTATTGTCCAATGTCTGAAAATAGTAGTTTTAGGTATTTTTTCCTATTTTCTAGTTTTTAACAACAAGGAGTTAAGTTAGACCATTATGGCCAGAAGTTGAAGTTTATGATGCTTATTTAAAGACAGTTCATATTGTAGCTAAAGATGTGTTTATAATGCTAAAATTCTGGAATACATCCACATATATAAGAGGATTCAGAGACACATGGCTTAACAATTAACTCACACCTACACCCTTGGTCTGGACAGTTTCAATACATACACATAAAAATACTCAGTTCTCATGAAAATTTAATTAAAATGCCCTATTCCCCAGTTAAGTCGCTTAACTAAAATATAACGCCATCAGCAGAAATTCTACTAAAAATTTTGATATTACTTTAGAAGGTTTTTTAGCAATTTATAAAATTCTTAAAATAAATATTTAATTAATATTTAAATTTCACTGTCCTTATTCCTAGTTACTATACCAAATAGAATTTTACCTGAAGTCATATTTTGATTTAAGTTTTTAAATAGTATAGATTTTTGTGTTATTTATTTATTTGTTTGTTTATACCCCCTTCTTATTTCAGAAACTATTTATAGTTTTGAAATTTCACTGTGATAAAAATAAGGTTGGTTATGTGGTGGGATTCATCAGGCAAGAACATGTAAATAGAAATACATGAAATGTATGGATAGTCCCCAAAGAAACTATATGGTAGATAATATGTATGGTATTTGAGTAAAAATATGTTCAACTTTCTCAAACCTATTTAACACAAACATATATACTTAGTATATATGTATTTTTTAAATTTTTTCAAAACATTAGTAACTAATGTCTAGCATAGTAGTGGTAGACCATAAATACCTAATAAATATTTGTTATTAAAAGATTACCATGAGGAAAGAGAAGAAGGAAAATAGAAATAATATATCTAAACTCTATATACAATGTCTAAACCATGAACCATGAAGGAAAGAGTTCATATACTGAATTTTATAAAAATTAAAAATTTCCACTCTGCAAAACTTACTCTTAAGAGAATAAAAGAAGAATCACAGACTGGGAAAATATTTGCAAAAAACATATGATAAGGGATTTTTCTTCAAAATGTACAAAGAACACTTAAAACTCAGCAATAAAGAAAGAAAGAATTAAACTTAAAATGACACAAAGATCTTAACAGGCAGCTCATCAAAGAAGATATATATATATATGGCAAATAAACATATTAATATATGCTCCACATCATATGTCATCAGAGAAATGCAAATGTAAACAATGAGAGATCACTACAGACCTATTAGAAATTCAGAACACTAACAACACCAAATGCTGGTGAGGATGTGGAACAGGAACTCTTGTTCATTTCAGGTGGAAAGGCAAAATGGTGCAGCCACTTTGGAAGACAATTTAGTGGTTTCTACAAAACTAAACATCCTCTAACCATATAATCCAGCAAGCATGCTGGATTTACTCAAAGGAGTTGAAGACTAATGTTTGCACAAAAGATGGCACACAGATGTTAATAGTAGCCCTATTCATAATTGCTAAACTTGGAAGCAACCAAGATGTCCTTCAGTGAATGAATAGATAAATTATGTCAAATCCAGACAGTGGAATATTATTCAATGCTAAAAACAAATGCGTTACTAAGCCATGAAAAGACATGGAGGAGGATTAAATGCATCTCACTAAGCCAGTCTGAAAATTCTACATATTGAATAATTCCAACCATATGACATTCTGGGAAAAGCAAAACTGAACAGTAAAGAGAGAACTTGTCGCTAAGGGTTAGTCGGGAGAAGGTATGAACAGGAGGAGCACAGAGGATATTTAGGGCAGTGAAATAACTTTGTATGACACTGTAATAGTAGTATCTCATTGTATACTTGTCCAAAGCTATGGAATGTATAATACTAAGAGTGAGCCCTAATGTCAGCTGTGGATCTTGGATGATAATGATGTGTCAATATAGATTCATCAATTGTGACAAATGTACCACTGTGGTGAGGGATGTTGACAGTTGTGGAGGCTGTGCTCCCTACTCCTCCTAGGGGTAGGGAGTATCAGGAAATCTCTACCTTTTGCTCAATAGTACTGTAAACCCAAAATTGCTCTAAAAATAACATCTATTTAAAAATTGTTAAGATGGTAGGTAACATTTATGTTATGTGCATTTTGCCACAATTAAATTTTTTAATTAAAAAATATTTTTAAAATTTTTGACTATTAAAAACTTCAAACTTAAAGAATACATCCAGTAGCATGCCCACATCATTATAGAAGTTCAGTAAAAATGTCTTGTTTTGATTACAATTTGGGTAATTGATTACTAATGGCAATGATTCAAAAGTAGGAAAATTGGCTAAAGGGCTGTCTTTTTAAATTGTAGTTATTCATTATGAAATAAAGTGTTTACAAATGCAGTTAATTCTATGCTTTTTTCTGTTTTTTTTTTTTTTTTTTGGTCCTGGAACAAATTTAATGGAACCAATAGCATATTTCCTTGGTTTTAATTATGCACAGTGTTTTTGATGTTGCCAATTTTCCTAAAGAATAGCAAATGCTGCCTTTTACTGAATAGCTTTGATTGTGTGCATTACATGCTAAACATTTTCCTTTTCCTATAGCAGCTATTAAGCATGGTGACACCCACAATGTCCCAGCATGGCCAGGCATCCCCTGAGTTGTCTTTTACTAAGAAGGACATAATTCTAAATGTTCTCTCCTTAAAAAGCAACATATAACTTATCTTAAATATTAAAACTAAAATATTAACCCTAGTGGAAATTTGCAAGATGGTAAAAATTTGATGGAAATTTGTCTAGTGCTGACTTTTAAAAATGCCTGTGTCTCTTTCAATCTTATATTCCTTCTTCTCCTGTACTATGTACTCAAATACATGTATGTGTACACTTTGGTATGTCTGTTTGTGTGTATGAGTGTGTGCATATCTGTGTGTGTCTGTGCATGAGTGTGTATCATGGAGACATGCTATTTTATTATAACTCAGGTATTAAGGGTGTCATTCTTGCAAGATTCCTTATTCTGCACAAGGCCTGTTGTTATTGATGTTTGTTGAATTAAATTAATTGACGTACTGTTACTCAAGACTTTGGTTCATACTTTCCCACAAAAGAAACAAAGAAAAAAGCAAAAAGACTCTCCATCTCTTATTTTTTTTCTCTCTCGTATACTAACTCACGGACAAGCTAATAAATGTGCACATAAAGCTAAACCATTACACATTTTTAAATACTTTTTTATGATGCCTTCCGAATGATCATTTGTTCCCTTTGCTTTCTGAGTAATGGGAGCACTATATGAGCTACATAAAACTCATATGAAGTAGGTATATTTCAAATTAACTATAATGGTGACCCTTTTTTACTCAAGTAACATTAAGTATTTTTGAGAAACTCTCAAAAAGTTTCTTTTTAATTTCTCTCTCTAAATGAAACTCTCCAACAGCCTTTCTAGAGTCCTATCCATAAATGTTGTAGTCAGTTTGGGTAAAAAAATTTTCAGTGGCTTTGTTCCACAGCAAGCAGGTGCCAAGAGGAGAAAAAAGGAAGGATTTATGCCACGGATTCAAAGCGCATGCCAGTTGCGTAAGGGTGCAGAATCACAATTAGGTGGAATGTAAACAACCCTGGCAATGTGATTCAACCATAAAGTCCAAATAAAGGAGAACTATATGTGGATAGGTTAGAAATAGACAGTACAGAGTTAAAAATGATAGATGGATGGCAAATAGATTTGATAGATAGATAGATGATAGATGATAGATAGATAGATAGATAGATAGATAGATAGATAGATAGATTCATAATTAAACCTGGAGACGTAAATATAAATAAGAGTCGAGAGTTCAGGACTCCAGAAGGGAGTGTGCTATTTTATCTGGTTTCCACTTCCTGTTTCTAAGGCTGGCTGAGGTGTGTAAAAAAAGTCTCACTAAATGAATAACAGCTCACATACTACTAATAATAATTCATTGAACATAGATATATGCAAGTGCTATACTATATAGTTTGTCTTTGATCCTTACAGTAGTATTGTGATGAACACAAAACGTTTATCATTTTATAGATGATGAAATAGAAGCTTAGGGAGTTTTAAAAACATACATGGCCAGGTGCAGTGGCTCACACCTGTAATCCCAGTACTTTGGGAGGATCACTTGAGCCCAGGAGTTTAAGCTCAGCCTGAACAACATGACAAATCCTTGTCTCTGCAAAAAAATACAAAAATTAGTCAGGCAGGGTGGAATGTGCCTGTAGTTCCAGCTACTTGGGTGGTTGAGGCAGAAGGATCGTTTGAGTCCAGGAGGTCAAGGCTGCAGTAAGCTGTGGTCACACCACTGCACTCCAGCCTGGGTGACAAAGCAAGCTCTGTCAAAAAAAATTTAAAAATCACAAGGTCATATAGTGAACAAGTAAAAAATATAGTAAGGATCTGAATTCAGGTCGCTCCGATTCTAGCCTCTGAAATCTAACCACTAGAAGTGCACTGTGAAATATGGTAGTCATTAGCAACATATAGCTATTTAAATTTAAACTAGTAAAATCAATAAACTTTAGAATTTGGTTATTCAGTCCCACTAATCGCATGTCAAATGCTTACTAGCCACATGAGTCTTGTGGCTACCATATTGGACAGGGCAAATAAAGACTGCCAACTTTGCAGAAAGTGCTATGGGAGAGCTGCAATAGACCAAACTGCTTTATCAAAAATTATTATTCTTATGTGATGGACTAAAGCTTGTATCAAAAATAAATAACTTATCACCTTTCTTCAAGAGGTCAGTTCAGGTTGATATATCATCTTTCCCTACTCAAGGCTTCCTGACATCAGCACTACTGATATTCGGGGGGCTGAATAATTCATCTTTATGAAGGGCTGTCCTGTGCATTGGAGAGTATTTAGCAGCTGCAATGGACTGAATGTTTATGTCCCCCACCCTCCAAAATCATGTGTTCATCATGTATTCAAATGCTAATGTGATGGTATTAGGCAGGACCTTTGGGAGGTGATGAGGTGATTAGGTCCTAAGAGTGGAAATCTCATGAATGGGATTAATTCCTTCATAAAAGAGGGCCCAGAACGGTTCCTCACCCTTCCTTCTAGTGAGGTTACAGTGAGAAGAAGGCCATCTATGAGGAGGATGCTCTCATCGACTCTGAATCTGCAGGCCTTTAGATCTTGAACATCCCAGTCTATGGTATTGTGAGAAATAAATTTGTGTTGTTTACAAGCCTCCAAGTCTATGGTGAAGGGTATTTCTTCAGGTGCCTTTGGACCAACCTAACTCCTCCCCCATTTTATTGCTTGTACTTCTCAGGAATAACTGTGGAATGAGCTGAGACTGCAACATCCTGACACAGGGAGGGATGCCTAGAACAGAGCAGGACTTGTTACTGTCCTTCTTAGGAAATGCAACATCTAGAATTAGGGAGGAACTGCCTGGGGCCTCCCTGGCTTTGATCTTCTCTCTCTTAGAAATAGAATGTGCTTCTTCAAAGCTTCACCGAGTGAGTTACATGGTCCCTGAAATATATAACCTAGGGCAGGCTGCCATTCAGAGTCTCTTAGTTGTGGTGCAAAGTGGAGCAAGCACAGAAAAGATTCCATCCTTCCTGGGCAGCTTTCTTGCCCTTTGGGAGACAGGCTCCCAAAGGATTGAAGACTTCTGTCTCTCACTGCCTATCTGTAAGTAATAAACCTGCTTTGTGTAATTTATTATATCTCACCAGACTCAGACAAATATGTAACCAGTGTATGGTGAACCGAAACAGTAGCCCAGGATGCAGTGGCCATAGGTATATGGACTTCTGTTTCTGGTGGTTGGTGCGGTGATGAACTTTGCTTTTCTCCACTCAGTGGGAGTCTTCTCTTGGCATTGGTAATTAATAAACATGCTTCACATATGGTGGTTTGTTATAGCAGCCTGAATAGTCTAAAACTGCAGCATCCCTGGCCACTACTCACCAGATGTCAGTAGCATCCCCTCCCAGTTGTGATAGTGAAAAATATCTCCAGACATTGCAAAATGTCCTCTGGGGAATAAAATTATTTCTAGTTAAGAACCACTTCATGAGGCCACTAACAGTAGGGTGTGGAGAAGGAAGCAGTACATGCTGAGAGAAGAAAGATCTTTATAAGGAAAACTTTTTCATAAAAACTTTTGCACTTCCTGATTCTGAGCCAGTGGGTGGCCAGAGCTAGTGAGGTCACAAGAAAATTTTACACTTACAGGCAGTTGGAGTTCTCAGGGTTCTGCTTCTCTCACTAAACGTGGAGGGCTGTTGTTTGAGAGACTGTGTGGACCTTGAAGAAATACACTGAACATTTACTTAAAAAAAAAATGAATCAATGAATGGAAGAGGAAACAAATGTACACATATTTGCAAGATGTCAAGACCTGAAACTCTACCAGCTTTTCACAAGAAGTCATAGTCTCACAGATTCAACGTTAGTTCAGCATCCCCCAGAAACAGACCCTGAAACAAAAGATTTGAATGAAAGTAATTTATTTGAAACATTGTCCCACAAATGACCAATAGGAAGATGGGTTAGTGACATAGTGATATGGTTTGGCTGTGTCTCCACGCAAATCTCATCTTGAATTCCAACATGCTGTGGGAGGGACCTGGTGGGAAGTAATCGAATCATGGAGGCAGGTCTTGCCCATGCTGTTCTCATGATAGTGAATACGTCTCACAAGATCTGATGATTCAATAAGGGGGAGTTTCCCTGCACAAGCTCTCTCCCATTGCCTGCTGCTATCCATGTAACCCGTGACTTGCTGCTCCTTGCATTCCACCATGATCGTGAGGCCTTCCCAGCCATGTGAAACTGTAAGTCTTTCAAACCTCTTTCTTTGGTAAAGTGCCCCGTCTCAGGTATGTCTTTATCAGCAGCATGAAAATGGACTAATACAGTAAATTGGTACCAGTAGAGTGGGGTGCTACTGAAAAGATAGCTAAAATTGTGAAAGCTACTTTAGAACTGGGTAACAGGCCAAGGCTGGAACAGTATGGAGGGCTCAGAAAAAGACAGGAGAATGCGAGGAAGTTTAGAACTCCCTGGAGACTTGTTGAATGACTTCCACCAAAATGCTGATAATGATGTGGACAATGAAATCTAGGCTGAGGTGGTCTCAGAAGGAAATGAGGAACTTGTTGGGAACTGGAGCAAAGGTGACTCTTGTTATGTTTTCACAAAGAGACTGGCGTCATTTTGCCCCTGCCCTAGGAATTTGTGGAACTTTGAACTTGAGAGAGATGATTTAGGGTATCTGATGGAAGAAATTTCTAAGCAGCAAAGCATTCAAGAGGTGACTTGGGTGCTGTTAAAGGCATTCAGTTTTATGAAGGAAGCAGAACATAAGTTCAGAAAATTTGCAGCCTGACAATGCTACAGAAAAGAAAATCCCATTTTCTGAGGAGAAATTCAAGCCAGCTGCAGAAATTTGCATAAGTAAGGAGGAGCCAAATGTTAATCCCGAAGACAATGAGAAAAGTGTCTCTACAACATATCAGAGGTCTTTACTGCCACCCCTCCCATCACAGGCCTGGAGGTTTAGGAGGAAAAAGTGGTTTCATGGTCCGGGCCCAGGCTCCCTCTGCTGTGTGCAGTCTAGGGAATTAGTGCCTTGCATCCCAGCCACTCCAGCCATGGCTGAAAGGGGCCAACATAGAACTTGGGCTGTGGCTTCAGAAGGTGCAAGCCCCAAGCCTTGGCAGCTTCCATATGGTGTTGAGCCTGCGAGTGCACAGAAGTCAAGAATTGAGGTTTAGAAACCTCCAGCTAGATTTCAGAAAATGTATGGAAACACCTGGATACCCAGGGAGAAGCTTGCTATAGGGGAAGGGCCCTCATGCAAAACTCCACTAGGGAGGTGTGGAAGGGGAAAGTGGAGTCAGATGCCCCATGCAGAGTCCCTACTGGGGCACTGCCTAGTGGAGTGGTGAGAAGAGGGCCACCATCCTCCAGACTCCAGAAAGGTAGATCCACTGACAGTTTTCACTGTGCACCTGGAAAAGCTATAGACACTCAACACCAGCCCATGAAAGCAGCTGGGAAGGAGGCTTCACCCTGCAAAGCCACAGGGCCAGAACTGCCCAATACCATGGGAACCCACCTCTTGCATCAGGATGACCTGGATGTGAGACATGGAGTCAAAGGAGATCATTTTGGAGCTTTAAGATTTGACTGCCCCACTGGATTTCAGACTTGCATGAGGCCTGTGGCCCCTTTGTTTTGGCCAGTTTCTCTCATTTGGAACAGCAGTATTTACCCAATGCCTGTATCCTCATTGCATCTAGGAAGTAACTAACTTACTTTTGATTTTACAGACTCATAGGTGGAAGGGACTTGCTTTGTCTTGGATGAGACATAGGACTGTGGGCTTTTTAGTTAATGCTGAAATGAGTTAAGACTTTGGGAGACTGTTGGGAAGGAATGACTTGTTTTGAAATGTGAGGACATGAGATTTTGGAGGGGGCTGAGGTGGAATGATATGGCTTGGCTGCGTCTTCACCCAAATCTCATCTTTAATTCCCAAGTGTTCTGGGAGGGACTTGGTGGGAGGTAATCGAATCATGGGGACAGGTCTTTCCCATGCTGTTCTCATGATAGTGAATACATCTCACAAGATCTGATGGTTATTATAAATGGGAGTTTCCCTCCACAAGCTCTCTCTCTTTGTGTGCTGCCATCCATGCAAGACGTGACTTGCTTCTCCTTACCTTCCACCATTATGAGACCTCCCCAGCCATGTGAAATTGTAAGTCCATTAAATCTCTTTCATTCATAAATTGCTCAGTCTCAGGTATGTCATTGTCAGCAGTGTGAAAGTGGACTAATTCAGATAGGCCAGGAAATATAGGGAAGAAAGTATTTGTTATCAGTTTAGTTACCATGATGGGTAACTGCAGTTTAATCCCAATGAACAATTCTGAGAGTACATGAGGTTAATGTGTTGCAGAGTTATTCCACACAAGGAGCAAGAGAGCTAGAGTATTTATATACCAACCTAGCCAGCCATGGACTGGGGGCTCCTAGGGATGATGGCTGGCTTATCGATTTCTCAGCACTTCCAACTTGCCCTCCACAAGCAGAACAGTTTCAGATCAAAGAAAGCCCTCTGGAAGTTGGCCAGCACCATTATAATTATGGAGTTCTAGGAGATAGTGGCAGAGAAGGGAGAGTCTCCCAGGCAACCAACAGTACAGTAGATATGTATTCGTATATCTATTTCTAAGTCTCTATCTAGGTATCTGCCCTGTGCATAGGTAATTAGCAAAGAGGTTGAGCATCCGTGATGTCAGACAGACAGAGGTGCAACTCTTAACTCCAAAGCACTCTTCCTCATATACCTGGTGTATCTCAAGCACTCTCTAGGTAATCACTGTTAGGGAAGCAAATTCCCAAGCTAGAAAGAGTTAGCACAGATTATCTTGTGATTCTTCCACCTCATTCTCCGTTTACTCTGGCCAAATTAAGTTTCCCCTTGATTGAAATTGCTTCATGTTCTTTACCCCATTTCATTTTCTCAATTCCTAGGGTAGGAATTGTTAATGTACTAATTTTACAGATGGGGAAATTAAAGCCCAAAGTGACTTGTCAAAGACCACAAAGTGGGCGAGCCTAGGTATTCTGAACCCAGGAGACATGTGCTCTTTATGATTATGCTACTCTGCCTTCATATAAAATAAAGGATGGAAAATATAGTGAATTGTGCTATTTCTTATGAGTAAATGACATCTGAGGAAATTTTGTAGCACTATACATCAGGGGCAAGACAGAAAAGACCCACAGGGAACTTTTAGGTTCAACATAGAAAAGAAGGACTTAGTTTCTGTCTTTGGAGAGAGCTATATGTAGGATTAAGATAGTATAATGCTCTCAAAATCAAGAAAATGGAAATGACAAAACATAAGTCAGAGGCTTGAAGAGCAAAGCCAAAGGAGATTTAAAGGCAAAATAATTTTATAAATATTTTAAAGTATCTAACTAGTGTCAATCTTAAGGCTTTCTGTCCAGGAAGCTCCAGAACCCTCAAGATGTGAGAAAGAAAATGCCCTACATTCACAGATTTAAGGTATAGAGAGATTGAAGATTTCAAAGTGGAGGACAGATTATCAAGTTAAAATCAATGATCCAGGAAGGAAGGCAGAAAGTCAGACCAAGGGGAACCATCACATTAGGACTGGAGAAACACAGAAAAAATAAAGATGACTATGATTCACCAGCCCTCCTCAGGGGCTACTCCTCAACTCCTCCTTTTATGGAAAAGTGCAAACTTTCTTGTGTAGAGAACACAGCAACCCTAGGTTGGGCTGTATTCTTTCTCTTGTCCTCTAATGTATCTCAGGTACACATCAACCTCCAGTAACAGCTACAAAATCCATAATTGCCCAAATTAATGCTTATTAACAACCCTCTACAGAATATTTAAATGGCTTTCAAATATGTAAACCGTCAGCTAAGAAACAGCAAGGCAGGTCTTTAATTTCTCAAAAAATAATCAGGCTTCAAATGTCTGTTTGAGCCACAATACTTTGACAAAATGTCAAAAGGAGTCAAATTACACATAAGCATCCCCTGCCCCCTAACCCCCAGCCCCACAGGCGTCCACTTGACTGCCTTTGCTTTTCCCGCTGGCATTTTGCCAGGGTTTTTGATCCTAGTTTTGTGACACTCAGGAGTCTCCAAGTACCTTAAGGACCATCAGATTCCCATAATGAGATTAATTTTAGTTCACTTCAATTTAAAAAGCAACTATATGTCAGGCTGTACTTTTAGGGGGAGAAAATGACACCATGAAATTAAAGGTCTTTGCCTCCTGGCAGGCTGACAGGGTTGACCTTGAACAGAAGTCGACAGTATTTTCTCTGGGGCATTTTTTTCTCACCTCTCTCTACTCAGCATCTGTTCCTCAGGAGTCTACTGCTATCCACTATCTTGCTCTCAACTGCAGTGACTAGGACAGCCTGTATTTATGAAGCACCTACTACATGCTAGGCACTACCATAGGAAAGTGGGGCATCTGCAATCCTCTTGGCAACCCTGCAAGGCAGGAAATAAACTCCCATTTCACAGATCAGGAAAATCTTTCAGAGACGTTAACCATCTTGCCTAAAGACCCTTCAATAATCAATGAATTGGCTAAGAATCAAAGATTACTCTGGCTTCAAATCCCTTTGTACATGCCAAAGAGAGAGAAAAAAAATGTTTGTTGTTGTTCTTCTCTTTCTAATCTTTGCCCAACAAGACATTTGATTAAGCATTAGAATCTACCTCCAAAGTATTGCAAGACAGGCTAGTCTTTCAGGAAACACCAAACAGAAGAGATGAGAAATTAAAGGTTTGAAATCACAAAGTCAAGAAAAGTAAAGGCTGACTGGTCAGGGTTGTGGTGGGGTGGGGTGGGTCCTTTATGGCAACAGGCACACAGGACTGATGCAGAACCTGAAACTGAGTATTCAATAAGCTAAAGGGCTATTAACGTAATGTTCTTAACAAATAAATCTCAAAGTGGGGTAGAAGCAGCAGAATAAAGGAGCTCTATCTAACCAAATGAGGGGCAGGTGTAATCAGAAAAAGTAACATTAAGCAGGTTTACAACAAGAGAAAAGTCAGGGAAACAAAAGCAGACATAACAACACCAACTCTCATTTAGTGAGTACTTATAAGTACTTACAATGCATCAGAAACTGTGGACATTCATCATCTCATATAACCATCAGAAATATTATCAAATCAGGCTGGGCACTGTGGCTCACACCTGTAATCCCAGTACCTTTGGAGGCATGTGGATCACTTGAGCCTAGGAGTTTGAGATCCACCAGGGCAACAAAGTGAAATCCCATCTCTACCAAAATAATACAAAAATTTTGTCCAGCATGGTGGCGCTTGCCTGTAGTCCCAGTGATTGGGGGAACCCCCCCCCAATATTTCAATGTAGGTTCTTTCTATTTTCCATAAGTGTTGGCTGGCTGAGAAATACAGAGAAAGAGTACAAAGAGAGGAATTTTACAGCTGGGCCTCCCGGGGTGACATCACATATCGGCAGGACTGTGATGCCCACTTAAGCTGCAAAACCAGCAAGTTTTTATTAAGGATTTCAAAAGGGGAGGGGGTGTAAGAACAGGGAGTAGGTCACAAAGATCACACGCTTCAAAGGGCAAAAACGAGAACAAAGATCACAAGGCAAAGGGCAAAAGCAAAGATCACAAGGCAAAGGGCAAAAGCAGAATTACTGATAAGGGTCTATGTTCAGCAGTGCATATATTGTCTTGATAAACATCTTAACAGAAAACAGGGTTCAAGAGCAGAGAACCAGTCTGAACAAAAATTTACCAGTCTGGAATTTCCCAATCCTAGTAAGCCTGAGGGTACTGCAGGAGACCAGGGCATATCTCAGTCCTTATCTCAACCACATAGGACAGACATTCCCAGAGTGGCCATTTATAGACCTGCCCCCAGGAATGCAATTCTTTTCCCAGAGTATTAATATCAATATTCCTTGCTAGGGAAAGAATTCAGCAATATCTTCCCTACTTGCACATCTGTTTATAGGTTCTCTGCAAGAAGAAAAATATGGCTTTTTTTGCCCTACCCCGCAGGCAGTCAGACCTTATGGTTGTCTTCCCTTGTTCCCTAAAATCGCATTATTCTGTTCTTTTTCAAGGTGCACTGATTTCATATTGTTCAAACACACATGTTTTACAATCAGTTTGTACAGTTAACACATTTATCACAGGGTCCTGAGGTGACATACATCCTCAGCTTACAAAAATAACAGGATTAAGAGATTAAGACAGGTGTAAGAAATTATAAGAGTATTATTTGGTAAGTGATAAATGTCCATGAAATCACAATTTATGTTCCTGTGCCGCAGCTCCAGCCGGTCCCTCTGTTCGGGGTCCCTGATTTCCTGCAACAGTTTAGCTCTGTGTCCCCACCCACATTTCATGTTGAATCGTGATCCTGAGTGTTGGAGGTGTGGTCTGGTGGGAGGTGACTGGATCATGAGGGAGTTTTTAATGGCCAGGCACCATCCCCCTAGTGCTGTCTCATGATAAAATTCTCACAAGATCTGGTTATTTAAAAGCATGTAGTACTTCTCCTTTCACTCTCTCTATTTCTCTCTTTCCACCATATGAAGGTGCATGCTTCCCCTTCACCCTTCCACCATGAGTGTAAGTTTCCTGAGGCCTCCCTGCCATGCTTCCTGTACAGCCTCTGGAACTGTGAATCAATTAAAAGTCTTTTATTCATAAACTACCCAGTCTCAGGTAGCTCTTTATAGCAGTGTGAGAATGAACTAATACACCCAGCTACTCCAGAGACTGAGGTAGGAGGATCCTGTGAGAGACTGAGGTAGTAGGATCCTGTGAGCCCTAGAGATTGATTCTGCAGTGAGCCATGATTGCACCAATGCACTCCAGCCCTGTCTCAAAAAAGAAAGAAGAAAGAAAGATTACCAAATCCCCCAAGTTTCCTCTGCTAGGATTTAAACCTAGGTAAGACTGATTCCAGGATATATTGTAACTTATGTGATAATTGGAAATGGAAGAATGCCTATTAAATAAAATCAGTTTCATTAGTCGTAAGTTCTTTTATGACTGGTCACTTCAAGGATTCAGACAACAAGCAATCAGTTCCCTCATGCCATGTAACATGTTCATGGTATTGTATGTTTGTATTAAAAATCTATGTCATTGGCTAGGCATAGTGGCTCAGGCCTGTAATAACAGCACTTTGGGAGGCCAAGGTAGGCGGATGACCTGAGGTCAGGAGTTTGAGACCAGCCTGGCCAACATAGTGAAACTGTCTCTACTAAAAATACAAAAATTAGCCAGGCATGGTGCCAGGCACCTGTAATCCCAGCTACTTGGGAGGCTGAGACAGGAGAATCACTTGAACCCAGGAGGTGGAGGTTGTAGTGAGCCAAGATAGCGCCACTGAACTCCAGCCTGGGCAACAGAGCAAGACTCCATCTCGAAAAAAAAAAAAAAAAATCAATGTCCTCAAAAAAAGATTAAACTATTTATCCCATCTTCTTTTTAAAAGGCGAAGGTTTATATAATGTGTCTTTGAAAGATTTCCATTTATTACTGTATACTTAATAATGATGAAATGGCTTCATTGTCTGGGGTAAATACCCAGGATTTGTTTCTTGCATCAAGAAAATCTAGGACATGGACACACACACAAGGAGTTTAGAAGTAGAGGTTTAATAGGCACAAAAGGAAAAAGGAGAATAGCTCACCTTCTCTCTAGTTAGAGGAGAGGGGCTTCCAAGAGAAAAAGGCTGGCCAGCAGTGGAGTTTGCCAGATTTTATAGATAGGTTTGAGAGGTGATGTCTGATTTACATAGGGCCCACAGAATGGCTCAATCAGGTGTGATGTGATGTTTACACAGGTGTGGGGAAGGCTGGCCACCCCACCCCAATCCTTTTATGCAAATGGGCATTCCCCTTGGCCACGGCCATCTTGTCTGCTCCCTACTGTACATGGTAGCTGACAAAGAGAAGTGAGGATGAAGCCGCCATTTTGAACATGATTGGCACAATTGCTGGCATCTATGTCTACTGCTCGATTTTACAAGCTGATTTTGTTAGAAAGGAAAATGATTTGAGGTTGCTTTTCATTAAAAGGAAAACCTTATCGAGGACTTCTATACCCTCCCTATCTGCCTAAGTAATTTCTTTTTAACTCCTATATCAATGACACTTTATAAAAATAAACCTTAGTCTGGAAGATAAACTCAGGGGCATCATTTTATTTGCAGCCATAAAGGCCAGTCCTCAACTGTGGCTGAACAGCATCTCTTATAGCTTGCTCACTTTTAGCACATTTTATCTTCATATTAAGAATCTGTGACGTTGCAGGATAGAATTCAAAGAGCTCACATTTTCTGTCTCCTTTGCAGCTGGGTGCAGACAGGGGACCTAGCTTCTGACAGTAGAAGCACTCATGGAGACACGGATTTGGAAGTGAGCAACATGAGGAAAGTGCCACATAGCGAAGGCAGTGGCAGGGTGGAAGTGCCAGTGTCCCACCTGACCTCAAATTTTAAGTGCCCAGCAGCAACAGCTGGAGATATTTTTCCTAAAGAAGTCCTTGCCCCATCCCCCCAAGCCCCTCTTTATTCCTACCTACTTCCACCAAGCCTCTCTTCTGTGGTTTGCCACCAGGCATGGTGGAGTAACTTCCTGGTCTGGCTCTAGTCCTTCAGGAAATTCTAACCTGATATACTTGTCTGCTTGAATCTAATATACTTGTCTGCTTGATCTAGCCAGCATAGGTTTTGCCGTTTACAACAAAGGGCCCTGACTGACACCCAAACACATCCTCATAAAAGAAGTGCTGTTGAACTAGCTTTTGAAGTAGTGGTATATTGAAGAAGGATGCTGGTTTAGTGAAAATTTTACTTCTAAGGATATGTTGAGGGTGCATTTTATCTTAAGATTTTAAACTCATAGAAAGTTAGAGTTTTAAAGACTTAAATAATCATCCTGGTTCTTACATCCTTGTTTTATAGATTAAAAAAAAAAAAACTTGCAACTCAAAGAGGTGAAAAATGACTTAGCCAGAGGCAATACCACTGATAAAATACAAAGCACAGACTAAAATCCAGTTTCTCTGACTTGAGTTCAGTGTGTTGTTTTTTTTTTTTTTTTGTTCCCTGTAGGTTCTCTGCTCTCGGCTTTGCCCAGACACAAGGCAGGGCAAGAATCATGTCTCAGCTAGCTCAATTTGGAATGTCCCCTTCTGGGGTCCGGTTGCCCAGTGGCACGGAAATCAGAAAATGGATTCAAATGTCCCTGGATGCTGATTCTTGCTCCTTTGGTCAAGTTCCAATTAGGGCCTCATAAAGTTGCAACATTAGGAAACTTATCCCTTCTCCTCCAGCTGCCTTTATATTCACTGTAAAAATAATTTTTAAAAAGGGGGAATGTGAAGAGCATTTAGCTTAGATACAAGTTAGATTTGTAGTGAACTGCAGTGCACACTGTTTTCATATGTCAGTAGGTCTCCATAACCCCAGAAAGATGAAGGCACCACCTTTCATCTTGATTGATAGGGAGAATTCTATTCTGTATCAGAAAGGCCACATTGCATTGTGCTTAACAAATGGCTCAGGACCTCTACCAAATAGTGAATTATCTTCCGTTGAGCAAGCTATCACTTAGTCTTTTCCAAAACATTGGTTTCTTTATTTGTATATTGGGGTTAAAACATCATATATCTCATAAAGCTATATATAAGAAACAATTCATATAAAGTCCCACAATTATAGTAAGCACTTTAAAAATGCTACATAAGCTGCACAAATACATATTTGTTAACAGTCATTTACCTTCTTATGCAGTTCTAATCTTACGTTGTTTTTAGAAAACTGCTGATTCTAAGATCTGCTGCCACAGTATCCAGCTAAGTTCAGGCTAGATATGATAGACAGTCTCCATTTTAGAATGTATCTAGAATAGTATAAGTTCTTTACAGCTGCCCTATTTCCAAGTAGAGGTTGCACTGTCAGCTGTGTACCAGAGACTAGAGTTGGGGCAGCGGGGCAGGCTTAGATAGAAGGAAAAGAGCAGAAGCTATTTCAAACATTTCTCATAAAAAACAAATTCAAAGCTCTTAGATCCATTATATGGAAGATATACAGTTGGATATAAATCTTTAATGTGAGAGCAATAATAAATATTACTTTACACAACTGTTTGGCACTATGTTGAGTTAGGACAAGGCCAGAATTGCCTAACTTCAAGTAAAAATTTCCGCCCACATCTGACATAGCTCGAGCACAATGTTAAATGCACTCTAGTTTTTCCTTCCAGTCTACAGACTTCAATTTAGAGACCTGATGACTCTGCCTTCTTACTCCTTATGGCTTTATTTTTACCCTCCTCACTAAAGTAAACTTTCTTTTGGGCTGTAGAAAAGAGTAGGTCAGGAGGTTTATCAAAGGCAAGATGACCTTCTCTTCATCATGTTTTAAACCCCCTACTATTAGAGTGGAACTGCTCTGAATGTTTCAGAGGTTTGTACTAACAGATTCCAATCAGATGGACACACATCTCTTTTTTTATAAGATTCATAGAGAATAAGATGATGCAGCTTCTCTTATTAAGATACTGTCTATGTTTAACAATCTGCATCATTAGGACACAGCTAGTTTAAATCCCATAGGCAATTTATTATCAATGCTAATGAACCATACTGGATGTCAAAAAGTTAGTGTGAATATATTTCAGTATGGGCAAATTTCTTTGTGAATATATTGCTATTCACATTGAAATCTGCATGCAAATTACAATTCTACTTCCCTACCTTAACCTTTGATTGTTTCTGATTAATTCTTAGGTTCTTCTGGCATCACCAGTTACACTAATGAAGCAATAATTTGGTTTGTAAAAGTATTCCTTGCTGGCTGAACTTGAACTTCAATTTACCATCAACTTTTCCATTCCATATTGTTTTTCCTTGTTATACAAAGTCTATATCTGAACAATTCATTGTGGTAGGCACTAGCCATGTGTAACTATTTATATTTAAATTAATTAAAATGAAATGAAAAATTCAATGCCTCAGTGGCACTAGCCACTTCCTTGGTCCTCAATGGACACATGTGGCCAGTGACTACTTATTGGACAATGCAGGGAACATTCCTGTCTAGAGAACATTCAATGATCTAGATTATATGTCAACAAACGGTAAAAGCAAAGTGATAGTAATATCATTAATTAAAAATGTTTATTATTTGCTAGGCAGTGAAGAGATTTCTTACAGCAATTCTGTGGATTGGATGCCATTATTATTCTTGTTTTAGAATCTGCAGTGATACGTCTAGTGGGATATAATTATAAACAATCTAAATTTTTTCCCATTGTCTTTTAAATATACTTGGTGGGGTTAGTGGTGTTCCCTTACACTTATGTGAAAACTTAGGCAGTCTGATTTTGTGATCATTTTAATAAAGTCCTACAATAATTTTAAGTCATCAAACACAATATCAGTTCAATAATGAACATGTCTGGCCTCATGTAATATCAAAGCTCTGAAGCTGATTTAAAGTTGAGGCTTCTCCCTGCAGCTCTGCCTGTGGCTGGCAGGAAGACATCATGGAATAAAGGAGGTTTGGTTGCCTTCTTCCCTTTATCTCTGAGTAGTATTAATATTTCTTTCATCCTCCATCAGCTTGAATACAACAGCTAGTTTTAAACTAACAGTTTGATAGGCATTTCTGTAGGTTCTCCAATGATTTCCCGTCGCCGAGGATGTCCCTGCATTTCCTTTGCCAAGGTCCAATACATGTCTATTCTGTTGGATGAGGAGTTGAGATGTGACTACTTTCACTTTCAGTCCTAATAATTTGACTAGGGTTCTGTTTTCCCAGCTGAGGTCTGTTTGCCCCCTTGGACAAACAGACACTAGGACAGATCAGTGATTATTCTATATTGGATCTTCATGATTAACCTCTGATTCATGGGAAACACTCCTACATCCTTTGCCATGAACAAACTCTAAAAATTTAGATTCGTTTCCACCATTGGAGTGGATAGCCAGCTAGTCATTCATCCTTTAAATCAATCAGACTTGTTGCATGTACCAGCCCACTGTATCTCCCAAAATTCAGGAGATAAATATTAATAAGACCTCAGAATGGTCACCTTAAAGCTACTGTCTTGTAATTGAGCAGGCTGGTACTCATAGTCTAATTCTCTGCAAAGATAATTTCCCAACCTCCAACTCTGAAACTTTTTATACACGTGGATATGCCACGCAATAGAGTGTTTTTAGTACCTCCTCTTTTTTAAGTACATACTTCAATAGGTTTTAGTAGATACATAGAGTTGTGCAACCATCACTATACTCAATTTTAAAATAGGTCTTCACCCCAGAAGAAATCCTATAATATGTTAGCAACCTCTCCCCACTCCTCCTCATAGCCCCAGTCCTAGGCAACAACTAATCTATATCTGCCTCTGTCTATTTGCTTATTCTAAATGTTTCCCATAAATGGAATCACACAATATGTAGTCTTATGTAACTGGATTCTTTCATTTAGTGTAATATTTTCAAGGTTCATCCATTTTGTCATATTACATTATATTACATAATTGTATTTAGATTTTATTACTTCATTCCTTTTATTGTCAAATAATATTACATTGTTTGGATATGCCACAGTTATCTATCTATTCATCAGTTAATGGACATTGGGTTGTTTCTACTTTTTGTCTGTACTAATGCCACTAAGAACATTCATGTAGAAGTGTTTGTGTGAACTATTTATTTATTTATTTATTTGAGATGGAGTCTCGCTCTCTCACCAGGCTGGTGCAATGGCGCGATCTCGGCTCACCCTCTGCCTCCTGGGTTCAAGTGATTCTCCTGCCTCAGTCTTCTGAATAGCTGGGATTACAGGCATGCACCAGCACGTCCAGCTAATTTTTGTATTTTTAGTAGAGATGAGGTTTCACTGTGTTGGTCAGGCTGGTCTCGAACTCCTGACATCGTGATCCTCCCGCCTCGGCCTCCCAAAGTGCTGGGATTACAGGCGTGAGCCACCACGCCCGACCTGTGTGAACTATTTTACACTTCTCTGAGAAAATACATAGAAGTAGAATTGCTGGGTCTTATGGTAACTCTGTGTTTAATGTTTTGAAGAGCTGCCAAATTATTTTCTAAAAAAGAAGATATCATTTTCTATCCCAAACAGCCATGCATAAAGATTTCAATTTCTCTCTGTTCTTGTCAACACTTGTTACTATCCGCCTTTAATAAAAAGGGCTATAATAAAATATTTACCCTAGTCCTAGTAGGTATGTAGTGGTATCCCATGGTGGTTTTGATTTGAATTTCCCTATTGGCTAATGATATTGAGCACCTTTTCTTTTGCTTTTTGAACAACTGTGTATCTTCACTGAAGAATTATCTTGTCAGATCCTTTGCCTTCTTAAAAATTTGGTTATCTTCTTATCCTTTCCTTGTAGAGTTTCTTCAGTATTTTTTAAAAAAATCTATTATCAGGCCCCACATGTTCACTCACACCTGTAATCCCAGCATTTTTAGAAGGCTGAGGCAGGAGGATTGCTTGAGATCAGGAATTTGAGAACAGCCTGGGCAATATAGGGAGACCCTGTCTCTACAAAGAATTAGCTGGTGGCACATGCCTATAGTCCCAGCTACTCAGGAAGCTGAAGCAGGAGGATAGTTTGAGCCTGGGAGGTTGAGGCTGCAGCGAGCCATGATCACGCCACTGCACTCCAGCCTGGGTAGTAAAGTGAGACACTGTCTCAAAAAAAAAAAAAAGAAAGAAAGAAAGAAAAACCATTATCAGATACATAATTTGCAAGTATTTTATTCAAATATATGTTCCATTATATTTTTGATTGAATGTTTACAGCACTAAAGTTTTTAATTTTGTTAAAGCCCAATATACGTATTTTTTCTTCTGTCATTTGTGCTTTGGTATCATATATAAGGTTTTTTTTTACCCCAAGTTCGCCAACAATCCAAGTTTACTTATAATGAAACTTGTAAGAATTGTATACTTTTAGCTTATAGTTAGGTCTATGATTCACCTTGAGGTACTTTTGTGCATGATCTGAGGTAAAGGTCCAGCTTCATTCTTTTGCATATGGGTATCTAGTTGTTCTGCTACCATTTGTTGAAAAGATCACTCTTTACTATACTGAATTGTTGTGGTACCGATGTAGGACATTTGACTATAAATAAAAGAGACTATTTTGGGCCCCTCAGTTCTGTTTCATTGATCTATAAGTTTGTATTCATGCCAATATCACACTGTCTTGATTGCTATAACTCTGTAGTAAGTTTTCAAATCAGGAAGTATGAGTCTTCCAACTTTGTTCTTTTTAAAAGATTGTTTTGGCTATTCATTTCCACATGAATTTTAGGAATGGCTTGCCAATTTCTGCAAGAAGAAAAGGTGGAATTATGATAGGAATACATTGAATCTATATGTAGATCAATTTGGGGAATACTGCCATCTTAATAATGTTAATTCTTCTGATCCGGGAATATGGAATGTTTTTCCATTTATTTAGGTCTTCTCTTACTCCTGTCAGCAATATTTTGTAGTTTTCAGGGTACAAATTTTGTGCTTTTGGGATTAAATTTATTCCTTAGTATTTTAATTGTTCAATGCTATTGTGTAGGAAATTTTTGTGTGTGTGTTTTGTTTTGTTTTTTTGAGAGGAAGTCTCATTCTGTTGCCCAGGCTGGAGTGTAGTGGCATGATCTCAGCTCACTCTGCAACCTCCGCCTCCCTGGCATGAGCGATTCTCATGCCTCAGCCTACTGAAGTAGCTGGGATTACAGGCATGCGCCACCACAGCTAATTTTGTATTTTTAGTAGAGACTGAGTTTCACCATTTTGGCCAGGCTGATTTCAAACTCCTGACCTCATGTGATCTGCCTCCTCAGCTTCCCAAAGTGCTGGGTTACAGGCGTGAGCCACCATGCTTGGCCTGGGAATTGTTTTCTTAATTACATATTCTAGTTTTTCATTTCTAGTGTACAGAAATACAAATGATCTTTGTGTACTGATCTTACATTCTTCAAACTTTCATAACTCTTTCATGTTTCTAATAGGTTTGGGGCATTCTTAAGAATTTTCTATATTCAGGATCATGCCATTGGCAAATAGAGTTTTCCTTCCTTTTTTCCCATCTGAATGCATTTAATTTTAATTTTTATTTATTTATTTAGTTATTTATGTAGTTAGTTAATTAGTTAGTTAGTTTTTGCCTAATTGCCCTGACTAGAACTAGAACCTTCAGCGCAATATTGAATAGAAGTGATGAGAACATACATCCTTGCTTTGTTCCTGATCTTAGGGAGAAAGCGTACAAACTTTTATCAGTAATATGTTAGCTGTGGGTTTGTGATAGAAGCCTTTTCTTTGATTGAGAAAGTCCCCTTCTATTCCAAGTTTGTTGAGTGTTTTAATTATAAAAATATGTTGGGTTTTTTCAAACGCTTTTTCTGTTTCTATAATGATATATTTCTTTTTCTTTATTCTGTTAATATGGAATTACATTAATTGATTTTCAAATGTTAAGTAACCTTGCATTCCTGGGATAAGTCCAACTTCATTATGGGGTATAATTATTTTTATATGTTGCTGGATTCAGTTTGCTTGTATTTTGTTCAGGATTCTGGCATGTATATTCATAAGAATACTGCTTGGAGGTTTTCTTTTTTATTACCTTTTTGCTAGGTTTGGATCAGGGTAATACTGATCTCATAGAAAGTGTCCCCCCCTCCTCCTCCTCCTCCTCATCTTCCTCCTCCTCCTCCTCCTCCTCCTCCTTCTCCTCCTCCTCCTCCTTCTTCTTCTTTTTAAAAATTCATATTAATTGTTCTTTAAATGTTTGGTAGAATTCACTAGTAAAGCCATCTGGGCCTGGGATTTTTTTAATTAAAATTTTTGTTTAAATTACTAATTCAATCTTTTTTTCTTGGTATAGATCTATTCACATTTTCTATTTCCTCATGAGTTGGTTTTGGTAGCTAATGTCTTTACAGAAATTTGTCGATTAAATTACCTCATGGGTTGGCATGAAGTTTTTTTATGTGTTAATAATGCTTTTTATTTTTATAAACCTGGTGGTAATGTTCTTCTTTCATGTATGATTTTAGTATTTTGAGTCTTCTCTCTTTTCTTGATCAGTCTATCTAAAAGTTTGTCAATTGTGTTGATCTTTTCAAAGAAACAACTATTGCTCTTATTGATTTTCTCTGTTGTTTCTTTATTCTCTATTTTATTAATTTCTATTCTAATTTGTATTACTTCATTCTTCCCACTTTAGATTTATTTGTTCTCCTTTTTTCAGTGCCATATGGTGGAAGTATAGGTTATGATTTAAGATATTTCTCTTTTTAATATAGATATTTACAGCTATCAATTTTTCTCTGAGCAGTACTTTCACCACATTTCAAGTTTTGTTATATTGCATTTGTATTTTCATTCATCTCAGCATTTTCTGATTTCTCCAGTGATGTCTTATTTGCTGCATTGGTTATTTAGAACAATGTTATGCAATTTACACATATTTGTAATTCTCCCATCTTTTCTTCTCTTATCAGTTTGTAGCATACTTGATATAGTTTCGATCTTTTTACACTTATTAAGGCTTTTCTTAATGGCCTAACATATGGATCTACCCTGAAGAATGTTCCATGTGCCCTTAAGAAGTACATTTTGCTGTTTGTGGGTATAGTGTTCTGCAGATGTTTGTTTAGTATAGTTGGTTTATAGTCCTGTTCAAGTCTTCTATTTGCTTGTTGATCTTCTCCATAGTGAACTATTATGAGTTGTCTATTTCTTTCTTTAGTTCTGCCATTTTTGCTTCGAGTCCTTTGGGCCCTGTTAGTTGCATACCTGTTTTTAAGTGTTACATTGTCTTAATGGATTAATCCTTTTATCACTCTACAACCTTCTTCATTGAGTACCTCCTTTGAAAATGTGCACCCTGGTCTGAAACTTCATTTTGGCATATGATATTTTGATGGCTTTCATTTTAACATTCTGTTCTATAGAGGTTTAGTTACTTGTCCAGTGTTGGACACCCAGTAAGGGACAGGCCCTGGGAGGTAATTCTTTATCAGACTTTAAAGTTGGGCTGGGCATGGTGGCTCACGCCTGTAATCCCTGCACTTTGGGAGGCTGAGGCAGGTGGATGACCTGAGGTCAGGAGTTCGAGACCAGCCTGGCCAACATGGCGAAACCCCGTCTCTACTAAAAATACAAAACAAAATCAGCTGGGTGTGGTGGCAGGCACCTGTAATCCCAGCTACTGAGGAGGCTGAGGCAGAAGAATTGCTTGAGTGGGAGGGGGAGGTTGCAGTGAGTGGAGATCGCACCATTGTATTCCAGCCTGGGCAACAGAGGCACACCCCATCTCAAAAAAAAAAAAAAAAATTAAAAGAAAAAGAAAAAAAAAGTTGGTACGTACTCTTATGCTAATTTTTAAAGTAGTTCCTGCTTTTTCTCTTGCCCTAAATCATTAGGTGAGAACCTAAATATCTGATAATTCAATGCCCTTGGGAAAAACAGGAGCTGAAATGCATGAGCTTTAGAATCACATGGACTTGACTGACCATACCAGTCCCTCTAATTACTGACGATTTCATCCCTCTGAGCTGTAGCTCCCTCATCTTCCTTTTTAAAATTCTTATAAAAAGCACATGAAATATTCTATGTAAGATATATAAATTATCAAGGTAACTTGTATATCATAGCTTAATAACTATTAATGTCATTGAAATTGTCTCTTTTCCTGGTTAAGCAATTCTAATTTACTTAAATTCACTTCAAATTTAAAAAAAGATATAATCAAGATAAAAAATTCACAACCCATTGGCAAATACATCAAGATTTAATCAGATATATATTAATCTAGGATCATAAGTAATATAAATAAAATTAAAAGACAAGGAATTTCTGGGGAAAATATGGCTTTTAGCACATTTCCTCACTCTGTAAAAATTAGTAGTGTACACTTAATATAAAAGAAATCCTAAAATCAATAACAAAATACAAAAAATACAAAATGAAAATTGGAGAAAAATATAAGCAAGAAATTTATAGAAAGGAAAATTCAATAATGTTGTAAATGAGAAAATACACTGGTTTTAAAAATGAAAAATAATATTCATATATTTGACCATCAAACAATTGAAGATATCAATAATATCCAATAAATGTACGAAAATGGAGACTCAGACTCCTGTGGAGTGAAGTATACATTTTTAAATTCTTTTTGAAAACTAACCTGGGCCCAGTGCAGTGGGTCATGCCTGTAAACCCAGCACTTTGGGAGGCCGAAATGGGTGGATCACCTGAGGTCAGGAGTTCAAGACCAGCCTGGCCAACATGGTGAAACCCAGCCTCTACTAAAAATGCAAAAAAAATTAGCTGGGCATGGTGACAAGCACCTGTAGTCCCAGCTACTTGGGAGGCTGAGGCAGGAGAATCGCTTGAACCTGGGAGGTGGATGTTGCAGTGAGCCAAGATCATGCCATTGCACTCCAGCCTGGGCAACAAGAGCAAAATTTCGTCTAAAAAAAAAAAAAAGAAAAAAAGAAAACTAATCTGGCATATCTATTAAAATTTAAATTGAGAATATATTTTAGACAGTCCTACTTTAGGAATCTATCCTATAGAAGTCAAAACATCAACATGGTTTGTAGTGAAATCTTACCAAAAGTTGAATTCTGTTCATGTGGGAAATTAATTGAATAAAATATAATATTTTCAGACTCTATTACATTACACAGCTATGAAAAAGCATAAGTTATTCTACTCATGTTCACCTGGAGAAAGTTTATTAGTAAGTGAACAAGAAGGTTATAGAGCAAAGTATATGGTACTATACTAATACCTTTTTTTGTTAAGGGACAAAAATAAAACCATCCATTTATACAAGTGAAATAAGGAAAATTACATCATCAGTGTGTTAGCATTTGTAATTAATTCAAGAAATAACACTGGAAAGTGAAGGGAACACTATTTACTTTTTCACTTTATACATCTGTATTGTTTGACTTGGTATAAGAAGCAGACATTTTAAAATTCTGATTTTTTTATTAAAGGAGATAAAGAAGAGAAAAAAATTGGTAAGGACAAAGGACAAATAGAACAGTAATGGAAGAAGGTAGGAGAAATACCCCTGGGTATTTTCAAAAGAGAATAGAAATGAAGTCAGAAGAATTCAGCACTAGAGCATGTCTTCTCTGTGAGTCATTAGGTTTGTCAGATAAAGGAAAAGGAACACCCAGCAGTATTGCTTGTCTCCTTTGGGAAGGATGCTTCTGCAACTGTGGACACCTTACTATGTCTGTAATCTTTCATTTCTATTCTGCTTTTATGTGCCAAATAGTATTCACTTTTTCTATGGCAAGTATCACTCTGCATTTTCACTGCCCTGGAAGAAAGGCATTAACAGTGTCAGAGACATCAGATTCCAATCAAGCTTACTCTTGAAAATTAAATACCTGAGCATTTGGTTTAAAAATTGGTCAATTGGTTGCCACCAGAGTAAACCATCACAAAAGCTAATTTGGTAGATGGTCATAAATCTCCATCCCATTAGACATGTTCATTCCTAGATGATATTTAATAAACATGAAAGATCATTCTATCTTCTGGACTTAAAAATGACTGTAATCCCAGGTTTGCAGGAGGCAGAGGCAAGAGGGGCTTGAGCCCAGGAGTTGGAGACCATCCTGGGCAACACAGTGAAACGATGTCTCTACAGAAAAAAAAAAAAAAAAAAAAAAAAAAAAAAAAAAAAAAAGACAATGGAGGTAAAGAAAAACAAATGAGAAATAGGCCTACTATGTATTCATTGTGTGTGATGCATCCCTTCTCTACCAATTGGCATATGATTTATCAAAGGATAAACTGCACAGCAACACACACAAAGCATAGAAGAAACAAACTATAAAATATACTCTTGTAGATGTTGTGTATTGTATTAGTCTGTTCTCGACTGCTATAAAGAAATACCTGAGACTAAATAATTTATAAAGAAAAGAGGTTTAATTGGCTTATGGTTCCACAGGCTGTACAGAAAGCATGGCAGCATCTGCTTCTAGGGAGGCCTCAGGGAGCTTACAATCCTGGTGGAAGGTGAAAGAGAAGCATGCACATCTTACATGGCCAGAACGGGGGGAAGAGAGAGAGGGGCAGAGGTGCTGCACACTTTTAAACAACCACATCTTAAGAGAATTCACTCACCATCACAAAAACCCCACTGAGGGGACGGCACTAAACCGTTCACGAAGGATCCGCCCCAATGATCTAATTACCTCCCACCAGGCTCCACATCTAACATTAGGGGTACAATTTAACACGAGATTTGGATGGGGACACAGATCCAAGCCATCTCAGGTATTAACCATGCTGTGTTATTATAATGTTTAGATGTAAAAGAGTCTTATCGAGAAAGTGATTTTAGATAATATACACAGGAAAAAATACATTTTATTTACTATAAATACAAATACCATCCCTTACACATATTAACGTACCACATTAATTAATACATTTGATAGAAGTAATTTACGTATTTAGCTTTTCCAAAAAAGCTTCCTAGAAATTTGTCCCTTAATAATTTTTTCAAAATTCATGTTGTTCTTATTGAAGATCTTTAAATTTATCACATTGTGTTAGAATAAAAGATCTGATGCAGACTAGGAAAGACTGAAAAACAATTTCAGCAAATGCTATTTGTTTATTGTATGGTTCTTCGTTGTTTTACTTTACATATTTGTACAAAGTCTTTACTACTTCTATTCACCTTAAAAAATGCCCTGAAAAATAAAAACAGCAATGTTGCAGTTTAGTGTTCCACTACATTTTTTTAAATGTTATGTAGAGTCTAAATCCAATCATCCTTATATATTTTATGTCCTATCTTGTCTCTCAATCTTCTACTCCTATCATTCTCTATTTGTCCTTCTTGGCATTTTGGTGTTATAACTAAGGGTTATTTCTGCTCATGGTGGCATTTTTCAGATGATGTCCAGGTGCATATCGACTGTTGTCACTTTATTCCTTGTTTAGGAAAGAATAAATCACCACTACTTCTAAACATATTTTTCTCTAAATATATCATGTTTGATTTTTGGAAACTTTTTCATTTATACTTAAATATATTGATAAATAAATGTATATGAATATATAAGAATAACATTGAACAAAACCTTCACAAAAATGTTAACATTTATATAATTAGATGGCATCAAAGTACTGTAAACTGCCATGCAAAGAGGCTTCTAAATTTAGATAGCTGGCAAATAATACAATTAAATAGAAAAAATACCATTCTCTCAAAGAGAAAGCAACACACACTGAAATATGCCAGAATCTCCCTGCCTTGTAACTTCTCATTTATGATTGGCCATTTTGCTTGCCACATTATCTTGTACCATTATTCTCATATTTGTATATCTTGTTAATGTCAAAGATTCATATTTACAATCACAGTTTTGAATAGTTAAGTTTTTTATCTCCATTTATTTGTGATATCACTTGTGCTTCCTACCTCAAGGAAGAAATGATAATAATAACATGCACTGACCACTATATATGGGCCAGCACAATTCTAAGCACTTTCTATGGACTTTCCTTTTCTTTCTCCCCATAGTTTCTATTTCTTTTATTTCTGTGTCATATAAATAAATCTGAGTCACAGAGAGGTTGAGCAAATAGCCAAAAGTTGCAGAATTATTAAGGATCAGAAAACTCCAAACTGGAAGCTTCAACAATCAATTAATAAGTAAGCTATACTGTATAGAGTAGATGCTTCAACTGTAGAAAATTGGGCATCATGTGTATTAGTTATCTATTTTTGCATAATATGATACTCCAAAACGTCGTGGCTTAAAACAACAAAATTTATTACCTCTGAGTCAAGAATGTTGGAATGGTTTAGCTCTGCGGTCCCCAACCTTTTTGGCACAAGAAACCAGTTTCATGGAAGACAATTTTTCCATGATGGGGAGCGGGGATATGGTTTCTGAATGAAACCGTTCACCTCATTAGATTCTCATAAGGAGCGCACAACCTAGATCCCTCGCATGCACAGTTCACAATAGGGTTCACACTTCTGTGAGAATCTGATGCTAATGCTGATCTGGCAAGAGGTGGCGCTCAGGTGATAATGCTTGCTCACCCACTGCTCCCCTCCTGCTGTATGGCCCGGTTCCTAACAGGCCACAAACTGGTATTGGTCCATGGTGAGGGGGTTGGGGACCCCTGGTTTAGAGGGATGCTCTGACTCAGAATTTATCACAACCTTGAAATCCAGGTGTCTGCTTGGTCTGTTGTCTTTATTAAAGGTTCAGCTGGAAGAAAATCCTCTCATAAGCTCCCTCACATGGCTGTTGGCAGGCCTCAGAAGATTCAAGCTCATTCATGTTACTGTTGACAGGCTTGGGGTCTTTCTTGGATGCTGAGCAGAGATAATAGTTTGCCACTGGGGCACATACGGCTACTCCCAACATGGTAGCTGGTTTCTTTAGACAGAGGAAATGAGAGAGCAAGAAGGGAGACCAAGATGGAAGCCACAGTCTCTTTTAACCTAATGTTGGAAGTAACACTTATCACTTTTACCATAATCTGTTTATTAGAAGTGAGTCACCAGGTCCAGCCCACATAAGAGGAGGAGGTTACACAAGAGGTGAGAATCACTGAGGTCCATCGTTGAGTCTGACCAATAATGGAACCTCTATTTTGATTTACACTCTGGTACAAAATAGTTATATGATTGAGCAAGTCACAACCACTAATTTTCTCATTAAGTACATCATAATAACCTGCCTAACCAAATCTTGGGGCTACTGAAAGGATAAAAGAAAAATCATAGATATGAAAAGTTAAGATCTTGATATAAATATGACTTAACTCTATTAGTATTTTTCAAAGACTGGGGATTATGACTAACTCATTTTGATTAGATCAAATCTCTTCTCCATTTTCTTCTTCCTCATACTGCACATCAATGCTAAATTATTCATTCTCATCTTATATCCATACATATGCAAATAACACCAAGAGCATGAAATAGCCAGAGGGAAGAAGACTAAAATTTACGCAGCGTAAGTCATATGTTTGTTTCTGTGTTGGGCACTTCATATACTTGAGTTCATTAAATCCTCACAATCACTTCCTTGGCAGGTAGCCCCACTATTCTTTCTGTACCATACCGACTCCTAAGGAAAGAGTATAGCTAATGATCACAGAGAAATTCTGTTTTTCCCTTCACTTGCCCTCCAAGGCAAGCCCGTAATAGTGTTTTTCATTTTGCCCCATTCAGAAAACTTTAGAGATGCATAAAAGACCTCTTACTAATCTTGTCCATTTTTGTACCTCGTGGCAATACTATAGTAAAACAAACAAACAAACAAAACAAAAAACCTGTAAATATCCTTCTATCTTTTTTTTCTAATTTCCAGAGAAAGAAAACTTCTTGTTTAACATGTACATTAGTTCAGTGAATGCAGCTCAGTGTCTCAGGCTCACCTCTAGGTTGCTTTCTATATATTTATGTCTTGGCTCAAGTTAAATCAAAATGCTTCCAAAATGGAAATAACACCTTTTATAACTTTTCGCAAATTATAAAACAATGAATGAAGCTCTCTCATATACACACATATATGCACACAACATATATAATATATTCACTCATATGCCTACACACAATTAAATCAAACATTGGGTGAAGGGCCTCATTATACTATAGTCTGTTCTGGAGCTGTGAGCTAATTCCAATGATTCTGATATATTTTGAAATGGCTGTGGGCCACCGTTTTTATAACTGCAGTGGAAGTCACTTTTACCAACCACAAAAGCCTCAAAATAAAATTTATCAACTTACTATTTGAATAAATGCGATACTATCTATCTTTATCACATATTTAATTCTCATAAACAGTCTCTGAATACTAATTGGCCATTTCAAGTAATCAATAGTACATTCAAGAGATGAAAGGAATTGTCACAAAAATTCTGCAAGTACTCTGAAATGGAAATCCAAGAAAGTTCAGAGCAATAGCAGTGCCATAGAAATAATTACACAGCTTTTTAAAGATGACAAATTTGGAGGTAGTTGTACTCATTATATGGTGCACTCTGATTTTCTAGCTTTCAAAAATAAGTCTTTAATAATTTTGCACCACAGTAAGCCCTACCTTAGAGAAGCGTGTTTCTCCATGAGAAGACAAGGCATGAACACTTTTATATTAAATAAATGTGTGGTTTATATGTGATTATATCCCATGCTGGTTAAGATAAAATTAATGGAATTACTTAGGACACTTTATATACTTCTGTATTTCCCATAGTTCCTTGTTAATTTCTAGGTATTAAGTAGGTAAATAATATGAGTTTAAACTGAATTTTATGCATGAAACTGGCTGATGAGCTACTCTGATATTTTCAGATGACACACACTAAATATTGCCATAACAATAAATTTAGATAAAAATAAAACCACTTCCAAATTAGTTATATATTTTTAATGCTTCTTTTGAACAATTACTGAGTTTAGAAGAGCATGAACCAGTGCAATGAAACAGATTACAATGTAGATAGAAAACCACAATTCCAGTCCCATCATTTCATCTAATGGGCTGAGTGGCCTTGAGTACCATTGATTTGCTTTCATGTGAACTAGTTTCCCTATCTGAAACTGGGAAACCTAAAATTACTGAACGTGTGTTCTCTAAGGGACCTGAAAGACATCTCATTAAAATCCCACATTTTACAGGGCACATATATTAAATAATGTAATAGGGCTCCAACTAGTTTGGTACCACCAAATAGAGACTGGTGTATGTGTTTCTTCAGCCTTTTCACTCCTAATCCCCATGATCAATTATTGAATTCAACATTTACTACATGCCTCAAAGACATACAATGCAAGTGCTGTAACATGACATAAAATAGATCTTACCGAGGACCATCAGTGAACTTCCTGGTAGTCTATATCTAAGCTAAACACTCCAGGCTGTTTCCATTTTATGATACGTATGTTAATATGTCATAATGGTTAACTTTTTGTGTCAAAATGACTGAGCCACAAGATGCCTGATATTTGGTCCAACATTATTCTGAGTGTGTCCTGAGGGTGTTTGGGCATGAGATTAACATTTTAAATCAGTAAACTGAGTCAAGCAGATTGTCCTCCCTAATGTTGGTGGCCCTCAAACACTTAGTTGAAGGTCTGAAGAGAACAAAAGGGAATCTTTTTGTAAATGGGAATGGGAACTCCTCCAACCTAACTGCTTGAGCTGAAACATTGGTTTTGCCTGGCCTTCAGATTCAGACTAAAACCTCAACTTTTCTTGAGTCTCGAGCCCAAAAACTTTTGAACTGAAACTTATACTATCAGCTCCTGGTTCTCAAGCCTCAAGCCTTTAGAGTTGGGCTGGTACTATGCATTGGTCCTCCAAGGTATCCAGCTTGCCAACTGCAGACTTTGGGACTTCTTAACCTCCAAAAGCACGTGGGCCAATTCTTTATAAACTCTCTCCCTCTCTCTCTTTGTCTCTATATATGTGTTTTGTACATATATGTATATATACATAAATGTATATATACTTGTATATACTATAAATATATATTAAATGTATATTATATCTATTTATCTATGATAAATATAAATTACGTAGGTTCAGTTTCTCTGCAGAACCCTAACTAATACAGATATTAGGAAGAAAAGATGGCAAATTATGTGCTGGCCCTTAAATGCCTCCACTAGGAAGCGACTTGCATCATTTCTGCTCATATGTCTTTGGCCTGAGCAATTCATATGGCCACCCTGACTTCTACATTTCATGGAAGTACATTTCTTCCTATGCTTGACTATAGTCAGTGCACTTTAGTGAATAATGAATATTGAGTTACACAGAAATTCAGGCCCCTTATGAATAAGATACTCCTAGTTTCCAGCAGAGGGTAGTTCTTGTCATATTACTTGTTTATCTCTTAGGCATATAATATAGGTCAAAGCCATAGTGGATGATGTAGGATCAAAAGGATGCCAAAAAGTACAAAGGTATATACCAATCCGAGATCTTATGAATATTAATCCACAGGACTCTTTATTGAATAATTTAATATATGTGAAGAGCTTAGAATGTCTCCTGATGTTTATAAGTGCCTAATAAAAATATTTGCTATTGGAATTGCAATTTCTATTAACCTTATTATTTATTATTATCATTATTATTTTATGTGCAATTGCTATTATTACAAAATGGTGCTCTATAGACAAAAATTAGAATCAATGACCCTGTTAAAAAGAGCCTTTTTCTGAAAATACCGAGAGAACTCATTGTAACACTATAGCTATGGCATAGATCACAAAGATGAAACATAATGAAGCTAAAATGAAATATCAATGAATGGGATTTTTTCATAAATACTGACTGTGTGTCACCTTTGGAAATAAAGCTCCTTTAATTGAATGTGTCCTTCAAAACATTTTGAATTATATGTAGTGCCCTTAAAAGTTAGAAACAAATGGCATGCTTGCTTTTATCTGACATAAAGGAGATAGGTACATTTAAATATAGCTCTACTCTGTTTTAGTCTAGACAATTCTGAACACAGACTGTCAGTTAAAAAGAGCTGCACTGAAGACAGATTTTTTACAATGAAAAACCACATAAGATTAATTAAATAAAGTAGTATAAACAAGAAAGATGTTTAGTGTATCTACCTACTTATGGGTGAAGCTTTATACACTAATTAGATCAGTTTCCCATTATAATATGAGGCGGTATTTCTAATAGGTCAGAGCAAGGTATTCCAATATGAAAAAACTGAGTTATATCCCCTAGCCCTAGTCACTTAGTAGCTGTGACACCTCTTTATTCCTTAAGCTCCTTAAATCTCAGTGTCCTTATCTGTACTATGTAGAAAATAATCTTCATAACCTAGTAACTTCATGGGGTTATTATATTAAATGATAATCTTCCAAATGAATGGTGTAGAGAATGGTGTCTGGCACATAAATGAGCCACAATATGGCAACCATTATCATTATTAAATCTAGTACTGACATTCAGCATCCATTAAGTTACCAATCAGAATACCCATGTTCCAGCTATTTATTGCTGAGTAGCAAACCACTCTGAAATGTAGTACATAGTGTCTATAATAATGAATATATTCTCACCCATATTATGTGGGTCAAGAATTTGGGCAGGGATCAGGTGGTGATTCATTGGCTTCATATGGTGTCAACTGAGATAACTCAGTGATATTCAGTTATCAGATGGACTGATCTAGAGGGTCCAAAATGGCTTGATTCCTGCATCTGGTGCCTTGGAAGGAATGACTGAAAGGCAGGGTTCAGCTGAGACTGTCACTTGCAGTTCCTACATAACATGAGGTCTCTCCAGCATAGCAAGCACCAGGTAATTGTATTCCCTATGTGTCAGTTCAGGGCTTCCAGAAAGAGTGCTCTAAGGTACAGAAACTGGTACAGTGTTACATCCACTGTGTTCTACTGGTAAAACCAATCAATCACAGAGTCTTTCCTGTTTCAAGGGGAGGGGACAGAGAATCAGCCTCTCAATGGGAGAAATGATCATTTTTAATACATCACCGAAATACTATAGGTACTCTTTGTTACAATGAAAGCAACATATCACTATGTATAAGGATTATGTAATGTGACATGGGATATACTTGAGGCACAGCTTTATGGATATGGAGATTTACATATGGACCTAATCAATATATGTTCCATCTATATGTTTACTTGTTGCAGAAATTCCTGTATCACGTACCTTGAAATAGTATACTTTTCAGTATTATCACCATATTCACCAAGTCAATATTCTAACAAGATGTCAGAAAACTTCCTGTTAAGAGCCAGATAGTAAATATTTTAGGCTTTTTGGCCACATACCGTATCTGGACCATATTCTTTTTTGTTTGTTTTTTACAACCCTTTTAAAGTGTAGAAAAACATTTCTGGCTAAGGGGCCATACAAAGCAAGCCAAGAACCAGATCTGGCCTGAAGGCTGTAATTTGCCTACCTTTGAACAAATTAAGAGTAATACGCATGTAAATGACTCCAATTCTAAACTCCGAAAATAAATTAAAAAAGAAATGAAAATCCCTGCAAAGTCTATAACATTTAACCCCAAATCCTTAGAAGAGCATTAGAATGAGTAGGAGAAAAATAACTTTTAGAAAGAGCTTAACTTTTCAAGGCATCGTTAATTGTTTTTATAGAATTATCTTATTTACTGCTTGCAACAACCTAAAAGGCGGCTTATTATTTCCATGTTATTAGGTAGAATTAAAATATGAGCTTTATGACAGCAAGGATTTTAGTTTTATTCATACCCAAAATTTCACATACGACCTGATACAATATAGAATTTAAATACATGGTGGATGAATTGAATTAAATGGTAAAAACCAAGACTCAGGAAGATTAATCAACATCCCAGAGAAACACAGTGGAAGTCCTGGAATTCAAAGCCAGTGCCTTTTATTCCAAATTTTCCTCACCAAAGCAACAACTAACACCAACAATCTGGTCCAATAATTATTTGTTATATCAATATGATTATTGTTTTTAGGAAAATATCATTATGCCTTATTTACTTATAAATTAGGTTATGTAAAGCATAAACATTTTAGTTTTCAGAATTGAATTTGTGGTTTGAGGAAATGTTTATGTCCACACTTTGCTTATAATCATTGTCTATATTCTATACTATTTTAAATTAGTCAGTTAATTAAAGGACTGACACACTTCTATAATACTTCTTTTTTTGCATTTTAGTATGATCAACACTTCCAAAATAAGAAAATATAGAGAGAGAATTAATTTGAAATTAAGACACAAAGAGGAACAATTGAAAAAGATTTTTAAAATGTTATTGCACCATGTTGAGATTCATAATTGTACAGATAAAGCATACTTAACTTATTGATTAATAGTTGTAAAAGTTTTGTCGCTGAAACATTTGTTCCTTTGGGCTCTCTTTATTGCATTGTTGGATGTTGGGTGTGATAATAATTTGGACCTCTGTCCCTGCCAAATCTCATGTTAAAATCCCCAGTGTTAGAGATGGAGCCTGGTGGGAGGTCGTTGGATCATGCGGGCATATCCCTCATGAATGGCTTAGCCCTGTCCCCTTTGTGATGAGTGATATCTGGTTGTTTAAAAGCATGTAGCACCATAACATCTCCCACTCACATACTCTCTGTCTCTCTCTCTTTCTCCCTATCTCTCTCTCTCTCTTGCTCCTTCTCTCACTATGTGAGACATGTGCTCCTCCCTCACCTTCCATCATGATGGTAAACGTTTTGAGGTCTGGAAGCCAAACAGATACCATCACCATGCTTTCTGTATAACCTGCCAAACTATGAGCCAATTAAACATCTTTTATTTATAAATTACCCAGCCTCAGGTATTTTTTTATAGTAACACAAGAATAGCCTAACACAGGGTGTGTCATTTCATCCAAAGTACCAGACTTCTCAGGAAAAGTTGCATCATATTTGATAACAATTAGCTTGACTCCATATCTTGGATATCATAAATAGAGCAGTAATAAACATGAAGATGCTGTTATCTCTTCAATATACTGATTTACTTTCCTTTGAATAAATACCTACGAGTGGGATTGCTGAGACTGCATGGATTTTCTATTTTTAGTTTTTTGAGAAACCTCCATACTATTATCCATAATAGCTGTACTAGCTTACATTCCCACCGACAGTGTATAAGAGTTCCTTTGTCTCTGCATCCTAGCTGGTATTGCGGTTTTTTGTCTTTTTGATAATAGCCATTCTAATTGGGATAAGAAGATAGCTCATTGATTTTTTATTTGCATTTCCCTGGTGATTCATGATGTTAAGCATTCTTTCATATATTTCTTGGCCATTTGTATGTCATGTTTGCAGAAATGTCTATTCAGGTCCTTTGCCCACTTTTAAATGGATTATTTGCAGTTTTCTTTGTTTGTGTGTTTGTTTGTTTTGCTGTTGGCTTATTTGAATTCCTTTTATATTCTGGATACTAGTCCATTTTCAGATGAATAGTTTGCAAATATTTTCTCCTATTCCACATGTTGTCTCTCCCGTTTGTTGTTTCTTTTGCTGTGCAGAGCTTTTTAGTTTGATATAGTCCCATTTGTCTATTTTTGTTTCTTGTTGCTTGTGGTTTGAAGTTTTGCCTATAAAATCCTTGCCTAGACCAATGCCCTGATGTATTTTATCTATGTTTTCATCTAGTAATTATGTAGCTTTGGGGCTTGTGTTTAAATCTTTAATCCATTTTTTGTTTATTTTTGTATATTGTGAGAGGGATCTAGTTTCATTTCTCTGCATATGGATATATAGTTTTCCCAGCAGCATCTATTGAAGAGTTTTGTTCTTGGCAACTTTGTCCAAAGTCAACTGTTGTAAATGAATGGATTTATTTCTGGTTTCTTTATTCTGTTCCTATTCCTGTTCTCTATTCTCTATTGGTCTATGTGTCTATTTTTACATAAAGGTCAGGCTGTTTGGGTTACAATAGTTTTGTAGCATATTTTAAAGTCTGGTAACGTGATGTCTCCAGTTTGTTCTTTCTGCTCAGTATTGCTTTGGCTATTTGCAGTCTTTTGTGGTTCCATATGAATTTGGAATTGTTTCTATTTCTGTGAAGAATATCACTGATGCTTTGATAGGGATTGCTTTGAATCTGTAGATTGCTTTGGGTAGTGTGGTCACTTTAAACAATATTAACTTATTCAATCCATGAGCATGGGATATCTTTCCATTTTGGGGGAGTCTTCTTCAGTTTTTTTCATCAGTGGTTTGTAATTTTTATTGCAGAAATCCTTCATCTTATTGGTTTAATTTATTCTGAGGTATTTTTATAGCTATTTTAAGTAGGATTGTTTTCTTGATTTCTTTTTCAGCTAGTTTATTATTCATATACAGAAACCATAATTTTTTACTGCTGATTTTGTATCCTATGACTTCACTGAACCTATTTATCAGTTCTGAGAGTTTTTTGGTGGAGTTTTTAGGTTTTTCTATGAATATAATCATGTTCCCTGCAAAGAGCAATAATTTGACTTCCTTTTTTTTCAGTTTAGGTGTCCTTTATTTCTTTCTCTTGCTTAATTGCTCTGGCTAGGAATTCCAGTGCTATGTTGATTAAAAGTGGTAAAAGTGAGCATCCCTGTCTTCTTCCAGTTTTTAGAGGAAAGGCTTTCAACTTTTCCTCATTCAGTATGGTGTTAGCTATTGATTTGTCATATGTTGCCTTTATTGTGTTGAGGTACAAACCTTTTACACCTAACTTACTGAGAGTTTTTGTCATAAAAAGATAACGAATTTCATTGAATGCTTTTTCTACATCTATTAAGATGATTATATGGATTTTGCCCTTCATCTTGTTTAGGTAATGTGTCACATTTATTGATTTGCATATATTAAACAATCTTTAAATTCCTGGTACAAATTCCACTTGACCATAATGTGTTGTCTTTTTGATATGTTGTTGGATTTGGTTTGCTAATATTTTGTTGAGAATTTTTACATCTATGTTTACCAGGCCTATAGTTTTCTCTTCTTGTTGTATCCTTGTCTGCTTTTGATATCAGGGTAATGTGGGCCTTATAGAATGAGTACGGAAGAAATTCCTCCTCTCTAATTATTTGAAATCGTTTAAAAAAGTATGATGGCTTTTCCTTAAATTTTGGTAGAATTAGCAGTAAATACAACCTGTTCTGAGATTTCCTTTCTTGGAGGCTTTTTCTTACTGATTCAATCTCATTTGTTATTGGTCTATTCAGATTTTTAATTTTTTTTCTCATTCAATCTTGGTAGGTTATATGTGTACAGGAATTTATCATTTCCACTAAGTTTCCTAGTTTTTTGGCCTATAGTGTTAATAACAGTCTCTAATGATCCTTTGTATTTCTGTGATTTCATTTGTAACTATATAGTTGGGTCTTTTTTTAAATCCAATTAGCCAGTCTATTTTTTTTAATTATAGAATTTAAACTATTTACATTAAAGGTTGTTATTAATGGGTGAAAAATGACTCCCATCATTTTGTTCCTGATTAGTTGGTTCCTGATTACTTTATGTATCCTTTGTTTCTGTCTTCCTTTCTTATTATCTCTCTGTTTCAGTGGGGTTTTTTTGTTGTGTTTTATTTGCAGTGATAACATCTGATCCCTTTCTCATTTATGTATCTGTTCTATCAGTGAGTTTGATGCCTTCATGTATTTTCATGATGGTTCTTATTATCCTTTTACTTCCAGATGTACAACTTCCTTATGCATTTATTGTAGAACTGGTCTAGTGGTGATGAATTCTGTTTTTCCTTCTCTAGGAAATTCTTTCTCCATCATTTGTGAAGGATAGTATTAATGGGTATAGTATTCTTGGCTTGCAGTTTTCTTTTTCTTTCAGCGTTATGAATATATCTTTCAATTCTCTCCCAGCAAGTAAGGTTTCTGTTAAAAATCTCCACTGGGAGCGGTGGTTCATCCCTGTAATTCTAGCACTTTGGGAGGCCAAGGTGGATGGATTACCTGAGGTCAGGAGTTTAAGACGAGCCTGGCCAACAAGGTGAAACCCCATCTGTACTAAAAACACAAAAAAATTTGCCAGGTACAGTGGTGTGTGCCTGTGATCCCAGCTACTCAGGAGCCTGAGGCAGGAGAACTGCTTGAACCCAAGAGTTGAAGGTTGTGGTGAGCCAAGATCATGCCACTGCACTCCAGCCTGGGCTACAGAGAGAGACTTCATCTTAAAAAAAAAAAAAGTCTTCTATTAGTCTTCGCTTATATGTTAGATGCCCTTATATGTAACTAGATGCTCCTCTTTTGCTGTTTTAAAAATGCTCACTTTGTCTTTTACTTTTGACAGTTTGACTATAATGTGTCTAGGTGAGGACTTTTTAAGTTGAATCTATTTAGGAATGTTTGAGCTCCTTGTATCTGTTTGTCTACGTATCTCCCAATACATGGGAACTTTTCAGCTTTCCACATATTAGAAGGAAAATCTATTCAATGTATTTCATGGAATAGGTTTTCTATGCCTTTTTAAATCTCTTCTCCTTCTGGAATTCCCAAAATTTAAATATTTATTTGTTTTTAGTGTCCCATATGTCATGTAGACTTTCTTCATTCATCTTTATACTTTTTTTTTTTACTCTCTCTCTCTTTACATGACTGAGTTATTTGAAAAGACTTGTTTTCAAGTTCAGAAATTCTTTTTCCTGCCTGATATAGTCTGTTGTGGAAGCTCTTGATTGTATTTTTATTTCATTAATTACATTCTTCAGTTCTAGTATTTCTATTTGGCTCTTTTTTTTTTTTTTTTACAATATCTATCTTTCTTTGCTGAATTTCTCATTCAGATCACTGTTTTCTTGATTTCTTTGTATTGTCTATTTGTGTTATCTCTTATCACACTGAATTACCTTTAGATCATTATTTTGAATTCCTTGTCAAGACACTTCATAGATTTTTATGGGGTCTTTTGCTGTAGAATTAATGCATTCCTTCGGTGGTGTAGTGCTTCCTTGCTTTTTTAGTGTCTTGTGTCCTCATGCTGCTATCTGCGCATTTAGTGTAAAAATCATTTCTTTCAACTTTGTGGAGTAGCTTTTGAAGGGAAAGACATTTTTCTATAGATCTGTCTATAGTATTACTTTGGTAGGGTACTTTGGCTTTTGTTCTGGGTGGGTTCTCTGGTATACTCTTCGTTTGATTTCTTCAGCCTATGAGTTCTTCAGGCTTCAATAACAGAGTTGCCTGTGAATTCTTCAGTGGATTGGGCTGTGGTTATTTGTGGAGGCTGTGGTGAGGCTTCACTGGGGACTGGGGCTCTGCATGGGCTGGTTCTCAGGCTTTTTGTGGTATGTGCAGGTACTAGTAGCGATAACAGTGGGCTGGACAAGCCCATCTTCAAGCCCCTAGATGGTATGTGTGGGGTTGCTGTCAGTGGCAGTTGCCCTGGGCATGCAGTTCTCAGCCTTTGGGGAATGCATGTTTTGCCTCTCTGTGTCCTGGAGGCAGTCCCCCTGATGTGCTGGACCTTTTATTGCCCAGGGTGTAGGGTACTTCATGGGTTTGTGTGCCAGGGTTATGGCTGCACTGCTGGGTCCAGATGGTGTGACAACACTGCAGCATTCTGAGTGAATGTGAAGGGATGTTGGAAGTGCATCAGAAATGTAAAAATGCATCGCTTATTAAACAGGATGTAGCCTGAGATCAGCCCCATTCTCAAAATAGTGGCATGCTGCAACAGCTTGGGTCTCAGGGCATGGGTGGGACCTGGCATGATTTCCCTCTCTGAAGCAATGTAGTTGTGTTTATTCCAGGCAGTTCCCTATACTATGCTCAGGGACTCTGGGTCCCGAGAAGGTCTTCTGTAGCTAGGATTGCAGGTGTCTATAGAGGGAATGTGGATTGTTGGGGATCTTTCACTTACCTTTATCCTGCAATGGGAAGTCTTTCCTGGCTCTGAGCTGATTTCAGTCAGCTGCTTCGCTTCCCTGTTTGTGCTGCCATCTTGAATTTCCCTGCCTCAGAGGGTCCCTGTTACTTCCTTGTTAAAATCTAGTGTTCTCCCTTAGATGCTCTATTTTGACATGTGGTTATCTACTCACTGTTTTTGTTCTTTTTTGGTTTTTGTGTGTGTGTGTGTGGAGGGAACATGATGTGCTGAGTGCCTCTAGTAAGCCGTCTTGATGACCTATGCCCACTCATGCAAATGCTGTTTGCAATACTGCTACTACATAATTGTACCATCAAACATGGATTCCAATAAATTTTGTATTTGTGTTTAAAAGACATACACACTCAAAAGAATAGCATGTTTTTAGTATATCTGCTGTCTTATTGAGTAATTCCTGACAAAAGAGGATTTTTGCTTTGATTAGACATTGTCAGAGAGGAAAAGCTTTTTCTCTACCAGTTTAGGTTATGTTCTTGAGGGGTATGCACATTAAGCTTGCAAAAGTCAGATTATTAAAAGAGAAAAACAGATTTAATTATGTATGTGTACATGGGCGTTGACAAAGAAATGTGATTCAAGGAGGTAGTTAGAATTGGGCACTTATATATCATCTTAATAGAGTACAGGGGAGGGCAGAGGGCACTTCTGGAAACAAATGACTTTTAGGGAAGATCAATGGACCCTTAAGAGAATAAATGTTAGATATAATAGTTTTATGCCAGTATCTGTTTCTCTTTCCAGGTGCTACCTTGTGCTGACTTCTTCAGGTCGATGCTAAGATTTGCTCCTCTGTGGTTGTGAGACTCACAGGGAAGGGATTTATAACAATGGAATTATTTGCAGGAGGCATTGCTTTTAAAAAGACAGAGTTTAGAAAAAGCTTCTTTCTGCAGCTGTTGATTCTCAAATGTCTTCAACTCAAAATAGTCCTTTATGCCACTGTCGCATATTCTGAACCCTTCAACATCAATAAGAAAGCACCTTCTTAGCTTGGAATTTCATGTCTAATAATTGAAAGAGCTTTCTACAGACTAGTTTCTGGCTCCATACATTTAAGCCTTGATTGCACTCTATCACCCACATAGGCCTGGGAACCTATCACATCACAACCTGTGACGCTGCACCTTTGCACGACCATACTGATGAGCTGGCAAAGTGGATTTTGCGAAAATTCTTGGAAGCCATTCTACACTATGATGGCTAGCAACAACTGAACTGTGAGAGAACAGGAGTGTGAATTCATAAAAATACATTTTAACACATCCAAATTAAATGTATCCCCATCTCAACTTTCCCTTAGCTGGATCCTCAAAATGCCTGTGATCTCTCTAACACAATTTAAACAAGTAGTGTGGCAAAGAGGAAACTGGAATGAGATAAAGACGTGCTCTTAACCTATCGTAGTTAAAATTCTTACTCTTGCAAATATCAAACTCATAACTGTGCAAACACTCCCTCACTGCACCACAACTTCAAGGTCTTGGAAGAAGCTGGTACAAGTAAGAGACCCTGAAAGCTCGAGCCTCATTGGCATCACAATCAGTCTGGCCAGGAGGGTAATTCTGGAACTGGGAAACAATTGCCAGGATGCCTGCAGAGAAGAACTTTTGTTAGTTCAAAGCAATTTTCATTTATAGACCTTTAGAAAATACCGTTTCATAGGAGAAAATAAAATAGAAACAAGGGCATGGCTTTAGTTTCAGTGATACCTTTTTCAGTTCGGCATATTTTGCTCTTAACCTCTCTCTTATATTTTAAATATATTTTATTTAAAAAAATGTGGCCAGGTGCAGTGTTGGCTCACGCCCGTAATCCCAGCACTTTGGGAGGCCGATGCAGGTGGATCATGAGGTCAAGAGCTCAAGACCATCCTGTCCAACATGGTGAAACCCCATCTCTACTAAAAATACAAAAATTAGCTGGGTGTGGTGGTGCGCCCCTGTAGTCCCAGCTACTCAGAAGGCTGAGGCAGGAGAATCGCTTGAACCCAGGAGGCAGAAGTTGCAGTGAGCCACTGTATCCCAGCTAGGGTGACAGAAAAAGACTCCATCTAAAAAAAAAAAAAAAAGCACAATGCTGCCTAGGTATTAGATGAAAAAGAGAAGCTTTATATTAGATATCACTGAAAAGGCAGGGTTAAGGACTATTCCTTCCTTCCAAATTGGCAGACATGATCAGGCAGACATAATCTAACATCTGGAAAGAGAGGTAAAGAATCACTAAGGAACAGAAAGATCTGGATAACATATACTGTTAGTAATCAGTGCTGTTAGTTTAATAATGTGTCAAAACACTTACTATTTTATACCTATGTTACTCAAATTCCAAGCTTGTATTTATATTTTTGCAATTTTTTTATCCAATCATTTGCAGACAATATTGAGAATCAGTTACACAACCAAACCAAGAAATAAAAAGAACTGAAAGAAAAAAAAAAACATACATACAAAGAATCATGCTTATCTTTCCATCCCACTGTGAGTCAACAATACTTTATAAAGAGTCCTGTTCAGAGTGTCAAATTCTGTACCAGTTACTAGAAAAAATATTAACTAAACAGTTTGATAGTGTTAAAAATCACCAGATACAAATGTGTGTAGCTTTATGAAGAACTTGTCTTGTGAATGGAATTGTATTTCTCTCTGTGACTGGATAGCACACCACACCTGCTGATTTATAGGGATGTATTGTTGAACCCATATTATCTACTTTGATATGCTTCTTAATTCAGCTTTACATGGATGATTTATTTTAAAAGCACTGAAATGGGTATCGAAAAGGTACTACCACTTTCCCAAATCAATGTCAGCCTGAAGTTTACTGAATTCTTCAAGTATTGGTCCTAAGTCAAATTCACAACCAGTCTGACTTATACAGAGTTGAACAATGACTACATACCAGCACCCGTATTTCCCAGGGAAGTGAAATTCCTCTTCCACTTAGGGCTGCCCGGAACTGGTTAATGGCCTCATCTAGCCACAAGGGGGCCAAGAGGTACAATTCCATGTTAGGCCCAGAAGCCACAGTCAGAAATACTTGGGGAAAGTTCTCAATGACTGCCCTATAAGTATCAGCATCTGTCGTTAGAAAATTCATTGCTGCTGAAATAGTCAAATTTCTTATATTTCTCATTCTAGAAACATCCCACATTATGTATTTCCTAATTACAATCAATCAAATTTGTTTGAATAAAGTTTTCTACCGCCTGTTATTCAGAATGAACATAAGAAGTGGCCTAGCTAGGTCGACACAGCCAGGTGCTAAAACTTCTAAAGCTAATACATAATTTTCAACCATTCTTGTTATAAGCAAGGTCATTTGTTTGGGAATTAAATTTGTCCAAGCAATTATAATGAAATTTCTCCCCCAAATCCTTAACATGTTATCTAGCTTAGAGGTCATTATCCACAGCAGTATTTGATATATCCTGCCACGATAGTAAAAATATGCAAATCTCCCAAGTTCGTACTGCAAAGGGCATTGGTAGGTCTAATTTTACCATCAATAGTGAAAGGAGATAGCTTCAGATGACCCTAAATAATAGGATGTACTGCTTTTAACCTATCAAGGGTCTTTTTCCCAGAAGTAATCCAGATTTTATAAAATACTGTGTGCCCCCAACTTACATTTTTGTAAATGTATGAAAATTAATGTAAAGTTGAAAAAATTCATAAACTAATGATCTTGTAAGTAAAAGACAAATGCCAGTTATAGTCACTGACTGGATCTTTTTATGTGTGTCATGACTTGTAAATCTCTGCTATATTGCACATATTTTGGCATGTAAACCTTTAGAAAATGAATAAAAAATCAACTGTCAATATGTGCTAAACTTAAGGTAAAAATCATTTATTCTGTGTTATTTTAAAACCTAAAACACTCTATTGAAATCTGAAAACCAGACAGCGTGTGAGCTAATAAACACTTAAAATTTTATTTTTCAAAGCTTCTTCTTTTTTTTTTTTTTTTTGTAAATGAGATTTTCATATCGGCCTTGTGGAAATGTTTATAGTTATCCAGTAGATAGTATGAATCAACTTAGTTTAGTTTCTGTGTGCTTCTTTTATAGATACACTGTAAAATATAGCTTTGCATATGATTTCTTGATTTAAACAGCACAACTTATTCTATGTCTTGGCTAGAAACCAATTAAATAACCACTGATGCAAGCAGTTATTACCTGCTTAAAAGGAAATCTGTGGTTTCCTTATTTAAACTGATGAGTTTTAATGTCTATCAAAAAGGCTGTTATTGCAATGAATAATTTAGTCATTTCAGTCTACTAAACATGTTAATACTACAAGCATGGATTTAAGGCTGTAAAATATATCTAAAGTTTCTCAGAGTCTCAAGGATCAGAATCATACTTGGAATAGTTATGCACAGATATGTTTACTCTTTCAAGTAATATATGTTTAAAGGACAATCGTTTGTAGTAATTATTTAGAAAAGGAAGACTGAAGTATCAAATTTAGCGAAAGGGGTTAGAGAAATGGTTGATCATAAAGGCCTAGAAAACACGTCTACAGATAGAAGACCCTTTTTAAAAAGATGAAAGGTCAATGGATTTAGAGATATCCGAGTGTCATTTCCTCTGTTTGTCCCTTGGTGGAGTTCTTGAGTTACTTTCTCCTTTTCTGTCAAACTGTTTTTATCTTTCCAGAACTGGCTATCGTGTTTACTGTATTTAACCTTTTTCTCATATTATTGTGAATACAGCGTCTATTATAAATGAAAGGCCCCCTGAGATCACATCTCCAGCATCTACTTTGTATTCTTAACCATAAACTTTTGTTGTAGTTACTTCTCTTACTGTCTTTTCTTGAGGCTTGAACTACATCAGGGACCCTGAATGCTATTTTTCAGTTCAGCCACTGAAATTTCTTAACGGCAAAACAGGTTTAAGCAAGCGAGGTTAGTAGGTAAATTAAAAAAAAAAAATCTACTGAATATTTTAAGTTTAGGGTAAGATTTCTGGCACAGAAAATGAATCGTTTGTCAAGGTTTTATTAAATGCATATTAGCACGGGATGATATTTATATTTTAATCAATTTCATTTTTTACATCTTGATTTCAAAGGGGTATTTCCTTTTATTGTTCTTTTTTAAAAAGCCACTAAAGAAAAAACAGAAATCTCCATTTCAACATTCCCTCAAACATTTTGCTTCCTACATGCGATGACGTCTAATCACTCTGATCGATGCAAGCTTTAGGGCACTGATCTCATTTTCTCTCTCCAGTTCTGGCCGCCAAAGCAGCAGCAGCAGCAGCAGCAGCAGCAGCAGCAGCAGGCTCTTTAATTTATTGCAGGCGGTTACACTTTCGATCCCATTTCCTTCTGAACCCTTTCCTCTCAGGTTGAGTAGATAAATGCAGCCTCGGGTCTGAGAAGCCGGGGGGGGGGGGGGGGGGGGGTTGGTGGGTGGGAGCGAAGCCGGATATCACATTCCCTCGGTGAGGTCTGGTACCGGGGGGGATTAAGTCTCCCGGTTCCATTTAATGAAATTGCTGAGCACTTGTGACACTGGCTCTAAGACTGCGGAAATGGGGCGGGGGTGGGAGAAACTGCTTCTCTCTTCATTCATCCTCTGCGCCGGCGAGAGGAGAGAGTGTCAGCCCCTAGAGAGGGGGCGGAAGAGGACTGGGAGCTCCAGCCGCCGCAAGGGCGCCCCGAGGGCTCCTCTCACCTCCCCCGTACCCCTACCCCGCCCATTTCCTTTGCTTGCCCAGAACGGCGCTGCAGGGCAAAGCCGCCGCCACTTCTTTGCTGCTCTGGCAGAAAGGTCGGAGCCTGGGACTGATGGGGGTGGGAGCAAAGCCAGCAGGCTTCTTGGCCCCCGCAGTCTGTCCTCGCTGTTCTCCATGCAGCACACGTCGGACCCATTTCCCACGCTGGCTTGGCTCCGCCGCGAAGTTGGTAGGAATGAGAGTGAGGAGGGCGGGCTGGAGACTTCCTCCCGCTCGCAAAGAGGAAACCACTCCACTGTGAAGGACGCGCTGCAACTCCCTAGTCATCCGGGAAGAAATGTGCAGCGCGCTGAGGAAAAGCCGCCCACTCCTTCGCGCCCCGCTCAAGTGTGCGCCTGGAGAGTGCGCGCCAGAGCCGCGAGCAAATGCTTTGAAGATGCGGAGAGGCTTATTCAAGTTTATGGTCTGGAGAGGGAAGAGGGAGTGCACAACGTTTCTGCCCAAGCGGCTGCCTGAAGTTTGCAAAATCTTAGTAAGGCGATGAGGGGAGTGAGTGCACTGCACCATATTGCCGCGCATCGGAATGCACGGCGCAAGGCCGCGGAGTGGAGACGGCTTCTCCCATTTGCCTCCAACCTGGGAAAAAGGGGAACCAGGGTCGGAGGTTTGGAGAGAGGCAGGCGTTCCGATAAACCCGGGTTCTTGCCAAATGTAAGAGGGATTTGGCTTTACTGCCACTTAGCCGGCCGCGAAGGCGCTGCGGAGCCCACCCCCGCCCCCGGCTCGAGACTGCGGCGGTGCGCACTGAGCCTGCGCGCGGGGCTTTTCTCGCTGATGCTGCAGATACAGAGCTGAGAGGTTCGGGTGCCAGCAGCGGGAGGGTTAGCGGGAAGGCCGGGTTCCCTGCCCTGGCCTCGGAGGAGGAGCCACCACCCCTGGGGTGATGCTACTTTCACAGACTGGAAAATACTCGCCAGCTCCCTGACACACACTTAGACACACTTCCATCCAACGGGCATCTACGATCCCCTGTAGGGAGAGCTTGGAAATCTCTGCCGCCTCTCCCTCCTCATTCCTGTTCCTGCGCCCGCCCAAACAACCGCGCGCTACATCTGCTCGTTGACTTTATTGGTGTTTGTCTTGTTTAAATCATTCTGCCTCGTCACCCAGGTCTCGTAAAGAATACCCACACTGGACAGATTTTATTTTTTCGGCTTTAAATTTTTCTTTGAGGGGAGGCCCTTAAATGTGTATGGATACGTCAGGCGAGCTGAAGACTAAGCAAATCCCAGCAGCGGCCCTTTCTCTCTTTCGAGATGGTAAAAATTCTCCCCAAATACCTACAGTCCGTCTCAGTCGTCTTAATCCTAGCCGGGCCTCTTCGTTTACAGCCACTGAAATAAATGAGTAAATGGCTCAGTTCAAAAACACAACCAGACCTGAGATCTGATGAGGCCGGCTGCGGTGGTCGTGAATGAAAATTGGAGAAGCCTTGCTTCAGGAAATAGGGACAGTCAAGGGACACAAAGTCAAAAGGAGAGATGGGAAAGCTGGGGACACTTTGGTACACAAAGTTGCCATTAAAGTTTATTTCCCTTTTATCCAGATAGGTGACGCTACACTTTGCCAGTTACTAAAGGCTGCAGGTTTCTGCTCAGAAAATAATATCGAGGTTTCCAACATGTGTTTATTCCCCAGGCGCGCACACACGGTCTACCCCCGCAAGCAAGCACGACGACAGGAATGTCAAGCATTTAAACAAAGACAGACATCCTTCACCCTCCACCCACCGCCGCCCCTGCCCCCCGCAACCATCCAAAGTCTGAGCTCCCAAAAAAGGATCTTTCTCCAGCTCTCTGGAGTTTGATGTTCTCTCTTCACTACTGCAGCCCGTCATGGTTTTTCAGAACAGAGTGGCTTTCTGGGCGCTCGTAGGTTCCCCAGGACCCCGATAACCATGTCCTAACCAAGATCCTAAATCGCGAACCGGAGACACTTTCCGGGGGGAGGAGGACGTCGTCTGAGAGGGAGGGAGAAGGAGAAACCTATCCTGACACCAGCTCCGAAAGCTCTCACGCGTGAACTGGGCATTAGTCAAGGGAGGAGGAAATTTACCAGCCCGAGGGAGGGAAAACAAGTCCCCCAGAGAAGACGGCGGTACTCGCTAGGGAGGGGGACTGGGCTTTGGCTTAAAGAGGACTGGCTGGGATTGGGCACACTTTGAGCGGCCCCTGGAGCTGAGGCTGGGCTTTCCCGAGCGCGGCGGCTGGCTGACGCTCCCTCCCGCCTCCTTATCCCGGGCCCTCCTCCCTCGCTCTCTCCTAGTGTGTAGTTTCGGCGGCTCGGCTGCTACTGCCGCCGCCGCTGCAGCAGCAGCGTCAGGGACAAGCCTGATCCGTGAGCGAGCGAGCACCCAGCAGCAACCACCACTTTGGGCAACTTGCGGGTTTCCTGCTCGCGGGTAGCGAACGGGAGATTCCCACTAGCGGTTCAGTGTCTCCGAGCCGCTGCAGCCCGAGGGGCGGCGGGAGCGCCCGCACCAGACTCTCCCAGACGCGAAAAGGGACGAGACAACTGCGGAATTCACCAGCCGTGCCAGGGCACTTCCGAGGCCACAACCGACTGACACTTTTTCTCCCCTTGGCAAACTGGATTTTTTTTTTTAAGCTACTTGGCAGCTGTCTCTGACTCCACCTCCCCCTCCACCCCCGCCCGAAAGCCTTTGGCTTTTCTTCGGAAATCCAGACAGAATTGGGCATCTTTGTTAATTGCCGTTGGGGACGCCCGGCCGTGCGCTTTCGCCGGCTAACGTCGCCTGTGCTCCGAGCCTGGTTTGCTCACCTTTGAACTGCAAAGGGATCAAGTTCAGCTTGAGTTCCCTGCATTGGGAAGGAGAGAGAGCGTGCAAGAGAGCGAGTGGGAGAGGGGGAAAGGGGAAAGGAGAGGAGGGAGGAGAGAGAGGAGGGAGGAGAGAGAAAGGGAGGGAGGGAGGGGAGGGATCGAGAGAGAGCGGGGAGAGAGAGGCTGCAATCTCCTCCCTGAATCGCGCACAGCGCTGCAGATCCCACTGCTCCGACATGCGGGCCGAATGCAGGTGAGAAAAGGCACGGACTCTGCGGCTGCGAACCCAAACTTGGGCACCGCACGGTGCGCACTGCTCAGCCTTCGCCCCCGTGGGCGAAAGGCTGCTGCGGTTTCAGGCGGCTGCTTCGTGACTAATGACCTTGCGCAGAGTTGTTAAGAAAAAAGAGAAACCCGCGCTCTCCGGGGTGAGAAGGGACTGACTCTGGGCGTCTCTGAAGATGGCTCGGGCTTCTCTTTGGCGCGCCGGGGGGACCCTGACACTGACCGCTCTGTGACGCGAGTAGTCTCCCCTGCACCGTGCCCGAAGCGACGTGCCGGGGGATTTTTCATTCTCGATCTGTTGACTGGCTCCCCCGCTGCATGAGCAGAGTCGGAGTTGAGACTGGCTTGTTGCTGGCCCCAGCGCCTGGTGCAGGAAGCGACTCACGTTTGTCTGGGTGGCCGGAGCCGGAGCAGAGCCTGGGTTTGGAGTGAGTGCCTGGAACGTGAATTGGACTCAACTCGAGTAGCAGCAAAGACCAGCGGGCTGGCAGGCGGGGGAGGCTGCAGGCTCATTCCCCACCTCTTCCCAGCCCCACTGCCCGTCTGCCGGAGCGGTTCTGGCCCCTTCCGACAGAGCGGGGACTAGAGCCGGGGATTCTCCGCCCGCTGAGGGGATGACTCTGGGTTGGGGGAGCGCCGAACCCGCGGCGCGCAGTGTCCCGTGAACTGTGAGTACTGCGACTGAACGGCGGCAGGCGAGCGGGCGATTAGCACCCATTGCATGAATTATGAAACAATAACTTTCGGAAGAAGCAGGAGGAAAAAAAGAAGCATCTATCGCTGCCCTCCCACCCCCATTCCCGGCCAACTCTCCACGCCGCTTTTGCCCCCTCCCTCCCCTCCCTCTCGCTCCTTCCTTTCCGGGAGAGGGGAGAGGACTCGGGGGAGGGCAGGCGGCCGGCCCCGGAGGAGGGGGGCGCCGAGGGGGCTGTGGTTAGAAGGAGCAGTAGCAGCAGCAGCAGGAGAAGATGCTGAGGATGCGGACCGCGGGATGGGCGCGCGGCTGGTGCTTGGGCTGCTGCCTCCTCCTGCCGCTCTCGCTCAGCCTGGCGGCCGCCAAGCAGCTCCTCCGGTACCGGCTGGCCGAGGAGGGCCCCGCCGACGTCCGCATCGGCAACGTGGCTTCAGACCTGGGCATCGTGACCGGATCGGGTGAGGTGACTTTCAGCCTGGAGTCCGGTTCCGAGTACCTGAAGATCGACAACCTCACTGGCGAGCTGAGCACGAGCGAGCGGCGCATCGACCGCGAGAAGCTGCCCCAGTGTCAGATGATCTTCGACGAGAACGAGTGCTTCCTGGACTTCGAGGTGTCGGTGATCGGGCCCTCGCAGAGCTGGGTGGACCTGTTTGAGGGTCAGGTCATCGTGCTTGACATCAACGACAACACGCCCACCTTCCCGTCGCCCGTGCTCACGCTCACGGTGGAGGAGAATCGGCCGGTGGGCACACTTTACCTGCTGCCCACAGCCACCGACCGCGACTTCGGCCGCAACGGCATCGAGCGCTACGAGCTGCTCCAGGAGCCCGGAGGCGGCGGCAGCGGCGGCGAGAGCCGGCGCGCCGGGGCGGCCGACAGCGCCCCCTACCCCGGGGGCGGCGGGAACGGCGCGAGCGGCGGCGGCTCGGGAGGCTCCAAGCGGCGGCTGGACGCATCAGAGGGCGGCGGCGGCACCAACCCCGGCGGCCGCAGCAGCGTGTTCGAGCTGCAGGTGGCGGACACCCCGGACGGCGAGAAGCAGCCGCAGCTGATCGTGAAGGGGGCGCTGGACCGCGAGCAGCGCGACTCCTACGAGCTGACCCTGCGAGTGCGCGACGGCGGCGACCCGCCTCGCTCCTCGCAGGCCATCCTACGGGTCCTCATCACCGACGTGAACGACAACAGCCCCCGCTTCGAGAAGAGCGTGTACGAGGCCGACTTGGCTGAGAACAGCGCCCCGGGGACCCCCATCCTGCAACTGCGCGCAGCCGACTTGGACGTGGGGGTCAACGGGCAGATCGAATACGTGTTCGGGGCGGCCACCGAGTCGGTGAGGCGGCTGCTGCGCCTTGACGAGACGTCCGGCTGGCTCAGCGTCCTGCACCGGATCGACCGCGAGGAGGTGAACCAGCTGCGCTTCACGGTCATGGCCCGCGACCGCGGGCAGCCCCCCAAGACCGACAAGGCCACCGTGGTCCTTAACATCAAAGACGAGAACGACAACGTGCCGTCCATTGAAATCCGCAAGATTGGGCGCATCCCCCTCAAGGACGGGGTGGCCAACGTGGCCGAGGACGTTCTGGTCGACACCCCCATCGCTCTGGTGCAGGTGTCCGACCGAGACCAAGGCGAGAACGGGGTGGTCACCTGCACCGTGGTGGGCGACGTGCCCTTCCAGCTCAAGCCAGCCAGCGACACCGAGGGCGACCAGAACAAGAAAAAGTACTTCTTGCACACCTCGACCCCTCTGGACTATGAGGCCACCCGGGAGTTCAACGTGGTCATCGTGGCGGTGGACTCAGGCAGCCCCAGCCTCTCGAGCAACAACTCCCTGATTGTCAAGGTGGGAGACACCAACGACAACCCGCCCATGTTCGGCCAGTCGGTGGTGGAGGTTTACTTCCCTGAGAACAACATCCCGGGCGAGAGGGTGGCCACGGTGCTGGCGACAGACGCAGACAGCGGTAAGAACGCCGAGATCGCCTACTCGCTGGACTCCTCTGTGATGGGGATCTTTGCCATCGATCCCGATTCTGGGGACATCCTGGTCAATACCGTGCTGGACCGCGAGCAGACTGACAGGTATGAGTTTAAAGTTAACGCCAAAGACAAAGGCATCCCCGTGCTGCAGGGCAGCACTACGGTGATTGTGCAGGTGGCTGATAAAAATGACAATGACCCTAAGTTTATGCAGGACGTCTTCACCTTTTATGTGAAAGAAAACTTGCAGCCCAACAGCCCTGTGGGGATGGTCACCGTGATGGATGCTGACAAGGGGCGGAATGCAGAGATGAGCCTGTACATAGAGGAGAACAATAACATTTTTTCTATTGAAAATGACACGGGGACCATTTACTCCACAATGTCTTTTGACCGGGAACATCAGACCACATACACTTTCAGAGTCAAGGCTGTGGATGGGGGAGATCCTCCCAGATCTGCCACAGCTACAGTCTCGCTTTTTGTGATGGATGAAAATGACAATGCTCCCACAGTTACCCTTCCCAAAAACATTTCCTACACTTTACTGCCACCTTCGAGTAATGTCAGGACAGTAGTAGCTACAGTGTTGGCAACAGACAGTGATGATGGCATCAATGCAGACCTGAACTACAGCATTGTGGGAGGAAATCCCTTCAAGCTGTTTGAAATTGATCCCACTAGTGGTGTGGTTTCCTTAGTGGGAAAACTCACCCAAAAGCATTATGGCTTGCACAGGTTGGTGGTGCAAGTGAATGACAGTGGGCAGCCTTCCCAGTCCACCACGACTCTGGTGCACGTGTTTGTCAATGAAAGTGTTTCTAATGCAACTGCGATTGACTCCCAGATAGCTAGAAGTTTGCACATCCCACTCACCCAGGATATAGCTGGTGACCCAAGCTATGAAATTAGCAAACAGAGACTCAGTATTGTCATTGGCGTGGTTGCTGGCATTATGACGGTGATTCTAATCATCTTAATTGTAGTGATGGCAAGGTACTGCAGGTCCAAAAATAAAAATGGCTATGAAGCCGGCAAAAAAGATCACGAAGACTTTTTTACACCCCAACAGCATGACAAATCTAAAAAGCCTAAAAAGGACAAGAAAAACAAAAAATCTAAGCAGCCTCTCTACAGCAGCATTGTCACTGTGGAGGCTTCTAAGCCAAATGGACAGAGGTATGATAGTGTCAATGAGAAGCTGTCAGACAGCCCAAGCATGGGGCGATACAGGTCCGTTAATGGTGGGCCCGGCAGTCCTGACCTGGCAAGGCATTACAAATCTAGTTCCCCATTGCCTACTGTTCAGCTTCATCCCCAGTCACCAACTGCAGGAAAAAAACACCAGGCCGTACAAGATCTACCACCAGCCAACACATTTGTGGGAGCAGGAGACAACATTTCAATTGGATCAGATCACTGCTCTGAGTACAGCTGTCAAACCAATAACAAGTACAGCAAACAGGTAAGATGTATCCCAAATATATTTAAATATCCCAGGGAGGGCTAATAACTCTGAGACAGATTATCTTCTGTAAAGTTTTGTCTTCTCGTTTTTAAAGTTATTAAAATTTTAACAGTAGGAATTTAATGTTAATTTTTGCACCATTAATTTAGCAAAGGCCATCTACAAGAGGTATACCACTGTATTTTGCAAATTAGAATTAAGGTTCACTAAACTACTGAAAGAAGTATTCAGAGTAGGCAGTGTTTGGCAGTTCTCTTTGCACTTGACATCCCTAATTCATACTACATTTTTTTGTTTCCAGAATAAATATGTGTGTATTACTTAGATGGTTAGTTTTCACCTGAAATTATTTTCTTCTGTGGCAACTAAGTGGATAATTACATCCAGAGAAAAAGTTTCTAAAGTTACTACTGGTGTCTATGCAAATTGGATTCCATAGAAGTTTTAGCTATGTTATTTACAATGCAGGATTTTACAGATAAATAGATGCTGATTCATGCAGATGTAGTACTAAGTCTGAGATATTGAAATACTGACTACTTTGATGAAACTGCTGGTTTAAAAATATTTACTGATATGCAAATGTCATGCAAAACTCCACTTTCAATCTTTTATATCTATAATAATCGATACCTATAACAATTAGTGTTCTATAATGATATGCAATTACCATTTGCATTCTTTCTGTTTGGTATTAAAAGTTTGCAAACAAAAATACATTGCATGAGCCATTTATTATTTAAGCCAAGTAATGAAAATATTCATGATTGATGTACTGTGTGCAAGACTATTTTGGTATGCATTATGATATATTGAGAATGTAAAGATTATGTGGAATATTTGACATAATAGTTTCTCAGTGAAATGTGGAAACAGTAAAAAATACATATATTCTGAGGCGGAACTTAAGCAAATCTGAAATTTATTTTTGAAAGTTTTCCTCGTGTAATATAGCATCCTCAGAAAGTTTACTTTGTATATCTACCAAAGTTTGCCACACAGCAAACAAGACCTTTTGGAAAGGACTGTGTCTCATGGTACAGCAACCTCAGCTAATAAAACATTACGTATTTCTTACTGTCAGAACCCATCTCAAGAAACACAGTTATGATTGTCAATCTAATTTCTATTAAACATGCTTTGCATGTGGAATGTGGAATCCGAGAAGAATTGAGGCAAAGGAAAAAGTTATTTTATAGCCTCATTGAAGATTATAGTTATAGAAAGAGATATGAATTCTTAATTGCTTTCATGATTATTGAAATTAGTATTTTAAATAAATATTTTCTGTATATAGTACTTTACTGTAGCTATTCAGATAAGGAGAAACAGTCTGAATATACTTTTATATCTAATAACAAATGCAATCCAAGAAAACACCAGTTCAAACTACATTTGCATTAAATGGCTTTTGAAAATATGTCCTTTGGTGTATGTGAATTTGAATTATTTATTTATTTTAAACCAACATTTGACATAGTGGAGTGTTTATATCTGTTGTATTATTGTGTTACATGGAGTGAGAAGCTGATTTTTGTGTTGTTTTGGTGCTTTTATTGGTGTTGTAAACAAGGAAGATTCTAGCTAAAATGGTAGCACTTTTTACAGATTAAACACTCAAAAATAAATTGAGATTTGTAGACATTTCTCTAGAAAATAGTAACACCTAATGCAAAGGAGTGTGAAGAGATCTGTCTGCAGAATATTTACACCTCGGTTCTTATCCTAATGGTACTTCTGTCCTGTGTCTGGATAGCATTTGCGTTCTAAATTGTGTAATCTTATGCTTTTGAATGGACATATCAAGTGACACTTTTATGGATATTTTATGCAAACACTTCATATGTTCTGTGCTGTTACTTAAGCTTCATTTGGCTCATCAGATGAGGTTAGCTCTATATGCTTGAATATTTAAAACAGCTAATATCAAGACTGTTGGCATCCTGTTTAAAAGGCAAAGTGATATGCTTATAAATAAACTAATATATGGTGTTAGCCTTTTAACTGAGTAAAGAAGTCCACATTCCAAAAGAGAAAACCCTCAAAGCAATTGGAATGAATCACACAGTTTGCCAAAAGTGACTTTGGAAAACTTTTCTGTCATTACATATTCAAAAGAAGTATACACTTTTAACCCCAAGTAAATAGCTGACCTAAAATGAAATAAAGGCAGATGAAACACATTCCCCTTAATGTAATTAGTAATAGTAATTGATATGTTTCATCTCCTCAATATTGCTGTCAGGGGACAAGGGATCCATTTACAAAGTTACATTCCGTTTTGACATCTGACATAAATGGGATCCTTTTTGTTCTGCTTTTTGTTTGTGCCATAAGTAGACAATTTCCTATTTTTATTTTTAAAATATATGACCTTTAATTTTTACAGAACTGCCAAAATATATTTTCTTTGATTAAACCTGATGTTATAAAAGAAAAAAAGAGAATTCAGGGTTTCGCGGGAATTTCCTTCTTTTGATAAATGGATTTATCTAAGGTAAAACTAGACTGTTGTATTCTTTCAATTCCATACAGCAGGGTCTAATTTAAAAATTGAGATTTCATTTTACATTCATTTTATTTATAGTTTTCCTGAATTGCCTTATTGCAGTTATTTATTTGTGAAAAAATTAAAGTGATGTTTCTTAAGAGTGTTCTTATCTTCATGAAAATTAGACATTTTAAAGTGTTGAACCTAAGTCCTGTTGTTTTCATTATAATAGGTTAAACAGCTTTGTAGAAATGAAAGTTTGTAAATAATACTCTCCCTTAACTGCTTACTTTTTGTTTTGTTTACATAGACTTGAGAGCCATTCAAATCAAGCTTCTATGGCAGACTCTAGGAAATGTGTGTGGTAGAGTTGCTGGAATTATTTCCGAAATTCACACTTTAGAAAAACTCACTGATGATGTAGCCCAAATTTTCATAGTTCATACCTTTGCATTTCAAACAAAAGCCTTTGCTCTCAGCTAAATAATGTGTTTAGCTGAGCAAAATGTGGATCATTGACAGCATGATTGAGATTAAGTATCCACCTTTCTGTTTCATTCTTCCTTGGTAAACCTGGTCTTGGTAGTTGTTAAACTTTTGTGAACTAGAAGTACAACTGTGTTTTTCATTCATAACATAAAGGCATACGCATTCTATTTTTCTGTTTATTTTTAAGTCTCTGGTATTTTACTATGTGCTAAGCATTTTTCAATTTTCTTTTAAAATAATGTAATCCCCCCAAAGAGTGATAGTATGAAAAGTACAGTTACTATTTTGCTTATTATTCTTGAATTCTATTGAGCTTATCCTTGATAGGCTGTTATTTAGATAATGCACTTACAAGTAAAAATTTTATTGTATTTAGTAAATGGAAAGTAAGGTAATTTATTTTTGGCAAGAGCTTAGTTTGAATAAACATCCATTTTAAAATCCACTTGCAGCTGATCCTGAAATACAAAAAATTTACATTAACTTCAGTGACAGTTTCAGTTTGTCTTCATAATGTTCTCTTTAGTGATCGAATTATGTTCAATATATTCATTGTATACCTAGTGAAAAAATTTGGGAGAATTTTTTAATTGCTTCAATTTTGGAAGCAAATGGTTGACTTGCTGTCATCTATTAAGCAATAAGAAAACTAAATGTCAATTCATTTGTGTGTGTGTGTGTGTGTATACATACATATGTATATATATATATATATATAGAGAGAGAGAGAGAGAGAGAGAGAGCATATATATATATTCTTTAGTGGAAATGCATCTACATAGTGATGCCAACCATAGCTTCCAGTGCTCATTCTGTAAGCATAATTTTTACAATGTTTTTCTCCTGTCTATAACCAAGGATGTTTTCATAAGGCACAATGAATCTGCATATGTTGTAATTTCCGTTACATTTGGCCTGATACCATAGGCAAAACACTAATAGCTGATGGAAGTTAGGCTGTGTCTTTAGTCATCTAGTAAAGCAACACTATCTGGATCTCTGGATGTCTATGAAATAAGGAAAAGGTCATCCATTGATTTGATCCGCAATGAATTTGCAAATTTATATGGAAGTCCACATGATTATTTGAATCTTATCCAAAACTTATCCTAAACCAATTAATGACTTAGATGTAAGACCACAAAGTCAGTTTAAATATTTTAATGAGCCATCTAGTACAATAAATATGGCAAAATCATTTTTTCTTATCCTTCTATCTTTGAGTAATTACATATCTCGTATGTGAAAAAGTGTGAACATGGTTTATATCACAAACTCTGTACACACAGAGACATATACACACATATTAGTGTATACCATTTATAGCTGTATTAGTCTTTTATTTAGTCATGATGTTTATAGATTAATATGTGAAAAATATCTAAGCTTAAACATACACAATGTTGAAATAAAATATACTATAATCAACAGCTTAATGACTGTACATGAAATCACTAGCATCATCACATTTTAGAATTACAAGGTGTCAAACAGTCCCCTCATTTTAATAGAAGAGGAGACTGAGGCCCAGCATGAAACAGTGACTTGATTGGGATTACAAAATTGTCAGGGATATAATGTGGACTAGAGTCCAAGTTATGGAATGTAGTGTCCAGTATTCTTATTTATCTGATCATACTACCTTTGGGGGAAAAAAACTGAATTTCTGTAACTTTCTGTGTGTGTATTTCAATTGCAGTAGAAATCTGTTGAAATTTACTTACTTATTTATGACTATATATTTGGCTATGAAGATTGACATCTTTACAATAGACTATAATTCTGCTTTAGGCTCCAGTTCTTCTGTGTAAAATTATCTGGGAAAATATAATTCAAAATTTACAGAATTTTAAAGAAGTTAATAATTCTTTTCCCTCATGTAGGATTGTAATTGATAACATAGAGTAAAGCATCTTAACATGGTTAAGAACATATATTCTGTTGACAGAATTTTTAATATTAGCAGAACAATGATAACAGACATAAGTTCCTTCCTAGCAATTAGTATATTTCAATAAAAATTCATTTAAATAGAAAAGAATTAAAACATTCTACACATTATGTATGAAACTTTTTATGCATTCTAATTGTGATAATCTTTTACCTTTTTCATCAATATTGATAATTACTTTTGACTTCTGGGCTTGTGTGCATTTTATCAACTTTGCACATACATTTTATTTTAGTAGCATCCTTAACACACAGTCATGCACGAATGTTTTCTCTTAATTTGTTTTCTAGCAAGTTTTTAGAAGAATATGACATTTTGTTAACTTTCAATTGGATTGCTTCCTTGTTAGGCAGTTAACCAATCTAGTGTACTAGATTCTAAATTTGCACAGTGATAAAATATAAATTATTGAATCTATTAATTTTAAAAATAAAATCTGAACTATTTTAAAAACTAAATATAGTGTGACAAAGCCATTACTTCAACACAGCAATCTACTCTATTAAACATTTTAACATCTTTTCTTTCCTGGGAGGATGTGGTGGTGGAGATTATGTAGGAGATTTAGTATAATTATATACAGTATTTTAAATATATATATAACTTTAAATATATAACATGACTTTGTTTAGAATAGTCATGTATAAAGAGTGTATAATCGATTTCTAGACTATGGCAAGGTTTCCCATTCATTTATTTACTATGACTCTATAGAAATAGTAAGAGCTGTTCCCATATATCTAGAGTAAGCTTTGCTTTTCTTAGTTTTTTTAAAAAAACCCATAGAATCTTTTCTAAAGCAGTGACTCTTTTGCGGTACATTACACTGTGCTTTATTTAGCATTAGTGTTGTGGGAAAAATCACATTCTAAGAAGAATTGAGCTGAAACCACTAAAACTAATCTTAATTATCACTTCTGGTGAATTAATGTTTTAAAGGCGGAATCAAGGTTTATTTTCAGGAATGTAGTGATGTTTGTATTGAACTCTAATGCTGTGTACAAACAAAAAGCTATTAAAGCTCCCAGGTAGGATTCCTCTGACAAGTTAACTTCCCCCACCCCCCAAGTGTATTTATTATTTACAAACACAAAGTTGGCATTAAAATTTTTCTTAGCTCCGAAATCTCTACTAAAGCTTTCCAATTGGGCATAAGACACTGGGGAAAATTTCTTTATCGATTTTTTTTTACCTGCATAAATCTTTATTTTCCTTCTTTCAGATGCGTCTACATCCATACATTACTGTGTTTGGCTGAATTCCACTCTAATATGATGCTCCATTATGCACCATACTGTGATGACCTTTCTACTCCGAAACCTGCTGGAGCCTGCCCTTGGCCGTGGGGTGTCAGCCAATCACTGCTTGTTCCACTTGTTGTACATTTTATTTTTGAGTCTTTTTCTTTCTCATATACAGAAAAATAGTATGAAAATAAAATAAATGTATGAAACAGTATTAATGCAGAAATGTGCTACTAATGGATGTCTGAGTCACCAGAAATTCCATTCTTAAAGAGGCGGTTAGCACCTATTAGACGTAACAGTGATGTCTTTTAAAAAATCCAAAAGCATATTGCAACAATAAGTTTGAGACTTTGTGTGAACAAAGGGAAATTCAGCCTCTTATGTCTTTGTCTTTAATACATTAAATACTGATTTTGAATAAAAATCTAAATTGATCAATATTTTTAAGTGCCATGTAATCACAGGCCTGTCAGATAGTTTTGTTAGAGTGAAGGATAATATCTTTTGCTCATTCTGTGTGTGTATTTTTAAATGCTGTTTTGTGTGTTTGTGTGTGTTTCCATATATGTGTGTGTGTGTGTGTGTATATATATATATATGCTGGAACTTTGAGCAATATTTATAAAAATATTGTCTGTAAAACAAGTTTGAGAAATTAATTTTTTATATTTATAATGGGCACTGTAATGGATTGATTTTTTTCTTAATCTTGAAATAGTGACCAAGATATTTATATCATTTTTGAATTTATTTTTTAATTCTTTAAGAAAATTTAGAACTTTTCACTTTCATTTGCTAAAGTCACTGTAGTCACATTCGGAAGGAATATGTGGCTTTCTGTTCTTTATGGACTACGTTTATCAGAAGTCCATATTTATTAAACATCCTATTTGATGTCAGATAACGTAAACTCAAGCAGCTTCAAAGAGTTCAGCATGTTACATATTATTGAGAGAGCAAGTGACTGAATTTTAGTTGTATAAGCAATATTATAGGTAGGTCAGGGAGTCCTCTGGATGGCCCCTCTACCTCTTTATGTTTGTATGTTTATGTCTTTATTTGTTATGTCGTATGTGTTTATGAGCCTAGAAAATAGCCTAGAAAATAAGTGTTCCATATGTAAAGTTTAATAATTTTGTAATACATTTACCACGCTGTCTGCCCTATTAAAATTTTCCACAAATTTGGGAACTAAGAATGCCAAATTCTCAAGATTTTTTGGTGAATCACTCTCAATATAATAGCCACTTAAGAAAAATAAATAAATAAATATTGGAAGGCCATTGGAAGTGATAGGAAATGCACTGTAACCCCTGTGAATCTCTAATGTATACCTGAGGATTTTCATTTTATAAGCTGTGTATTTAATCTTGCAAAAGGGAAATTTTCAGAAACATCACTGCAAGTACAGTAAGATTTCTGTATAAAACTTAATTATCCTCAACCTCTCATTTTGTTTTGAACACAAGGACTAGTGTAAGAAACTGGTGAAAGGAACCTTACCAATCTCTGCTTCTTGAAAATGCTGTTTTCCTCATTCCAAATAGTAAACGTCACTAGATATTCTTCAAATGTAAATCCCGTAACAAGTCATATCAACTCAAAAACAAATTACAGAAAAATCAAAGTCTAGAATTTTGGGTTAATTTAATGTGCAATCACATAGAAGTGATATTTATGAATACCTTCACAAAGAAGAACATTGTAAGTTAGCATTTTCTAAACAGGTTGCAACACACTCTTGAGGTATGAATCAATTTATTGAGTCTCTACCACAATTAGAAAAGTACAAAATAAAATAGAAAAATTCAGAGTACATCACCCATAGTAAGAGTAAATATTGACTTGTGCAATTTTTGTTTCAGTTGTGTTTGTGTGGAGGTGTGTGTTTCTGTTCTCGGTTGCTATGTTAAAAATATATCTTATTGTGGAAGCAGTTGAAAAGGTTTGAGAACCAGCACTCTAGACTGGGGTAGGAAGTTATGGCTATTTACTATTATGACTGGAAAAACATAGTAAATCAAAGCAAGAAAAAAAAATGCTGACACTCTCAAGGATTTTAGTGTACTATTAAGCTGAATCAGAATGATCAACAGCATACTGATTACAGCAACATTTATCAACAGTAAAAAGCTTTTGAGAAGTCTATTACCATTCCTCTACTATTCTTGTGATTAAAAACAAAAAATCTTTGAACACGTGCCATTGGTTTATTGACCAGATACAGATTCCCAGTCCCCCTTCCCCAGTCCCTTACCATGCCCAGCGCCTCCCCAGCTATTCCTCACCCAGCTGTTGCTATCAAACTCAGGTCTCTAGGTCAGTGAGTCTCCTTTGTAATTACTGGAACTTACCATTTATGGAGGTGCCTGTGGACAACGGACAGGTTTAGACAGAGCAAACCACATATTACCCTGTATAGTTTAGCATGTGGATATTTTATTTTAAACTAGAAGACAATAATTAATTCTCCATTTCAAAATCTGAGAAGGAATATGAGATGCTAGAGACTGGTCTATTTTAGAGTAGTTCATCCTTTGGATAAAGTTTTTTCCTTTATCTATCAGTACCGGTCCTGGTACTAAAAGAATAATAAGATAGAGTCTTTGCCCTCATGGAATTAATATATTATAAAGATGATAACAGGGCAGAAAAATGTTACTTCGTTTCATTTAAAAATTTTATTTTATTTTTTTAAGAGACAAGTGTCTCATTATGTTGCCCAGGTTGGATTCGAACCCCTGACCTCAGGGGATCCTTCTCCCTCAGCCTCTGAGTAGCTGGGATTACAGGTGTCCACCACCACATTGGACAGAAAAATGATAGTTTATATTTGTATCATGCTTCTTAAACTTCAAAGCATTGAATACATGTTTGCTTATTTGTACCACAGAACAAACTGTGAGGAAAAGCACCAGTTTACCAAGGTGAGGATACTGAAATAATGAACAGGTTTTTCACGACTCTAATGTAACTAACTTAAAAACCTTATAACGTCTGTGAAAAAAAATATTCAGTCATAATTCAAGAGTACTGAAAACATTTGAGGGAAGTTTTGAAATGTATGTTTTGGAATATAGAAGAATTCCTTAAAACAGGTCCAGTTTTTCAAACATTTTGAGTCACAAACTGCACTTCATACTACTAAAAAATCATGCTTGTGGGATTAATTTGGAGATCCAATTATTCGACTGGACTTATGAACTACAGCCACATATGTGATTAAAAAACAAAACCCTCAAGAATTAGGCAAATCACTTTATAACCCTAACTTTATTTTTTAGGTTATCTTAAAAAAAAACACACAAAAAACCTACCAAAGTCTTTTGGGAGCAATTCCACAGTTGGAAATATCTCTCTGGGAATAATTTTCTATCTGCAACTTTGCAAAACACTTTCTTTGATGTGCGTGACTTTTTTAATCCATTCATTTTTTAGAAAATGTATTAATTTTCTATCTTTTTTTTTTTTTTGAGACATAGTCTGGCTCCATTGCCCAGGCTGGAGTGCAGCAGCACAGTCACGGCTCACTGCAACCTCTGCCTCCCACGTTCAAGCGATTCTTCTGCCTCAGCCTCCCAAGTAGCTGTGATTACAGGTGCCTGCCACCATGCCTGGCTAATTTTTTGTATTTTTAGTAGAAATGCAGTTTCACCATTTCGGTCAGGCTGGTCTTGAACTCCTGACCTCAAGTGATCCACTCACCTTGGCCTCCCAAAGTGCTGGGATTACAGGCTTGTGCCACTGCGCCTGGCCATAATTTTCTGTATCTTTAATACACACTGAAAGGCTTTGGAGTGAAGATACAACAACAACTAGAATAAGTTCCCTGTCTTCATACATAGGACAATGAAAAATAATATATATGAGGCAAGGGAGACATGAAGCTCAGAGGGACTGCTGTCAAGTTTTTTTTGCCATCACAGTATTTCCAGTGCCCAGTAGAGTGCTGGGCTTAGAGGAGGCACTCATAAATGCTTGTTGAACAAATAAACAAAGGGCCTAGGCTTTGTTGCTAGGTAGCCTGCAGATCCATCCACATTGGATTGTTGGAATATGGGGTGGCTATTTTATATTAGGCTCTGAGAATCTCATAGTTGCTATTTTCTGCCCCTGCTGGGTGGGTGTCTCCAAGATGAAAGTCTACCTGCTGTGTTGGCCGGAGTCCCTGCCTTCCTTGTGTGGTGTGTGACCCTTGTTTCGGTAGCACATGGGCAATTCTCTGATCTCCCCGCTTCCCTTCTTCTCCTTGGTGGTGTAAGCACGGAAGCCTTAGACAAGCTAAACTCAAGCAAATGTTTGAGGCAAGTAAGAGACGCACTGGTCGTACAGTACACTTTGACATTTTGAGGGGGTATGAAGAACAATCACAAAAACGTACAGGTTTTTAGCATTTTTCTGAATATCATTATCTGGAGAAGATGTAGATACATGTGCACACAAACACACCCACAAACCTCTGTTTTCGTCAACTGATATATTCCTGCAGATATTATTCCTTCGTTGTGCTAATCCATGCTCACCGATAAACTTTCCATCTTTGTTCAGTCAAATGTCAAGCAGCCATGTTTAAAGGTGAGGCGGGGCATATCTTGGTTTACTAAGCAAGGACGTATATGCCGTATCTTGAGAGCAACGGGCAGTGATTTGAGAGCAGAGCGATGCCTTGCAACTGAAAGTCACTTCTGAGCAGCCCAGAATTTTCGAAGGACTCCTCCTTTAAAGTGTAACTGACCGTAAGTGACCCCTGAAGCAGTTTGGTTCAGACTTTAGCTCGCCAGGGTGTAAACTGCTCTAAGTGGATAACTAGGTCAGCAACTCACAGAGATCAATAGTCCTTAAGAAACGGGAATTTTGATTAGGGCCTTGAGGAAAGATGGGGTAACCTTGGGTAGCTTAGAAGACTGAGACTTGTGTTAACGTATCTTGAATTCTAGCGAGGAGTTGGGGAGGTAGGGTGAGATTCTATCAGCGAAGGATGTTCAAGCCTGACAAAAGCAAATGTTTGTGGCCTGGAATTTTGGGCCAGGGCCTTGGTGACCATAAGGATGCCAGTAAACATCATGCTATATGATTGCAAGATTCGTGTGAAAAAGTAGGAAACCACTTCTTCCTATTTAGACCAAGTGGCTTGTTTGGGTTTGGTTTTTGTTTTCAGGCTAGAAAATTCAGTCTAACTGCTTCATCTCCATTCATTTTCTGCTCTCATACTTATGGGAGATAGAGGAGTACAAAGAAGAAAAAGGGGAAAAAGAAAGCAGAAAAACTGCGTGGCACCATACCCGACTCCTCTCTACTGCTGTTAGACAAGTATAGTAAAAATAGTTGCCACTTTTGACACATTATTGCCACACAGTGGTTTCTTACCCTAACTTAACTGGAGGAAGCTGAGACTTAAAGAGGATAACAAAGGCCTGTTTTTCACTGTTGGAAGAAACTTGAAAAAATACAAATAACAAAAATCTGTGGAATATTTAGAGCAGACCAAATGTAAAGAGCTCTCCTACCCCATACTGGTTGGATGGACTAAATATTTCAATAATTTGAGAGATAATATATTTCATTTATTTACCTGTAATCTTTTAGCAAAACAATAAAGATTAAATGGAATTAAAACTGTTTTTAATTTAAAAAATCGGGGTGATCTCATAATGTGGTGTGCGACTGTGTTAACCAAGTGTAATAGGCCTGTGATTTTTATCTGGCACAAATGTCATTTTAGTTTTTTTAATTTATTTTATTTATTTATTTTCATTTATTTTTTTTTTTTTTTTTTGAGACGGGGTCTCGCTCTGCCGCCGGGGCTGGAGTGTAGTTCCGCGATCTCGGCTCACTGCAAGCTCCGCCTCCCGGATTCGCGCCATTCTCCTGCCTCAGCCTCCCGAGTAGCTGGGACTACAGGGGCCCGCCATTGCTCCCGGCTAATTTTTTTGAGTTTTTAGTAGAGACGGGGTATCACCGTGTCAGCCAGGATGGTCTCGATATCTTGACCTCGTGATCCGCCCGCCTCGGCCTCCCAAAGTGCTGGGATTACAGGCGTGAGCCACCGCGCCCGGCCACAAATGTCATTTTAAATGCAGGTTTTGCATGCCGCATTCTCAGAAAATCAGTTCTAGGAAGTCTGTTCTATCGCCTAGAAACCTGAGTTTTTAACACTAACCCCTATTCTCCATTCTGATTGCAAAATGTAAGCTACGCTAGTGAAATTGGGAGTTACAGCTTTTGAAATTCTTACCACCTTCTTACTGGTTTACTCCTCAAAGGTCTCTGGAAAAATAGAAAACTAAAGCTGGATGAGGGAATCTAAATCTGCCTTCTAGCCCCAGCTCTGTCACTGATTGGCTGGTGTGACCTTGTGAAGTCCCGTTCAAGTCTTGAAGTCTCTGGAAACTCCTCTTCTGTCACTTTAGATTATAACTCCTGCTCTGATTACATGACAGGGTTTATGGGAGTCATATAAAACATTTGCAACTTTTTGAAGCACTAAAGCAACTGAAGAGAATATTTCTAATTATCTATGAATTTCTCTAACCTCTTTTTCAGTTGCATTTACACTTTTGGGGGCGTTTTCAATATATTATATTTAAAATATAGGCTGGGTGCAGTGGCTCACACCTGTAATGTCAACACTTTGAGAGGCAAATGTGGGAGGATCGCTTGAGCCCAGGAGGTTGAGGCTGCAGTCACCTGTGTTCACGCTGCACTCCAGCCTGGGTGACAGAGGGAGATCCTGTCTCAAAAAATACGTATGTATACATATGTGTGTGTGTGTGTGTGTATGTATTTGTTACACTTATCACTTGTTTGATCTTGTGATAGCTTCTTATCCTAGTCACTGTCTTCAAAGTTACAATAATTTCAGATCAAGGTGCATCAACCGAGTGTGGCCTTCCACATATACCAGTAGGCACTGGGTATTGTGAGAATGACTTTCAGTGCTGTTGACATGTCCCTGGTAAAGGTGGAGAGGTAAAGCTTGTTGTCATAAACTAGGTAGTATAGGAAAAACTCACAATAGTTTGATAACATTCTTTTTTACATTTGAAAAAATCCAGGTTAGTAGAGAGAATCTATGTGAGTCTACTCAGGATGTTATGACAAAATACCCCAGACCGGGTGTCTTAAACAACAGAAGTTAATTTTCTCTTGGTTTGGGAGGTTAGAAGTCTCATGTCAAGGTGCTGGCAAATTCAGTTTCTGATGAGGTCTCTCTTACTGGCTGTAGGTCTCTGCCTTCTCTTTGCATCCTCAGGTGACTCTTCCTCTGTGCCTGAGTGGAGAGAGAAAGCTCTGGTGTCTCTTCCTCTTTTTATAAGAACACTGGTCCTATCAGATTAGAGCCCTAACTTTAGTACCCCATTTAACCTTAATTTTCTCCATAAAGGCCCTATCTCCAAGTACAGTCACATTGGAGAATACAGGGCATGATTTAGTCCATGACAGAATCTATTATTTTCTGAGCAAAAACACATTGGACTGGACCATTGTTTCTTCATGAGCTTGTCTTTATTACACACAGCCCGTCCATTCCTGGGAAAGTACGCTTCCCATTTTAAAGGAAACTTTCCTTCCCTTGATGAGCTCCAAAAAACCAACCTTATGGATCTGTTCTTAAATTGAAAAAAAAAAAAGGTACAATTACTATCGTTTTTGTGAAAAATATATGAATCTATACTACGTTTGCATGGGCATCAAATTTAAAATACATTGTTTAGCTTACTATATCTAACTTATTAGGCACATCACTGACTGCTGTCTGCAATGTTAAGCTTTCATGGAGATTTCTGACATTAAATAACATCTTAGTTTTTTCTTAATTCTGCTAACCAATAAGTGCATGAGGGTATATTAATTAATGTAAAATCAACATTTACATGAAACAGTCTAAAAACTGTTTCACAAATTTAACAGTTCTTTTTAATGGCAATATTCATATTTAGTCTTAAAATTTTAGTGCATTTTCAGCATTAAAATGAAAAGCAATAGGAGTTAAGTGGAGAGGGAGTCAGTTGAAACAGAAATGTAGTCTTAATATTCTTCTTATGAAAGCACAGTCTCAGTGGATTTTCATGCACAGTGGCATAATTGGTCTGACATAGATCCAGTGGGTCTGATTTCTCATGGCATATGGAAACTGCCAGGCATGTAACCAAGGCTGGTACCACGCTCTGAGTGACTCTTCACGATTATTATGTACGCATGCAATACACGTTTTATCATGAGACCAATCCATGGACAAATTAAAAATTATGCTTTTGTTCCCTTTGTGCTTTTCAATGTTTAAAATAAAATAAAAATTTCCCATGATAAAATTAATAATGAGCAACCTGGAACTATATATATATATTTTATATATAAAAATATATATATTTTATATATATATTATATATATATATCTGTGTTCCAGTGTGCTGTAGGAGTGATGACTTTGTGAGGGTAATACAGGATAAACTCATCAAAGTCCAGAAGGGGAAATTCCTCCTTCTTTTCCTTTGGTCAGCATTTCTAGGCAACAAAATGTAACAGCGAATAGACTTTTTCTAAGAAGTACCTTTCTAAGCTTCTAGAGCTAATTTTACATTTGACCCTCTACAATTAATATTATAAACTTTAACAGTTCCCTTGTTGAGGGAAATGGCAATAATGATGGTATAAACAAATATATATTTTTTAAATTGCATCTAAATCTGTTTTTCAGTGTATTTAACTGTTGAACACAAGGATCAATTTCATATACAGAGATGGTATTTCTGTTGGATTTAGGAACAATAGATGGTAATGTCTGGATTTTTCCCAAACTAATGCTTATACTGTTAGGTCAAGGATATTAAAATTTACTCTGTTACTAAAACTTGATGTTTTCTTTAATGTTTTACCTTTAATAAGAAATGTATGTGTGTATGTATTTATGTGTAGTGGACGTATTCATATGCATATATACATATACATACATGAAACACACAGAAAGAGGTAATGCGGTTGACATTTCAGAAAGAAAATAGTGAATCACTACTATATGCCAATTATGCTTAAGGTCTATTCCAGGCACCAGAGAAAAAGTAGTAAATGAAACAGAAAAAAGTTTCTTCCTTCGTGGAGTTTCAGTTTTAGTGTTGTAATATGTAAATAGTATATCAATGATAATATGTAAATACATAAATAGCTAAACTTGCATTGCACACTATATTTTAGGCACTGGTCAACATATTTCACATATATTAACTCATTAAATAGTGATAATAATGATAAAGCAACACCTATAATTATCTTCATTTTTAGTTTTCGAAGCAATGTGCAGCAGCGTTAAGTAACTTGCTCATGGTCACACAATTTGTAAAGTGATAGAACTGAAGTTTAGGTAAGGACAGTTGGGCTGCAGAGGCCACTCTCTCTGCCACTGTGCATATATGAAGTAGAGGGAACACATCTATTTTACAGCCAACTAGTTCTGTGAGAATGGAATTGGATTCCCTTGCTTCTCTTCCCTTCAGTGATATTTCAACCTTGCTATTTTAGTATCTTGTACTATGTTCTTGAAATTAGGTCACTCTGTCCAATTTTTTAAAAAATAGTTTCACCTTAAATCTTACCTTATGCAAAACAAAAGATGGGAAGATGCATATTAGACCAGTTTTATCCTGTGCTTTTGGGAAACACTTCATAAAATATTTTTTCTTTTTCATTATTTTATTTCAATATTCTTCAATTCACTCATTATGTATATAGTTTGTTATTTATATCATTAGTACAGGTAGGAAAAAATAATTTCATTATTTTTGTTGATTGCCAATTGATTCAGGATAGGAAAATGCCTTTTCATAGAGAATAACATTTTGACTAGGATTTTTTTAAAAGTACATTTTGTTTACCTTTTACAAAAAAAAGATACATGTTTTTCTCTTGAGGTTTTTTTTTAATCTTTCACAATGTTTGAAAGAAAATAAAGTGAAAGTGAATTACTTATACAAGATTCTAGTTTTACCTAAATTAGTTGTTCGTTATTAAATAGTCAATTAAAATATGACCTATGTCATCTAACAGTTTTTTAAAAAATATCATTTTACTTCTTATTAAAAGCATTTATATAAATTTTTATGATACATGCTTTTTTTTCAAAGAATATGAAACATTTTTAATCAGCTAAAGTGTACATAAGCAATACCAAAGCCCATCTGAAGTTAATTCTTTATGAAAGCAATGGTGCAGTGATTTTTTTGCTGTGACATTGTGTTCTTCATGTGTGGATGATGCTTTTCATTGTAGGATTTTTTTTCAACTGAGATATCTCAAAATATGATCTTTGTAATATAACTTTGATATCGGTTATATAATGTTTTTAATACATATGATCTGAGTTGATATATCATTAGAATGATTTAAAATTTTAGACTTCAAAAACTAGTGAATTAACTATGCGAGGCTGTTTCCTTAGTCCACTTATGCATTTATAGAGTTTTGTTTACTCAACAGTAGATGGTTTTTTTTTTAGAGCCGAGTGTGTCACTCGGGCTCAGGTGATTCTCCCACCTCAGCCTCCCAAATAACTGGTGCTACAAGTGTGTGCCACCATATATGGCTAGTTAAAAAAAAAAAAATTATAGAGACAGGGTTTCGCCACGTTACCCAGGTTGGTCTGGAACTCCTGATGTTAAGCCATCTGCCCGCCTTGGCCTCCCATAGTGCTGGTGTTACAGGCGTGAGCCACTTCACCTGGCCAACAATAAATATTAAAACATTGCCACCATTGCATTTTTTCCTAGGAATGGAAATAAAGTATGCTAAAATTGTAAGGAACCCAGTCAATCCCCTGCAGGTCCCAATGCCCAACATATAACCTCCTTATCATTCTTTTGAAAGTTTAACTCCCAGTTGGAAACAACCAACTTAGAGGCAAGTAACTCTGGAAGTTGAATAGTGTTTGTTATTTGCTGACTGACTGTGGGCACCACAAATATAATCTGCAATTACTATATGAGTAGAGTATAAGCAAATTAGGGGATGGAACAATCTGGCTCGATTTGGAAAGCTGTTTCAAATTTAGTGTCTGAAAGTGGACAATTAATTTTGAATCTATAAACGTCAATGAAAATATTTGTATGCTTTCAAGGAGGGTTCAAGAGAAGAAGAAAAGATTGAGGATGCAGCGTGTTTTGCATGATCTCATTGTAAGAACTTCATGAAATTTATGATTTGCTCTGTGTCTATTATTATCATTCTTGCAAGATGTTTCCTGGATACACCAGGAATACGCTTGTGAGTCTTTGTATTCATTCAGACAAGTGGCAGTTGTTTTCAGTCCTCAGTAAAAAATAGTGTAAACACTCACCTCACACAGTTAATAATAAAATTGTATGTTTATCAGTTCTTGAGAATTCATGGCTATTAATTTTGATTTTTGATTTTTTTTTGTAAAATTAGAACAGTTATTGTCAGAGCACAAGTCAGGGCTTCCTAGTGGCAAATAATCATGTAACTGCACTGCTTAGCCAGACAAATAGTTTAATGAAGAATTTATGCTTACCATTTCAAATATTATCTAGAATATTGCTTGCTAATCATTAGATGAAGGCACACCCTGGAGGGATATGAAGTGTCTGATGTCTCCACTGTGTCGTATTGCTGTTAATAGGATAGCATATGCACATCGTGAAGGAAGAACAGACATGGCTTCGAAAAAACAAATTGATCCATATAATATAGTACTTTTACAACCTACATGTATATATGGCTATATGCATTTCTCTTTAGAAATGCTGGGTTCTACATTTTAAGCTACAGAGATGCTGTGCAAAGAAAATGAGAGTGATTTGTGTGAAGCCTAAACAAAGGAAATTCAGAAACATTTCTAGTCCTAATTATTATATCATGCATATTTGTGAAACTTGCCTGGAGTTCAGAGTTGACAGGTGTGATGCCCTTTTGATCTTTGTCATTAGTATACTAAAAGAGTGCTGCCACTTGAGCTGTGAATTTTGTTTTAATTCGGCTTCATATGAGAAAGAAAAAGAATATTCATCACATACTGCTTCATATCAAAAGAAATTGAAATGCAGAAAGATCCTCACATCTAAAAGCCACATAACTTACCATACAATATGCCATCATATTAGTGGTTACAATCCTGGCTAGGACGCAGATACAGATTTTACAAGATTTATTTTAGTCTTGATCTCTGATGTTGAGCAAATCACTCAACTTCTCTTTATCTCTGTTCTTTAATTAATTCATCTAATACTCTCTGGGAAATGTAAGACACTATAAAAATCCAAGTGACACTTTGGTTATTGATTAATATAATATCGATTACATGTTATTGTAAATAAACTAGCTTTGGGGAAGATGGTGGGAAATATAAACAAAAATAAAATAATGATGCCAAAAACTGAAGCTAAGTATTTTCCTAAGGAAAAAAATAGATTTTTCGAAAAGAATATCTTGTAACCAAAAATAGCAGAGTTACATTGTCACATTTTATTCCTAGCATTCATCTGTGGAGGAGAATTGAAGACATATTATTTTATCACTCTGCGCAAAAGCTGAAATGTCTTATTGAAGAAAGGAGAGAAAATATGCTTCAGAGCTAGAGAGGAAAGTCTTAATTTACAAAAGGAAAAAAATCAAGGATTTTGCTCAGGGGTTCAAAAAATGGCTTATTTCTTTTTTATCACTTAAGCTGGTTTCTTGCTGGGCCTTTTTACTGAATAATTGAAAAAAAAACTGGGTGGGGGAGGGACTTTTTCATCAAAGGAAAAAGATAGAAATAAAGGTACTAAGGGAATATAGATAGGAAGTTGTATCTTTCTGTACTTTTATGATTGACTACATTTTCTCCTAAACTTATAGTTGAAAAAACCTGAAAAAATATCGGCCTCTGAGGAAAATCCTACAGAATAAAACATAGCATTCTCTGCTCCTTCAATCCTTCTTCTCAATCTTTCTCTCTCATACATACACACACACACACACACACGTATACCTCAACAAGCTCAAACTACTTTATGTTTTAAATCAGTCATAATTTATCTTTGCAAACTAAAAAAAATCAGTTTGGTGAACATTGAAACTTTGGGGGAATATTGGCGTTTTTGAAAGCTGCTTTCAGAATAAGTATTATTAACTATCTCACTAGATTTCAAGTTGTGGAGGAAAATTACTAGAATAATGACGTGGGCAAAGTAGAAATTCTGTACTTGGCAATCTTCCTGAAAGACATGGGATTGTAGGCAATCTATCTCCGTTGATTCTTTAGAATGCTCTACAACAGTCAGTTTATGATAGTCTGAGGTGTTGCTCTTTTCTTTCCTCAGTGGCATCCTGTAAGCTTTTGCTATCTTCATTTTTCCCGCCAAGCTGTTTTCTCACTGTCTCAGAGGAAGTCAGAAGTCAGTATCTACCAAGCAGCCAAGTGGTAGGATTTTAAACACTGAATGTTTTTTCAACTTCAGTGTCCCAGCTGCATTGAAAAAACCATAAAGGACTAACAGACTAACAAATTTACATTTTTAAAAAAATCAGCAAGTTTCCAACATTCCTTGATTCATATAACTAAAGGTCAGTAAAAGCAAAAGAGTTTCCTTAGGCTGTGTCTCCATTAACCTATATGATTCGAAATAAGGTGGGACCATAAGTAAGACTGTAATAATAATGTAACCATGATTTACATGTCCAATGGGTGTTGTTCATTCATTTATTTAACTCCCAATTATTAATGTTCCATTACACTAGTAGTATGAAGCAGGAGCTGACAGTCTTGTAGGGGAGACAGACTTGTTCAGGAATAATTATAATGTAGTATGATAAGGGTTATAATGGGAACCATATGTACCCTGAGGAAGGACTGACTGATTCCTAGAAAGGATGACACTTGGCACTTGGCTCACAAGAGTTAGAATATGGCTTTGATTTCCTTCTCCTTTATCAGTCCTGCATCAGTCTTGCAACCTTGGCCATAGGGCATCAACTATTCTCACTGGAGCTGAGTTGGGATGTATTTTTCTTCACATTCCTCCTTTACATTTCAACAAGTTTTTGCTTTTAACAGATTGCTAATGGATTAATTCTTTAATTGTCAATCCTAGAACCAGTTAATGAGCAATTCCCATTAGCTTCACTGTATTTTAGTCATTCTATGATTTTGACCAAAACTGAACTTATTCACTGTAACTGTTCACCCTGAATTCTTCACTCTTGGCTCTAAATGACTTTTAGTTATTTTTAGATGTCAAATCACCTTCAGATGGAACTTTTGCCATCATCGAGGAGATTGAAAATAGAGGGACAGATGCTGTGAAGCGATTTCCAAAAAAACAAGGAGTTTATATAAAGAAGATATATAGACACTTTTAATCATGGAAACATTTCTGGAATGTTTACACCCTCCCATGGCAACTTCTTTGAAGAGTACAATTCATCTGAGTCATAAATTATATTTTCCTAAAAACAGTCACGTAATCTCATATTTTTACATCTTGTTTTTTTTTTTTATGAATTGGTTGTAGAGGGTGTTCTAGCCCTGGGATATCTGGAGAACAATTATAATGACTTTTTTTCTTTTACAATTTCTAATTATTTTTAGGTGGCTTTCATTTATCTAGTGCTCTCCTTTTCACTGGAGCACTTATCATGTGTCCTATTAACACTGGTACTTGTTATCAGCTGGCTTTCAGATAATCCTGCTTAAGTGACTGGTTGATGACAGCTTTTAAGATACTGCCTCTCCAAGTTATATTTCTATTCATGGAGGATTCTAGAAGAACAAAAAGCCTTGACATGAGGCTTTCTAATAAAGGCACTCATGTGGGGCATCATGCAGTATGGAAAACAGTGGAGGCAAAACAATCCTGGTCGACTTTTCTCCTGTCACTCTTGGTCCCTGCATGAAGTCTTTTAAAGCTGTAACTAACAACAGATCCCTGGTTTTGTGTCTTGGTGGAAATTAGGTACTTCTTATTTAGTGCTGATATCATCCAGGATCAAATTACTCAGTTTATTTGTGTGTGTGTATGTGTGTGTGTGTGCGTGCATGCACATATAATTTTTCTTCTAAAGAGATATTATTATTATTACTGTTAATTTTTTTTGATACAGATTCTCACTCTGTCACCTAGGCTGGAGTGCAGTGGCGTGATCTCAGCTCACTGCAACCTCTGCCTCCCAGGTTCAAGTGATTCTCCTGCCTCAGCCTCCCCAGTAGCTGGGATTACAGGCATGCACCACCACATCTGGCTAATTTTTGTAGACGGGGTTTCAGCATGTTGGCCAGGCTGGTCTTGAACTCCTGACCTCAAGTGATCCGCCTGCCTCAGCCTCCAAAAGTGCTGGGATTACAGGTGTGATCCACTGTGCCTGGCTAAAGAGATATTATTTTTACAAATCCTGAAGCAATTCAAGGTTTGAAAGACTCTCACCTCGAGGAAATAATAGTGGCTGAATACTTTAAAATTATATTTCTATCTTTTATGAAAATGATTAAAAAGAAGCCACAGGCAGAAAGACCACAACATTTAAAAAGTGTCCTGGCCCACCCTCAGTGTAAAAGATAGTAAACAAAAATCCTAATTCAATCTGGTTTTTGCAAGAACCAGATTGATTTTCTGGGAATTAGCTTTGGTTGTAAGGCCCTGCAGCGTGAAGGGAGAGCAGGGGGTAGATGTTCTGGAATGGGCACCACAGTGCAATTCGCCTTAGTTACAGTCCTTGCCTTAATATTTTGGCATCTAATCTTCCTAGTGTTTTATGCTGCCAACTTTTCCATTTTCTTGAGTCTTTATTTTTGGTGGCTATTCCTGAAATTTGCCCCATTTGCTTTCCACAAAGTCTTGCAGAATCTCTGTGTAATTCTCTCAGGGCCATAGTTTGAGCTAATGCATTGGTTGGCATAGCCTATTGAGAGGATATTTCCACTGGTAAATATTAGTGGTCTAATATGTTAACATTACTAATGACAAAATTGAAAATTGACTTGATGCCAAAAAAATTTCCTCTCACAATGGTTATTTTAACTAAGTCTGCTTGATGGAAAGAAGATTTTTTTCCTTTTCAATCATTTCACTTCTTTTATTCCTCTCCTTTCTTTCTGTTTGTGTAGAATCTAGAAAACCATAAATAGGTTTTCCTTGCACTGGCCTATCCCCATGTGAGGATTTCGAAATATAGGTCATTTGTGTCACTGGGTCATTTATACCACTGGTATAGTAGTGAATTCTTTAGTGAATCAGAATACAGCAGTATAATGAATCATTTGAACAAGATATATGAAGTCTCTTAATACTTTAAGTATTTCAATGCATTTTTTGAATTATTTTTTCCATCATGGCAATTTATATTATGATTTTCTAAAGGCATTAGCTGAAACAACCTGTATGTTGTTAAAATGTTTTAGTATGGTTTATATAGTTAATACTGAACTGGATCTAAGAAAATAGAAGCATGTTTGTACTAGACAACCAGGATCCTCTAATTCATGTCCTACATGATGTTGGCTAATGCGTCTAATTATAATTTTCCAAGTGCCTTCCAAATCTTAATTTTATTCATTTATTAGCTTCCCATTGCCCCTGTAACAAATTATAATGAATGCAGTGTCCGAAAACAACAAACTTTTTTATTTTAAATGGCTCTTACGGTCAAAAGTCAGAAATGGGTCTCACTAGGTTAAAATCAATGTGGAGGCAAGGTCATGTTTCTTTCTGTAGTGTCAAGAGGAGAATCTGTTTTCTTGTCTTCTCTAGCTTCTAGGGCTGCCTGCATTCTTTGACTCTTGATCCCCTTCCATCTTCAAAGCCAGGAATGGCTAGTAGAATTTTTCTCCTATCTCTTCATTCTGACTCTCTTCTGCCTCTCTCACATTTAAGGACACTGTGGTTACATTGGGTCCATCTGGATAATCCAAGACAATTTTATTTTCAGTTTATTTGTTTAGAAACTTTAATTCCATTTGCAATCTTAATTCTCCTTTGCCATGTAAGGTAACATATTCACAGGTTTCCTGGATTAGGATGTGGACATCTTAGGGATCGATTGTTTTGCATACTACAGGTCTGATTGGCAGACATTCCCAAAATTTGATAACCACCTGTTATAAGCCACAAAATATTATTTGGGTAGACTCCAGTCAGGCTTTCTTTTTTTCTGTGCAATCTCAACATTTTATTACTGAATAGATACTTTATTATTACTTGCACTGTATCTTGCTTTTCCCTCAGAATAATTTATTAGTGTTTTAAACAAATTCAGAGATAGCAAAAGTTTAAGCAATCAGTTATTTTTCTGTAAAATGAAAGGTTTATTCTCATATACAAGGCTGTCAAATATTTTGAAATGTGAAAAAATGTTTCACACTTTAATAGGAGCACAAGACTGGAGAAACTTTTACAAACTATTTATTCAACTTATCAAGTGCTTGTTACATACAAATACTCTGCTTGTTGGATGTGATCTAACTGACCTGCTACAATCAGAGGCCGAGAAGGGGTGGTGAGGCCAGGCTTGAGATACAGTAGGTCTCATCCTACTTCTTTGAGCTTCAGTATCCATCTGAGTTTGTTTTCTGTGCTGTAACAGAATGCCACAGACTGGGCAATTTATAAAGAAAAAAGATTTATTTGGCTCACAGTTCTGGTGGCCGAGAAGTCCAAGAGCATGATACAGGCATTTAGAGAGAGTCCTCTCATGTTGGAAGGCAACACATCGTGAGTGAGCACATTAGACAGAGAACAAATGGGGCCAGCCTCATTCTTTTTATCAGGGTCTCACTCCTGAGATAACTAATCCACTTGAAACACAGCATTAATCTCTTTGTGAGATGAATATCCTTATCACCTAATCACTTCTAAAAGGCCCTACTACCTAATACTATTACAATGGCAATTAAGTTTTTGATATACGAATTTTGGGGCGACACATTCAAACCATAGCAGTACCATCTGAACACTGGGAATAGCAATATCATTAATTGACATCCTATGTGATATTGGCCATTCAGGGGTGTTGTGAGGGTTAAATTTGATAATGATGCACCCGTCTTGGGATGTACAGGAACTCAACAGAAGATAATGTCTTTACTCTCTAAGGAGTGGCCTGACAATGATGCCACTGAATGGACAGCCTGATGGGTGTTCTCTGGGACAACTTAAAGGAAATAAGATGTAGTTATATCTGGCACTAGTCATAATTCTTTCCTCTCTTACAACTATGTCATATGACCTTTTTTCTTGCAAGAGTCCATATTAACCATTATTATACTAGTACTTATCAACAGGGGAAGGGATATGTTATGAATTGGAGAAGGGCATTTAGTCGTAGCTTCCTCAAATGCATTCGATTTATTCCTATATGCATTTTCTTTGGAGATAATGAATCCAAGATAATGTCTCCTTCTAAAACAAAAGAAAGAAAAAGTAAAAGAGAAATATTGACTATGAAGAAAAGGTGTGGTTTCACCACTCTCATCAATTAATGCCCCCTCAGATACTAATGGAAATATTACCTGTTACTGCTTTGAATTCATAACTTTTTTCATGGCACACATGGCTGACATCATTTCTTAAAGTCCGATAGCAGTCTGTGTCTTGTATGAATGAGAAAATTTCAATCGGTGCAAGTTTTTTTCTTCGTCATGGTAGTGGGAAGAGAGGAGGAAAGATAGAACAGTCTCTGGAACTCTGAAACGCATTAAGCATCCTTCTTGATTTAACATAAAATCATCAAATACATGAGTATGCCTGGAGTTATTCTATTTTTTTCTATTGCCTGGTGGTCTTTTTTCTGTAGAAGAGGTTCAGAATACATAATCTTTGAAAAGGATTCCAATTGTCAATACAATATGCCTGCAACACTGCTCTTCTAAGGGGAAGAAAAAGAGATAATAGATGATTGACTGTATCACTTACATTTCATGTTATGCCCAGAGAACTCCACTATGACTTTTGTATTTTATCCGAAACCAGTGAATCCTGATGATAAAACACGGGCATTTAGGAAAATAGTAATAAAAGGAAGTTTAGTTTAATAATGTTTATAAGGCCAGTGCAGTACAATGAAAATTAGATTATGATTTTGGTTTTAAAAATTCCATATGTACCATTTCTTTGTAGAATTTTTAGGTGCAGGATTATTAGGTGCTGTAACTGTTTCATTTTCTAATCTGTAAAAATGATTATAATAACATCTATTTACACAGTTCTGGAGCTTAAATGGGAGTAAATAACTGAAAGTAATCTGCAAGTTTCTATACAAAAGGTATTTATATCTAGTGGGTAGATGGCAGGGATGTTGCTAAACCTCCTATAAGGCACTGGGCAGCTCCTTGCAACATATACTTATTCTGCATAGAATGTAGATAATGCCATGTTAGGGAATTTCTGATCTATAATGAGTAGTACCCACTCTCTTCCACCTTTAGGCTAAAGCACTAGAGAGAGGGAGAAGTTAATAGATTATGAAAACAGAGAAATTTGGAGAAGGCTGTCCAAAGTGGCCCTGAAGGCTGGAAATCCTGTTTCTTTTCTCTCTTTTTAGTATGGGCTAGCAATTTCTCATTGGCTTAACCTTGCTATAAGTCAGAGGTCAAGGGACCTTGTGATTGCAGTTCATATTGGTCAACCTCCTGGGCATAGAACATGATCACAATAAATGAGAGTGAGAGTGGAAAGAATAGGTGTATATGAGTCTAGATACCTAGACTCAACCATTAATCCCTCTCTCAAACTAACATTCAACTCTGTGAATCTGTGAGGAAATGATGTCTGTGGCGAGGTTCATCTATACGCAGAGGGAAAAGTTAACCCTGGGTGCAAATTTGGAGAGGAGGAAAATTAGTTCCTAGAGATATTTTGTGTTTGCTCACCATAATAAAACAGTGCATTTGTTTTTGCCACTTTCTACTGTATGCCCTTATCCATTATGTGCATTCATTAACTTACCAAGTTACTGAGAACATGCTGCATTCTAGGTACTGGCCCATGTACCGAGAATACAAAAAATGGTTATGAATGGTGCCCACCCCGAAGCAGCTTTAAGTGTAACGCGAAAGACAGTCATATGAACAAACTATTATAACACTTGGAGCATTTATATATAAAGTACTATGATAGAGAATGGAAATACTATTTTTTTTTCCAGGATGTAGAAAGTTCTTGCAGAATAGGTGATATTTACAGAGTTGTTAAGGAAAGGCAGGTACTTTTTGGTGCAGGGAAGGAAAAAAACGCAAGACTAAAAATTGTCCTGTGTTATGGTGCAGAAGCAGTGGACAATGAGGCCATAAAATGAGTTAGGTTTTTATTTCAAAGACTTTTTGTGGCCATGTTAAGATATTGAAACTGTTACCTCAAAGTGCTGGAGAATCGTGCACAGGTGATTTTGTACCTGTGCAAACTCATTTAATTAAAAACTACTTCCAACTTCTATAACCTTGTATGATATGAGCTTTTTGGAATTTTGTCTTTAAATTAAAATCTTTCAAAGTAACGTGGTAAAATTAATGCTGTGCATATTTATTTGAGTGAGCTTAACTCAGTGAAAATTTTACTGAGGCATTTTGATGTTTAAAAGTGATTACACTTAATACATATCCTTTGCTAGGCTATTTTGATTGGAGTGATATAGGATCAAAGATCTCAGAAATATTTCGAGCAAAAGAGTTCTTCTGTTTCCCAAGTATAAGCATTCCTTAAATCCTAAAACACATTGGAAAATATTTCTTATATCATTATCTTTTAGAAAACTGTGAAATAGCCATAGTTGGGGAATAGATTTAAGGAAAGTTTATAGGTTATATAATTGGATCCAAATATTATATTATGTGGATGTTCCTAAATTTGACAGTATTAAAATATGAGTATATATATATATTTTGCATGGTCTCTGAAAAGTTTATTAATCTTTGTGACCTCCACAGAGCTAGGTACTGTGCTTTGTAGGTGCTTAATAATGCTTTGGAACTGATATTGTAGATTTCACCTTTGGCTAGACAATTTTATTTTGAAGGAATTTCAACTTAATAAATATATTTTAATAGGGCTATACATTTTTTCCAGTAATATTTACTTGTATATTTCCCCTTAGTCCTAACAAATATTTTGAGAATGAAAGTAAGGAAAATATTTTCACCATGGAATGTCCTTCCTATTCGCTGTCATTTTTAAAATGGAATTTTCTCCTGTTTCAAAATAGTAAACTTGTTGCCATGATGGTTTTTAGGGTAGAATAAGATTTTTTCTCTAAATAATCTTAGACATAAAAAACTAAAAGAGCATGATTGTCATTGAAAAAGAATATGTCTAGGTAGTTCCTATCTTTCCACTCTTCCACGCTTCTTTACTTTGCTTTTCTTTATTACTTTTTTTCTTTCTTTCCCTTTTTTTTTCCTTCAAGATGGAGTCTCACTCTGTCGCACCCAGGCTGGAGTGCAGTGGCGTGATCCCGGCTCACTGCAACTTCCGCCTGCGGGTTCAAGCGATTCTCCTGCCTCAGCCTCCGGAGTAGCTGAGATTACAGGTGCCTGCCACCATGCCCAGCTAATTTTTCGTATTTTTAGTAGAGACGGGGTTTCACCATGTTGGTCAGGCTGGTCCTTCTTGGCTTCTTTGGCATGATGGAGCAGGTTCATGGATGATTTTTCCAACACATCTCACACCCAAGTAGGTGATACCAGGAGTGAGGAAGTAGTGACAGCTACCTGGTGTCTCCTCTTTTTATCCCTGAACCTGAAACTTGAAAGAATTTCATTATAATTCAGTAGTTTAGCCTTAATATTTCTACTTCTCAAAATAATAAAATTTCAAAGCTATCTTTTGATCTAAATGTGAGGAATGTTAACAGTGCACGTATGTATTAGAAGATATGGACTCTTACTTTTTTTTTTTTTTGCAAACTTTATAAATTGTTTTCTTTCATTGCTGAAGGTCAGAATCTCAGTGATTAATGGTGACTAAAGAAGTTTGTGACAGAAATTTAACCCAGATACTCACACATCCAGTCCTATCTTCCTCTTACCTGTAGGGGCAAAAAAAAAAAAAAAAAAAGAAAGAAAAAGAAAAAAAAGAAAAAAAGAACTCTGGAAAATGGGACAGATTTTATAACTAAAGATCAGCCCCACATATACTGTAGATATTTAAATAAGTGGTAATTCATTCTGCAAGGAATAAGTAAATGGCATATTACTGTAACCCAGTTAAAAATATTAGACTTCAACACGGAAGCATTTGAACTTGGTGTCATGGATTTTGGGAAGACCTGAAAGGAATAAGAAGTGTTGAGATTCCAGGAATCTTTGATTAAAATATATTAATGAAAGTGAAAGAGTTCTCAGTGGCTGGTATGGGAGATAAAATACCATAAATGTCAGCATCATGCCTGGGAGACCCTTTAAGTCGTTATAAACAATAATGGGCCTATGAAAGACAAGGTCAGAGTATTTCTCTTAACTTCTCCATACAGAGTCTTTTTATTTCTGGTACATATCTCATTTCCCTTCAAGTATCTCTAACTGTAAAAAGAGAGATAACCTTTACTACTTTCTCTGTTCTTGATAAGGAACCAGAATGAAAATGCCTCAGTTTATATACATGGTCGTGGTAAGCTGGGAACAGCATATTTTCTTGAGTGACAATATGGTTAAATTAGCAAGAAACATAGAAGTGTATTTTCACATAACTTGCACATATTGCTTAGTTGATGTATGAAGGTGCATTATAGGCAAAAATGAGTCATTTCTTAGGCAGGCACTTAGTACGTGCAAAGGCTAGCAGTAGCACGCCATATAAGGTAGCATTTCAGGGGCTATACACCCTTTGGATTTTTGACACAGGGCTCAAGGTAGATTTGGGCTAAGCTTCCATGGCAAAGACATGTTTTTGGCTCTGGTTGTCATTCAGTAAATATTTATTAAACCCCTTGACTGTTTTTAGCTCTGTTCTTATTCTTGTGAAGCTTACCTTCTAATTTTGAATGAAGAAGACATAAACATTTATTACATATGCAGTGCATTTTAAGAATTGTGATAGAGCCTTTTTTTAAGAATTCCTCCCAAAAAAATAATTACCAGTACTTTCTGATTTCATTGCACATATAAATATGGAATGATATTGGAAGAGAAAAACATTACATTTGTAACTTCAAATAAAGCATGAATTAGATTTGAATATTATGAAATTTACCAACAAAACCTTGATTTTATAGATAAGTGTTACTGATCATAGAAACTACCAGACATAACAGCACTGTATACTTTTAAAATATATTTTTATAAGTTACATTGAAACCCTATACACACGCTTCTCCAATTGTAGTCAGGTTGGGCGGTATGTGATAACTAAATTTTTATGAAGCAGGTAGCTTCTTCTTATCTATTCAAAACTGTCAAGATTTGCTGCAAACACTAGGTGTGTGTGTGTGTGTGTGTGTGTGTGTTTTTTCTGGAGGGAGGAGGAAGTAGTAGAAGAGGTTACTATTAGCCTCCACCATGACTCATTAGAAAATGTCCTGAAAAAAGTTTAGCTCTGTATCAGACAATATACAGATAATTCCCAAGTCATTTGTCAAGTGAAAAAGAAAAGAGGTTGTTATAATCAAGCAGCTCCAGGGACATGAGCAGAAGTGTATCACTTTATTATTTTCCCTTCTACCGAAAGCATGATATATTAATTTATTTTAGATTGTTTAGGGTCCAAGGTTTTCTATGCTTACAAAAGTTATGAATTAAAGGTCCTAAATTGTAAGTCCTTAATGTGAATTAAATTCACACCCAATACAGGAAATATTAGTTGGAAACAATAAATCTTGTCAGGCTCAAGGTACTTTTATTGCTGTAAAAAAAATGAAGGTCACACAATAATACTATTCAGGGAAATAGGTAAGACATTCAAAGAGATTCATCATTTTCTATATGACACACAGATACCCTTCTAAAGGATTTCAATATTTTATCTTCAATTCAGTTTGGTATTTAAATATTTTAAGTCAATCCTTTAGAAACTTATATGTACTTTTTTTTTGACATTATCTAATTACATAGCTTAACAAGTAGATGGGCAGTGAAGATTTTTGATGGGTGTACCTAATTGTTTGGCAATATTCAGATGGCTTAAACAATTTTATTTATAATAGAGCTTAAGGAAGTCCACATTGATGGGGAATCTATTATACGCCAGACTCCAGGCAAGGTGTGTGTAGGCTGATTATGCCATTTCATCCTTATGCTGCTGATGGATAATATTTTTATGGTTGTATTCACAGATGGAGAAACTGAGGTTTGGGGTTTAACAACTTTTCAAAGATCATACAGTGGCTAAGATGTAGAGCTGGGTTGGAACCTAGGGCTAGCTGACTCCAGAGCTTCTTATGTCCGTTTAAGATTAGTCACAGACCTCACCGAGTATCTCATCATATGCGTGCCATCCTATAATATTAATAGGGGCATAAAACTTACATGTGCTTGATCTTAGAAATTTAAACAACTCAAGTGTTTGAAAAATTACAGATGTTTCTCTGTTTATGAATAAGTATGGTGCTCTCCCTTTCTTCCTCACAATTTTGACTTGCCTTATAATTGCTTTTATTGAGAGAAATTTACAGGGAAAACCCTGTTATAAACAAACTTCTTTTTGGATCCTGAAAGTTGCATAGATTTCAACTCCTTGTAGTCCTTCCTATCTGCTCTTGACAGAAAAAAAAGAGAGGCCTCTAGCCTTGAGGCCTGAGTCCACAAAACATTTTTGTCTTCCTGTTTTCTCAACAAATACTTCTATAGCCACAAAGTAGTCCCAGACACTGTCCTGAGAGCTTTACAAGGGGGAGATTGACTCCTGTAGTTATCATAACAAGCCTGTGCAGAAAAAATGGTTACCATCCCCCACTGTCTTAGTCTGTTTTTTGTTGCTCAGGAATACCTGAGGCTGGGTAATTGATGAAGAAAAGAGGTGTATTTGGCTCACAGTTCCACAGTCTGTACAGGAAGCATGGAACTGTTATCTCCTTGGCTTCTCATGAGGGCTTTTGTACTGCATTAAAACATGGTGGAGGCCAGGTGCGGTGGCTCACACCTGTAATCCCAGCACTTTGGGAGGCTGAGGAAGGAGGATCAGGAGGTCAAGAGATCAAGACCATCCTGAACAAGATGGTGAAACCCCGTTTCTACTACCAATACAAAAATTAGCTGGGTGTGGTGGCGTGCACCTGTAGTCCCATCTACTCAGGAGGCTGAGGCAGGAGAATCACTTGAACCCAGGAGGTGGAGGTTGCAGTGAGCCGATATCGCACCACTGCACTCCAGCCTGGTGACAGAGTGAGACTCAGTCTCAAAAACCAACCAACCAACCAACAAACAAAATATATGGCGGAGGTCAAAGTGGAAACATGCACCTGTGAGGAGGGACTAAACCTAAGAAAGCTTTATAACAACCCACTCTAGATGGAATTAATTCATTCCCTTGGGAACCAGTCTGGTTTTGGGAGTGTAAGAACTCACTACCTCAAGAATGGCACCCCGCTGTTCATGAGGGATCTTCCCTCATGACCCAGACACCTCCCACTAGTCCTTACCTCCCAACAGCACCACACGGGGGATCAAATTTCAACATGAGATTTGGTGGGGACAAACCAACTATGTCCAAATGATAGCACCCACCCGGAAGATGAGGAAACTGAGACAAATACAGATTCAGTAACTTCAGGTCATATACTTAGTAAACGGTAATAATGGAACTTGAATCCTTAATGTCTGATGCTAGAGACCTTGGTCTCAACCATTACATTGTGCTGACACCCCGAATACGGTACAACCTCTTCTTATCTTTCATGTTTCTGTGCATGTTAAGAAAATTTTGCTTGTGTCAACTTAAAAAATGCTCAGGCTGTTTGTTATCCCTGTATGTTACGCCACTACCTATATTTCTCCTAAAACATTGTTTCATTACTCATTCTCTTCCTGTCTTTTGTTCAGTCTCTCTCCCCATTAGTTCTTGCTTAGATGTCTAACATCTTAAACATGTACCAACTTCTTCACAGCTCTCTCCCACCATAAAATGGAGTCTTCCTTTGTACGTATTTATTTCTTCATCTCCCTTTTGGCTGTGAGCTCACTACTCTCTGGCCTACGCCTTAATCTCCTTTTCCAACTGTTTTTTGCTAAGTCTCCTCTGACTGAGAGGCTTGGATCTTTCAGCCTTACTGTGCCACTGTTTGTAGGAAGCTCTGCTCCCAGAGCTTACAGTAACAGCTGTCACTATATCCAGGGGGTACTTCTACCTCCAAACAGTTCTACATCTTTTTCATCCTTTCAATGTCACATTCCCAAAGCTTCCATTGAGTTACACTCCTTATTATAGCAGTCACCACCTATCAAAAGAGCTTCTATTTTCAAATGACAGTTGGTTTCTGTATTTGTGCACAAGACTCAATGTGTAATGTGTGCAAAGTCAAACTCACTATCTCCCTGTAGCTGCACACCCATTCTGCTCCTTTTTCTAGGCTTCATCCTCAAATGTTCTACCTTTCATGATGCCCTAAGAGTTATTCCAAAAAAATAGATCTTGCTTTCTGGATTGTCCAAGTTGCTCCTGTGTGTAAAAGCCTTCAGTAGCACCAATAGGATAAAGCGAACACCGTGAGCAGGGCAGAAAGGCCCTTAGCAAATGATTATCAATCTGCATTTTCTGACTTTCCTCGCAGGCACTCTGCCTAGCCCTGCTCAGGTATGCTAGCCATACCTAGCCTATTTACTATTTGCCCAACAGGATTTCCCCTGTATCAGCTGTGTGCCTTTGTACATTCCTTTTTGCCTGTATGAAACATCCTTTGATCCTTCTCCATTTCTCAGAAACACACTCATATTTCATGACTCAGCTCAAATGTCACTTCCTATGCAATGCTTTCCCTGCCTCCCACGCCAAATGAGTTGTTCTCCTTCCTTTAGTCTTCATTCGACATACACTAATCACTTTGCATTCCAATTAAATTTTTATATGCCTATTCCCGCAATTATGTGACCTTTTCAAGAAAAAGGACTGTCTAATTTATCACTGAATACCCAACGTTGCATACATAGTAGGCTCTCAATAAAAGCTTGTAGAATGATTGGAGTGATCAGATTAGTGACTGAAAGCAACAAACATTCATATAATGCATATGTACATGCTCTGTGCCAGGCAGTGCTCAAGGTGTTAGGACGGGAAAGAACAGCCTTGCTAAAAATCACTGCTATCACGGGGAGCTTACATTCTAGTAGAGAAATGTGCATGATTAATAAGACATTGATAAGCAAAGTGTACACTTAGATGGTGGCAAATGTTATGAAAAAAAATGCAGAGACAATGTAGGGAGTTCTGAGGACCGTGAGGGCTGCAATTAGCTATCAAGAAAGGCCTTGATAAGAAGGTGATGTTTGAGAAAGACCTAAACTGTAGGAGGGAGGAAACCATGTGAATATTGAGCATCTCACCACACAGAGAGAACAGGAAGATCCAGGTAGAAACCTGTATGGGATACTTGAAGCCTGGTCCTGGAGACCAGCATGGTGGGAGAGGGGTTGGGGAGTATGGGAGTATTAGAAAGGAAGTGTTAGGAAGAAAGTTCAGAGAAGAGGTTATGTTGTGCATGGTTTTACCCTAAGTGTCATGAGATGCCATTGGAAGACTGGCAGACAAATGGAATACTTCATAGAATTTAAAACATTTATCTTACAGTTCCAGTATGAGCAGTTACTGCCCGTAAGTTTGTAACAATAGCTTTGAAAAGAGCATCGAAGGCTCTTGATATTGTGGTTCATTTTGCCATACATATATATTTGAGGACAGCCAACATTCACAAAGATAAAAACCACATCTCCATCTGCAATAGCATGACAGTTGTGTGAGCACTAAAGGGCAGATAGGACAAATGACCCTGCCTGCATCGGTGGACAGGAAGGGAGAAAAGCATGGCTGGGAATGCAGGTATTGCACTAAGTATTGCACTAAATTAACTACATAACTGTGGATTGCTCATTGCTTTTTTATATACTGCTTAATTTGGAAGGAAGAGAGTATTTCATATAATAAATTATTGATGCAGTTATTCTAATTGAGTAGGGTATTTCTTAGAAACTCTAGCACATTAAGATAGATAATTTTTTTGTTGATATGTGGCTTACCTGTTTTAATTTTTTGTATTTATTTGAAGAAGTGTTTTTTTTTTTTTTTTTTTGTGATACAGTCTCACTCTGTCACCCAGGCTGGAGTGCAGTGACGTGATCGCGGCTCACTGCAACCTCCGCCTCCCAGGTTCAAGTGATTCTTCTGCCTCAGCCTCCCGAGTAGTTGGGATTACAGGTGCCCGCCATGACGCCCAGCTAATTTTTGTCCTTTTAGTAAAGATGGGGTTTCACCATGTTGGCCAGGCTGGTCTTGAACTCCTGACCTCAGGCCATCCGCCCGCCCTGGCCTCCCAAAGTGCTGGGATTACAGGTGTGAGCCACTGCGCCTGGCCTCTTTGGGGAAGCTTTTTAAGTGGTCATGTCAAAGATGTCAGCATTCTTCTTTATGGATAAGAACAGAAATCATTCTGTTCATCCTCTGTCCGAATTTCTTGTTGCAATTTCATAGTTACTTTGAGCTCTACACTTTTCTGGTGAAATAGAATGAGTTTCTTAGAATTCGGTGAATCGGCTTTCAGGAAATTCTGGGAGTAAAGGATCTTTGAAAGACGAAGAAACTCAATTAAGCAGTCAACTTTATTCCAATCTGTGCTCTCAAGAGAAAGATAAAGTTCATATTTTCTAGGAAGAGTGAAAAGATAGAAGTTGAATATTAAGTTATTGGATGTCAGGGGTTTATCTTTGTGTGAAAAGAAAAAAATCTGTTTAGAATTTTTCTTCATCTTAGCCACAATTTCATTACATTATAAATAAATATATTGAAATGTATAAAATACAGCATATATATACACATACATATATAACAAAATCTTTCATTAAATGAAAGATTCATATAAATGAAATCTTTATTAAATGAATTAACAGTGGTTAAGTGCTAGATTATTTAAGAAAGTGCCACCATTGTATTTGTAATACCGGAATCTGTTTTGTAAGATTAGATACATCTTACATATTACTTTTTGATCATAACTCATGTGGCTCAAAACCCTAGGGTGATGTTTCTCTTGGTTTGGGCTCTACTCCCCAATTCCCTCATAATGAAACCCAGGACAATCTTTTCATGAAACCCTCCTTTCAAAATAGTGGCACCTCCTCTCTACATTGGAAATAGGTGGGCATGAAACATAAACACATATGAAAGCTACTGATAAGAAAAAAAAAAACTTAAGAAGTACGGTAGTTAAGCTTCAAGTGCCATTGTTCCTCTGCTTCTCAAGGTTAGTATCCCCCAGTGTTTCTACATGTTTCTCAGCCTTCTATCACAAAAATTTCTCCTACAATGCCTTGTCACAGCTCTTGCTGAAGGAATGGAACATTAAGGAGGAAGAAGTAGAGAGGAGCAGGGGAAGGCAGTCTTGTGCTGCTCAAAACACTTATCAAGGTCCACTTCCTACCCACTATCCCTAGCCCTTCAAGAGGTCACTCTTCCGGCACAGGGCACTTAGGCAAGAGAAAGAAATAAAGGTATTCCAATAGGAAGAGAGGGAGCCAAATTGTCTTTGTTTACTGATGACATGATCCTATATCTAGAAAACCCCATGATTTCAGCTCCAAAGCTTCTTAAGCTGATAAGCAACTTTAGCAAAGTCTCAAGATACAAAATCAATGTGCAGAAATCACATGCATTCCTATACACCAACAACAGACAAGCAGAAACCCAAATCATGAGTGAACTCCCATTCACAATTGCCACAAAGAGAATAAAATACCTAGGAATACAGCTAACTAGGGAAGTGAAGGAACTCTTCAAGGGGAACTACAAACCACTGCTCAAGGAAACCAAATATTTCATTATGCCATGTCATTTCCTAAAGGGCACCAAGACACTGATAAGGTCTCCCAACCAAGGGCATCTGAGCATGGCTATACAGTGAGATTTCCTTGAGTTTTGACTTCTCTCCCCTCCTTTGACAGCTCAGCTGTGTGCCTTACACAGACACATCTCCAAGAGTGAATCAGAAAGGGTCTTACAGAGTGGGGTGCCTTCTTCCCAATCATTCTCTTTGGAGTTCTGTTTACACCCTGCATTAAGAAAGACCCACAAGCTTCCATTCAACTTGAAAAATGAGACGTCTGTAAATTCTCCTTAATCTTGATGTTCACCATTTGGTTGAGTGCTTGCCTAAAGGAACTGCTCTCTGTTTAATAGGCACCCCTTTCTTGTATTGTATTCTAGTCTCATTAGGCACTAAGTAGGAATAGCCAAATCTCTCAGGACTTTTAGCTGGAACATCCAGATGAGGATGGGTTCTTGGCAGTACCTAATGTATGCAGCCTTAGGGAAATAGTTTTTAAATTCTTACCTGCAAAAGATTCACTAACAGAGCTTTTAGGAAGCGCAGCTCTCCTCTGCTTATCTCAGTCATGGGCCAGGAGCTTTCACTTTTACAAAGTACACTGGGCTCTTCTTATGAAAATACTCTAGAGTAGCAGTGTCCAGTGAAAATATAATGCAAGTCACATATGTAATTTTTAATTTTCTAGTTGCCTTATTTATGATTATTTTTAAAAGATGAAATTAATTTTAATTATACATATCATTTAACCTCATATATCCAGTATACTATCATTCAATATTTAATCAATGTAAAATTATTAATGAGATATTTTATATCCTTTTAAAAATTTAATCTTCAAAATCTGATATATATTTTATAATTACAGCACCTCATATCAATTCTTACTAGCCTTGTTGTAAGTACTCAATAATCATATAAAGCTAGGGACTGCCATATGAGACAGCATAACTTGGGATAATTACATTCAAATCCAGTAAATAAACCTGCAAAGTGGAAAGGTCCAAATTCAATCACTTGACTGTCTAAATAAGAATATGCTTTATTTTGTGTTGTCATGTGCTAAGTTCTTAAAATGAATAATATAAAATCTTACAACAGTAATATGAATTAGATATGCTATTTAATCTATTTGGTAGAGAAAAAAATTCTCGCTTTAGATGTCGATTTGCTCAAACTCACAGAGAAGTGAGAGACAGAATTAGTTTGATGTGACCTCAGAGCATACCTGCCAACCACCCTTGAGTACCCTCTTCAACACTATGCTTGTTTCTTGTATAATTGAGTGAAATTCAGGCTTTTCTCCAATGTTAAAGTCTTATACATGATCAAGGCCATGTTTGATATAAATATATAATAAAATAGAATTCAGAGATAATGTGACTGCATTTATATATTAATCCTGTATGCCACTTGACTTCCTAGAATTGAAATAAGCACCCTTGGAATGGAATGCTTGGGAGAATCGGCTATAAAAGCTGTGTGTTATTAAAATGCTGAAACTTTACACCAGTAGTTTTTTTCTTAGCAATTTTGTATTTCTTAAAATTCGCATTTTTTCCCCTGAGGCAATAGGAAACATTATAACAAATAATATAAAAGATCATTTAAGGATGATTATTCATTGTTTTAAATATATGAATGATTAGATAAATAACTAAACTGATCCAATATGCAATAAAACTATAAGAGCTTCAGTTTTTCAAGAGCAAGACTCTTAACATATTATCATTCGTTCAAAGAAGGTTATTTGTCGGAAGTTATTTACTCTTCTTTTCCCTTGCTTCCTGAACTCATGATATGAAATCTTCATTTATTTTAGTTCTAACTTGGCTGATTAAAAAAAAGGATTCCCTTTGCTTTTAATATTGCTGAATATTTGAAGATCGATTGAAGCTATTAAATTAAAATAGTTTACCCCTTGAGGATTTTCAAAGACCAAAGAAAATATTAGTTTAAATGGAAAGCATTAGTCTTCTATTATTACTGTCTTGGACTGGATTGCATTAGATCTTCAGAGTAAGGCAGCAAGTGCTTTATAACTGTAAAGCCAGTTGTAAAATGTGGAATTAAAGCAAACACAAAATCAAACAAACATGGTATTTCTCCCAATAATTATAAGTTTACTGGATGCTTATTTATCTGTCATTAGAATGGACATACAATCAGAACATCCCAAACTTGTTTACTCACTCCAATGAGATGGGCAGAGGTAAATGGCAAACAGCAATTTAAATATAAATATATTTAGCCTAGGCCAGGCATGGTGGCTCATGCCTGCAATACCAGCACTTTGGGAGGCCTAGGCGGGCGGATCACCTGAGGCCAGGAGTTCAAGACCAGCCTGGCCAACATGGTGAAACCCCGTCTCTACTAAAAATACAAAATTAGCCTGTAATCCCAGCTACTCAGGAGGCTGAGGCAGGAGAATCGCTTGAACCTGGGAGGCAGAGGTTGCAGTGAGCTGCCATTGCACATTGCACTCCGGCCTGGGGACAAGAGTGAAACTCCGTCTCAAAAAAATAAAAGCATAAATAAATATATTTAGCCTAAAATGGCTGTATTATTTTTAAATCTTTATTTTCTAATTCTGACTGTATATTGATTAGTCAATGAGTAAGATTTCTCAGAAACATATTGCTATAAAGTCTAACTACAGTTACAATTTTTCATAGATGATTCACCACAGTGATCTTTATCTAAACAATGCAGGGGAAATTATTTCGAATGTCAACAGCTCTCTTAAATTGGCCATATAAAATCATCTACTTATATGTAAGATAAACACGGAGGCTTAGAAACTTCTCAACATTGAGGTACATTCATTACAAGTCAGTAAATCAGTGTTTCACTAGCTTCAGCTGTTACCTCATGGGTATAGCTGTCTAGTCAGAAGTAGGAAATATAATCCCACAGTGCTCTGTTAGCCTGGGATTTCAGGATCCGTTTTGTTTTTGATCTCAGTATTTCTCAAATCCCTTTTCATTAATGATGAAATAGGGTCTCAATATCTTAAGCTACCATTTGGAAAGAGAAAAAGGAAGATTACACTGTTCACATCCTAGTCGTTTGTGTATCGTCTTCCGTTTCTTCTTACTTTACTATAAATACTTACTTGCATTTTGATATATTTACACATTTTGAACATTAATTCACTGTGTAACCTTTACTATTTGGAATGAAAATGAAACTGAGAAACAAGCTAAAAAGAGCACTGAGCAACTGAAAGAGGTGCTACCAAATGTATGTAGGAAATCTCACATAATTCACTGATGTCTAAATCCTCACTCGGAGCTTGTTTCTTTTCATTTAATCTATGACTGTACTAAATATACTTACTTTCCTACTCTTAACTTTGTTAAAGCAGCCAATTAGGATTTGAAAGATCCTAATCTTTCAGGCATTAGTAAGACATACATATTTCAATTTCAGTAGTAAATGATACCCATATGTAAGGAAAATATGTGTCCAGGAGAGAATCCTTACCTGGATTCGTAAAGTTACACACACTTCATTGACATCAGATGGCCCTGACCCAGCATATGTAGTATTTGTAATGATAATGAGTCTTCATGTATTCTGCAAGAATTCAGATCAAGGTGCAATGCGTTTAACCACACAAATGGTTAAACGTATGCTTAATGGGTACTTTACCATATAGTTTTAATTTCCATTAGCATCAACGAGCCATCCTTGTATCTAACTTTAAGTAGTGGTTCAGGAATATAGTTTTATAAACTGTTTATCATTTATCATTTATCCCAAGATATTTATTTATGCAACAGTGCCTAGTCAATTCTTGACTGAAGATTACCCAAACATGTGAAAATAAATGTTACTGTTAAATCTTTATATGACATTGAAAGAAACGAAGTTTGTAAATGCACTGTGTTAACTTTGAAATACCAGCCTTAGGTTTCACTAGATCTTTATTGGTATATGAGATGAAGACCTAAGTCTAATTCTACCTAATGCACACAATTGACCTGATTATATGTTTGGTGTTTGTTTGTTTGTTTGTTTGTTTGTTTGTTTTGACAGAGACTTGCTCTGTCACCAGGCTGGAGCACAGTGGCGCGATCTCAGCTCACTACAACCTCCCCCTCCCTGGTTCAAGCTATTCTCCTACCTCAGCCTCCAGAGTAGCTTGGATTATAGGCACACACCACCACACCCAGCTAATTTTTGTGTTTTTACTAGAGACGAGGTTTCACCACGTTGGTCAGGATGGTCTCTATCTCCTGACGTCGTGATCTGCCCACCTTGGCCTCCCAAAGTGCTGGGATTACAGACGTGAGCCACCGCGCCCTGCCTGGTCTTTTTTGTTTTATCTGTATTCTTGCACATATGATCTGCTTGGGAAATGTCCTTTGCAATTAACAAGGTTACTTAAGGGAAAGAGAGATAGGACTTCAGATGCTTTTTTTTTTTTTTTTTTTTTTTTTTAAGAAGGAAAGGAAAGTAGCACTTATGAGTTAGGGTGTCTCATTTCCTGCACATTGTTCCTGAAAACGACCTCGAAAGATTAAGTTATGATATAAGATAACTAACTTAAAAATGCCCTCAAATTCCACTTTGCCACCTAAAATCCAAGGGCAAAAAAGACATCAATGGCATCTGGTGACTTTATGCATAATGTTCATGGCCTTGCCGCCTGGAATAGAGGCTGTTAATTGTCCTCACAAGGATTTTTCTTTAACATTCTGGAATGCGTGTTTTAGTATTTTGGTGTGTTGTTTGTTTGTTTAGTCCCTGGTACCTTTAGTAGCATTAGAACCTGCTGTGCAAAGGTCTGCTCTGACTGATTTTGCACTTTCATGGGGTTCTAACTGCACTTCTTTTAGCAGAGACATTGGAGTAGACAGATAATCTATGGGCCAAGGGAATAAGTTCTTTTTAAGATTTATTTTCAAAATGGTATTTTCTAGGCTTACATTTCAGTGTCTAATTGTAAATCCTATGGTGTAAAAAGAAATGCAAGTTTTAAGTATGCAATGTGCCTCTGTATTTACTGTGTTCTCTGATGAGAGTGTGAGCTGTGCAGGTGGGAAGAAGGGAGAGCTGTTTTAATAGCTGAGAGAATTGAAGAAGGCACCAAAGGATTTGAGGCAATAATGACTTTGGATATTCAGGTTGATTAACTGGTACTTCCTCCCCCACCTGTCATTAGAGGTTTACTAGAAGGCAGTCGGTTCTGTTTAGGCAATGCATCAGTCAAAGGGTGGGTCAATTATCTAACCTGCATATTTATAATTGGGAGGGAGCAGGGAAGAGCCAAATTCCCTTAAGACGGAGAAGGGAACCAAATGTGACGCCTGGTAAGAGACACTAGTGGGCTTAGATAAGACGTCACAGGAAAAGTGGCTGGGGACACTGTGCCAGACAGATCTCTCCCATTAAATGTAGGGAAAAAAAAAAGGAACTGATTCTGATGAAAAGCCCCCTCTAATTGCAAAATGTCACTGTGTTATAAGTGAGATCTAGTATTATGACGATTCTAAATTTAAGAGAATATTTGTATACAGTTTTAAGATATGCAACCCATCCAAGAAGGGTGGTGCATGCCAGAAATCCATCTATTTGGGAGGCTGAGGCAGGGGGATCCCTTGAGCCCAGGAGTTTGAGACCAACCTGGGCAACACAAGAAGGCTCCATCTAAAAAAATTTTCTTTGAATAAGACATACAACCAAAATTCAAATTTCTATTACTATTATTTTTTCTTTTGTAAGAATTCACTTGAAAAGTGATTTGATCTAACAAGACTTGTGGTGTGCTAAATGACAATGACACATAATCTGGAATTTAATCTTAAGACAACTGCATTAGGGGGTAGAAGGAAACACAGATTTTTAAATCCATTCAACTGAGATACTGGTGTATTTATAGGCATCATATAATAATGTGTTCTTTGTAGAAGTACTGTATTATATCAAATCTCAAACATATATATATATATATATGTTTATAGTGTGTATATGTGTCAGTAAGACAGTGTCCCATTTATATTTTTAAAAAGCAAGAACAAAGTATTTTCTATACTTTAGACATTATTTTGATAGAAAATTACCAAAAAGGATTTTCTTAAATGTTACATCTGATTTATTTGTATTATAGTTACTGTCATTTTTATCACAGTCTCTTCAAATTGCAATATTTTAGAATTAATCACTGTATTTTTTCAAGTTGCAAACAGATTCATAAAATGTACCATCCATCAAAAAATTTTAAAAGATGGGCTTACAGTTGTGAAAGATATGTATAATATCAAAATTATTACTCATCTCAAATATTTGTTGAAAGAGTTTGACCCGTTGGTATAAACCTATATCTGATACTTTTTTTTTTCTTAATGTCACATCAAGTTCTTAAATCACTAGTGGGCTGTAAATAACAGCCATTACAAATTCTCATAGTAATAACCTGTGGCCACTGAAGTCTTAGTATCTTTTCTCTGAATAGCTAAACTCAGCGTGGTTGCACATTTAATGATTCAATAGCAGGGTATGGATTTGTGAAAAGGAAATATAAAATGTATTTCCTGAATATGGAGTCTTTGTTCAGTATGTTGTCAGGTAAGAATTAGCGGTCTACAGTCATCCACTTTAATCTATGATCTAATCGGAACTCAAGAGCTAAATAAGAACACGGGTGATTAGACCTTAGTTAGTAGGGACCCCTAGGGAAAATTTCAGTGCCACAGGAAGTGATGCTAACGATTCATCAAGTGGTAAACTTGCCTCTGAGAAATTAATGAAGGGGCAACTTCACAGCCCGGGTATGTCTGTTGGATATTTCAACCAATCTGAGTTTTGCTAGCAGAAGTTCAAGGTACATTTTTAAGACAGGACAGAGATGGTAACAAGAACTGTGACGGTTTGTTCATAAAAACCTGGACTCTGATGAAAATCTTCCTTTCATTTGGGCTAGGAATCTTTAGTAGCTCTGCCAACAGTCAGGAAACTCTTAGTCTCCCAGAGGTACTGAGTGGAAAAGCGTTTTAGAATTTAAGTAAAATAGCAAAATCAGATCTTACTAGTAAGGCAGAATGTAGTGCCTACCTTGCAATTTAGAACACTGAATTAGAAATTTGAGAGAATTAAACTTTTCAGAATAATAAAAAATTCTTTGTACTGCTTATCTTCTGAAACAAACATCAATAGAAAGGAAAATTCAAGCCCTGTTCCATTAAAACCATTAAAGGAGCTGGCAAGATTGCAGTTTGCAATTTGTGTAACTTACCTCCTATCCTTCATTATTACAGTTTTATCAGTTGAACATGATATTTATGTCTCCTTTGTCTGAAAACATTGTTTAATAATTTTAATAGTCATTTTACCTTAAAAATGTGATACTCAGAATCAGAAAAATTCAACAGATTAATTTTAATAATTTACTTTTTTAGATAAAATGTTCTCACTCTATGTAAATGTATAGCTGCCATTACAATAAATTTAATGTCATGCATCAATCAATTGATGAGCCTTTAAAGATCTAGCAGTTGTATCTTATTTGATCTCTTAATTTATTGTTTAATTCAATAACTAAATGTACCTTTACTAAGCATATTGGCTAATCCAAGTAGTATGCATACATCTTCCAAGTAGTATGCATACATCTTCCAAGTAGTATGCTTTCACTTGCTTATTACTGGAAATGTCAGAACTTTTAAGAGCGGCTGAAATTATGTCACCAGTAGAAAGAAGGTCGAGTGGATAGCCTCAGCTGTGAAGCATTTGGTTCCTTTTCAGCTTCCCTAGTAAGCTCCATTTGCAAAGGAGATATGAACAGGAAGACCTCAGTTGGCCTGAATCTGAGATTAACCCCCTGTGATTCAGTCCTGCTAAAGCAGGAAATTGGACTTAATAAATATTGTAACTTAGTGAAAGTTTTAGAGCAGGAGATTTTCAAGTAAGAGAAGATACTTTTAAGACAATATCTTGCTGTTTTTATCACCAGTGAACTTATTTAGCCAGATGACAGTGTACATGTACATTTTCTGTCTTATCCATGACTCGGTTTTAAAATTTCAATTATTATCTTGCTATTTCCTACGTATCTTTAAAATCAGCTGGAAACCTTTCTTAGAATTGTGTTCAGCTACACAAAAAGTAAGGACCAACAGATGATGCTATTTGTAGTGAAAACAATTTGAAATAAAGCATAATTTTAAGCTAAATTTCTTCATGGAGTTATTGAGGATGAAATCAAGTCGAGGAGATGATACTTTCAGGTGGCTTTAAAACTGTATAATTTTTACAGCTGAATCAATCTAATATAGATTAGCAATGATTGTGTTTCCACTTCCATACACTATTTAAAATAATTGAATCTAGTGAGGAACATGGATCAGGGTCAAATAAATGTTTTCATAGCAATTATTGGCAGACATTTCCTTTCTGATAAGTTTCTCCAACATAGAAGTAGAGTTTGGATCTAGTTAAGTGTAGATGAGTTGAGTCGTGAGTTTTTCTGATTTTGAGAAACCACTTGCAGAGTTGCAGGACTGTAGGCACCAGGACTTCCTGCACGCAGCTAGTGTAGAGCCACATCTGCCTCCAGCTCCTGCTGACTTGGCTGCACCGCAGCCCCCTTAGGCCCTGCTGCCAGATCAGGTGTGGAGACACTGCAGAGCTGTCACTCCGCATGGTTTCCTGCAAGTCAGCTATCTCGTTCCCATCTGTGTTGGTATTCTTTCCTAGCTTTTTTCACTGCTTGCCTGGCATGCATATATTTATCCGATAAGCCTCAATTTGGCTTTAAGACTTGCCTTCCCAGGTAGAGACTAAAGATGAAATTTCTCCATGCATGTATCTTCCTTTTAATTGTGCTTGTAGTTAATACTTAATTCTTAAATTTGAGATGTTACTGTTTTAAGATACACTCTATCATGCATGTTAGCATCCGTTTACATGTTGTCTATACTATTTTGAGGATCTTAATGCATTAAGATCCACCCTGTTGTGAGTTTTGTTTGCTTTATGGTGTAAATAAGAGAAAATGAGATTACTTCAGTATATAAGGACTTTTTTCACTTTATGTTTATCTTACATAATTCTTTAAGCTAAGAGTTTACACTGTTCATCAGTTTTTACTTTTTAGAAGGAACTTATTCAGATAGCTTTATTATTAATATTCAGATGTGCCATCCTGCAAAGTCAGGGATGGATTACAAGGTGTGATACTTTTAGTCCATAAATGGTTTTTCTATAGCTAGAGCTTGATCCTTTGTGCTTTGCACCATTAATTGGCATTTTCAGCTATATTCTTGATTATGCAGCTAAAATTTAGCCTGAAGTGGCCAATCCCGCAGGCTTTGTACTTGAAAAACACCCATTGAATTTATTAAGAGTGGTGTACTCGTAATGGCCATTGGAACAGGCTTGGTGGGTATCCTGAGTTCAAAAATGAAAGGGCAGATGACTCAGGTACACCATGCTGTGATTAGAGAGCTATGAACAGCTTTCTCCACTTGCAGATTAACATCATTTCATGCTCTATTTTCAAACAAGTAATATCTGTTCTAAAAGTAGATTCCACCAGTGCTACTAACGTACCAAGTTCCAGTTGTCCTCACATGAAATAGTCCATCAGGTTTTCTTTTCCTTCAAGGAATAAATCATTATTGCTTTCATGTATTTTGGCAGATTTCCTTAGTTATGGGAATGTGGTTTGAAATGGTTTATGACTTCCTGCTTCTAAACAATAAGAAATAGCTTGAGTGTCTTGGCCCTATTACCCAATATGTTTGTTATGGAAACTGTTTGGGGTGAAGTAAATGGAAAGAGAAATATGAAACTCAGGTGGGAATTGAGTGCTAGCTGGATGATAGCTTGTACATTTCTGCCTTATAGATTCATTCACTGCAGTAACAGTAACTGAATGCCTACATCATGCTAACTACTCTTCTAGCTTAGAAGTTATAATTAAAGTTATAATATGTGCTTCCAGATGATTATAAGCTGGAAGCCTGCCAAAATTCCTATTAAGTACATAGGAATGAAATGCAACTTCCCCATTAAAAAACTGGAAAATTGAACAAAAAAGTCATTAAATAATTTTCACCGTGTTCCATTTGTTATAACTGAAGTTACACAAGAACCACATTTTGAAGGGGAAAACAAGATTGTCTTTCATTTGTCTTTTAAAAAAACAACCATATACACTATATGATTTATTATGAAAGAAATTTTGCAAAATATAAGCAACCTTACTTTCTGTAACTATTTTTTTCCCACCACAGAACACCACGAGTAAGCAGGCAGTTTATGTTTGAGCTGTGACAATTTCAAATGTGAACACTAGATTAGGTCTTCTTAGTTCTGGGAAGGTCACACCCTAAAACTTATTTCTATTGGGAGCTAACATTTCCTTGATAAAATAAGTTACCTAAGTGTTCTAAACAGGAAATAAGTGCTATTTGATCTATTTATTTTCACCAGATGGAAATATTCCTCCACATTTCTTGTTTTTAATTTGTGTTTCTTATTTTGAACGAATTCATAATTTTGCCCTAGCTACATAAAAATGACCATATTTGAACCAGTTCTAGATCTGACAAATGACTGTTGTTAAATTAGGATTATAGGGAAACTCAGAAGTTGTACTTCATTGTCAACAAAACAAAATAAGACTGTAAACATAAGCCCTTGCATTCTGGGACTCTATCCAAACGCATTCAGCAATTTGGCTGTGCCCACCTTCAGAAAAGCCATAATTTGATTCTAGGATCTGGGTACCATAATGCAGTCAGAGGATCTTAGCATTCAATAGGCACTCGTGGGGGCTGGGGGTTAGAAGTTGGTCAGTTCTGTTTCCTTGGCACCTAAAATCTATTCTCCTCCTGGAGCTCTTTGCTGCTCACAGAAAAGAAAAGTACACAATTTTATACATAAATGTGATTTTTAAATTTTGTTTTGCAAGAAGACTCTCAGATTAATCATTCCAGAAAATATTTTGTAACTTTAAGATTTTAACAAATCTGAAATTTTCTTTAATGATTGCAGACACCGGGAATCATAAATAAATAGGAAATTATCCTCGGTTATTAACTGTGAATGCCTTTTTATTTCATAAAATGCTTTATGAAATTTTATCATAAAATCATAAAGGTAACGTAAAGTGATAGAAGAAGAAGGGAATATAGGAATATAGATAGCCTTTTCTTTCTTTCTTTTTTTTCTTTGAGATGGAGTTTTGCTCTGTCGCCCAGGCTGGAGTGCATTGGTGTGATCTCGGCTCATTGGAACCTTCGCCTCCAGGGTTCAAGCGATTCTCGTGCCTCAGCCTCTTGAGTAGCTACAATCACAGATGCCTGCCACCACGCCGGGTAATTTTTGTATTTTTAGTAGAGATGGGGTCTCACCATGTTGGCCAGGGTGGTCTCAAACTCCTGACCTCAGGTGATCCGCCCGCCTAAGACTCCAAAAGTGCTGGGATTACAGGCGTGAGCCACCGCTCTCAGCTATGGGTCACCTTTTCTTGTACACTTCCATAGGTTCTGATTTTGTATAACCAACCTGAAACATGTTTCAATGCCAACACTAAAATGAATGTATTTAGTTAAAACTCTTTGGTTTCCAATATGAGAAATCAGCGGAAGACATTTTATGCTAAAGTTGGGAATACATGGGACCTAATCTTCAGAAATGGATTGGAAATTCAAGGCCATCATGTGTATTCTGTCTCCCTCCCTCTCTTTCTCTATCTCTTTCTTTGTTATCTTTTTCTTTTCTAGAGGTAAAGCATGGCTGACAACTTCATAGTTCCTGAATTAGCCTGTTATATGCCTGTTTACCTACAAAACTGCTACTGTGTTTGGGTGGCTATTTCAAATGCCAGGGAGAGAAACTCTGGCTCAGCTTGGTTAAGAGTTGACTCTTCATTCCATCTGCCATGCCTAGAAGAGAAGAGTCATGAGGCAGGAATATGCCTTCTGAAGGACTGTGACTCTAGCAAGGCAGGGATTTTCTCAAGGAGCTATGGATAGGTATCTTTGAATAATAACAGTGGTAATGATAAATAAACACTTACTGTGTGCCCAAAATTGTGCTCAGTATTTTACTTATGTCATCCCATATACACAGCTATTAGTAAAGTGCTGTAAGTTTTTAGAAAGTGTTTTTACATGTATTATCTTGTTAATCCTAACAATTCCTTTATCAAATAAATGCTATACTTTCTATTTTATTTATTTATCTAATCCCTTTTTTTTGTGAGATAAAGTCTCATTCTGTCACCCAGGCTGCAGTGCAGTAGCACAATCTCGGCTCACTGCAACCTCTGTCTCCCAGGTTCAAGTGATTCTCACACCTCAATCTTCCAAGTAGCTGGGACTACAGGCATGTGCCACCACACAACCAGCTAATTTTTGAATGTTTGTAGAGACGGGATTTTACTATCTTGGCCAGCCTGGTCTCAACCTCCTGACTTCAAGTAAGCCACCCACCTTGGCCTCCCAAAATGTTGGGATTACAGTCATGAGCTACCACACCCAGCCTACTTTCTATTTTATAGTGAAGAATTTCTTGCTAAAAGTTGAGTGTGTTTTTAAGTGAAAGAGCCAGAAGGGAAACCCATGATTTCTGATTCCTGGTTCAAAGATTTTACACTTGAAAGTGGTCTCCTTTCTGCAAGGTGTCAGCAATATAAAAGTATGTGAAACATGGTAGTTGATCAGACGAAAACACCTACAGCCCTGTATTTAGTGTCTGTTAGTAGCATCATGGACCTCTCATAATCATACATTGTGTTTTTCTTCTCTTTTTTTGGATAAACCTTCTATTTTTTTTTTCTTTTTCTTTTTTGGGAATGTATTGCTTAGGAATGCACTCAGCTGCAAGAAATAGATTCAACAGAGTGGAATGAGGGGTTTATGTTTTCCTTATACAAGACTCTAGAAGTCATCCGCAACTTCCACTGAAGAATCATGGTGCTGCTTTCCTCTTGCCCACCATCATAAATATTTTATTTTCATTACCATATTCCCCAGAGGGTTGCTGTCTCTCCAGCCACTAAGTTCCTATTTCAGGTGGGGAGAAAGTTGAGGGAAAACTTCACTTCATCCCATTTCCTTTCTATTCTGGGAGGGATTCCCTTCCCAAAGATTTTTCTGTATATCTTCTGACCACATAATTCTGTGGTCAGAATTATGTCACACAGCTTCCCCTAGGGACAAGCTAGATGGGAGTGTGAAGGTTTTTCTTTTTAATTTTTATGACATTGGAAGACAAAGGAATGGGCCATCCCATATTCCATTTAGTGGGACTGGAAGTAGCACCTGAGATCTTGGTACCACATGCTTCTAAGTTCTCCCATGTAGTTTTGCTTCAGTTACGCTTTTTCAGCATTTTCTTTGCTCAGTTGAGTGATTTCAATTTCTTTTATGTCTCTTAATAGGATTGCTTTCTGACTTTTCTCTGACCTCTAGAGTCCCTTTCATTGATTTCTTCTGAATCCCTGTCTCCACCCATACCCAGGAGGGTGTATATACCTACATATTCCCAAGAGGATACTTGAGAACTGTCTTGTTCTCTCTGTACCCTTCCTTTGCATCTCATAGATGAAACTGGAGAGACATGGAGAGGCAAAGTTACACAGCAAGTTAGTGAACCAAAACCACACTCCATGCCTCTTAACTCTTAGGCCTAGCTTTTTAAAGTATTACTAAATAATAAGTTTTTATGTTTATGTATGTCAAAATTTTGGAGCAAAATAAAACCACTGGTGTATAAAGTGTTTATTACAGAAAAAAATTCTTGAAGTCTGTCATTTAAATTCCGCAGAATCCTCTGTTTATTCAAATCAGCAGATGTTCATTGAGTGCCTGCTAATGTGCTAGGCACAACAGAAGCCGGGGTATTGCAGTGAACAAGAAAGAGTGACCCTTGGCCCTCATAGAGTTTATGTGCCAGATATATTTAAAGTATGCAATACTTTTCATAGAGTAATTAGATATTTATTAAGGGCTTACTCTGCATCAGGGACTGTTCTACGTACAATATACAGTTTATGACAAGAAATAGAAGATTTCTGCTCTTATGTTCTAGGGATATATAGTATAGAACTCAGAGGCCGTCATTCTCCTGTTGTTTATTACCAAATGTAATGAAGACATACCTAACTGATAGTATTTCTTAATCTATAGATTGGAGTAATTCATATGCTTTTTACAAGTTATAATACATACCTTATGACTGTGTGTGCAATTTAGTTGGCTTAAAAATTGATTTAGATTTAAGTGTAAATTTGTTGGACTGAATTCTAACAGCTTTGACTCCTTCTTTATTCTTTTGTTTTATAGAATTTAACTTGAATGGAATCTTTTATTTGTCTAAGTCTATTTCTGTCTAGTAAGGGAGTTGAAATTGATCATGTCTTGACTTTGTGGGCCATCAGAGAACCATGACATTCCAGGGTATTGATTTTGTGGTGTTAAAGGGTGACAGATCTACTGTTAAAGTGCCGAGAGAGAATTGGGTTTCAGATTGTACACCATAAGCAGTCTTGGCTTTTGCTGAGACATGACTAGCTTTTTAAAGTAATGGAAGGAATTGTAAGTCTTAGGTAATTTTTAGTGCATAATTTTGAAAAGATTAATTTCAGCAAGCATTATGTAATCATGCATAGAGGGGAATAAGTTCCATCTATGATAAATATTGTATATCTAAATATATACAACTTGGAGTGTGTGTGTGAGTGTGTGTGTGTATATTCAGAAAGTATACTCTATACTAAGGGTATTGAGTAATGTTTCAAGACAGCATCACTGAACCTTTCAAACATATTTATTCTTACATTTGGAAGTTGCTTAAGAATGACAAATTTTGTTTCCTTTCATACAATTGATTCTTGTAATCATTATTTCGAATTTTGCTTCTGTTGTGCTTTCTCTCATTCAGCTATTATAAGATATGAGTTATAGGACGGGCATGGTGGCTTACGCTTGTAATCCCAGCACTTTGGGAGGCCAAGGCGGGAGGATCACGAGGTCAGGAGTTTGAGGCCAACGTGGTGAAACCCCATCTCTACTAAAAATATAAAAATTAGCCAGGCATGGTGACGCGTATCTGTAATCCCAGCTACTCGGGAGGCTGAGGCAGGTGAATCGCTTGAACCCAGGAGACAGAGGTTGCAGTGAGCCAAGATTGCACCACTGCACTGCAGCCTGGGTGACAGAGTGAAACTCCATTGCAAAAAAAAAAGATATGAGTTATGATGCCCACATTTCAGAAAGGCCAGAGGTCTACAAGTGTAACGCTTGGCGATTTTTCATTTCCCTCTAAGACATAGAATGTTGGCAAGTACATTATAATAGCTGCTATAGACATGAACTAAGGAAGAGTAACCATGGTCGTCTTTCATTGTCCCATTTTCCTCTGGATTTGTTCTTTTAAATTTTATGACCTTTGGTGAATGCATTGAAGATAACATTTTGATTATATGATTATTGTATGGAAAACTATACTGAACTAAGTCCAAGTGTATCTTTGGAAACTAATCAGAGGTGTACCACATTCATTGACTTAAACCAATCCATCATAGTCATCTTCTAATTTATTTCCACATGTTCTTCCAAGTTCCCATTCTTGAATAAGACTCTGACCTGCAAAGAAGAATGGAATGTAGTCTATAAGTATGTTTGTTCTGTTTTCTAACAACATAAATATTTTGCTTAAGCAGATTTGCTAGGAAGTGACAACTTTGAAAAATTGGACATAGGATCTGCTGGAAGCATTTCAGTTCGAAGCAATCTAAATAGTGCAGAAGGGGAAAATGAAATATCACCATGTTTTAGAGATGACAGTTTTGTCAAAGATTCCCTTTCACTCTTTGGCTTGAAACAAATGAAGTAAATCAAGTATATCTGTTCAAAGTATGCATGTGCACTCACTGAGGAACATTCCTTCCTGAGACCGTTTCTTCAGAGACAACCAATGAGAGAATTATCATTGAAAAAAATGTATCACGAGTTGGGGAGACTATCATTTTCTTGGCTTAATTTTTAGTTTGGCTTTTGAGGTCATAAGATTTCACAAGAACAAAGTGGTGCCTTTAAGAAATGAGGAAAACCTACAGGCTTAACACCATTTGAGTATATCATTAGGTACACGTACTGGTTGTTCTTCAGAAATATGATTATAATTTTGATATGTGGTGTGTGTGTGTGTGTGTGTGTGTGTGTAAGTGGGAGAGAGAGTTTCAGTTAAGAACTTAAGGTTAGCTAGATACTAATTTTTATGGATATATTAAAAATCCCAGTAATATTCCCTACCTGAAAAGTGTTGTTGAGGTACATTTGAAAAGGTATAACAAGTTTGACAAAACTTGCTTTTAAGAACAATGTAATCACTCATTGGAAAGGCAGTGGAGTGTAGTCTACTTAAGAGAACAAAGACCAGGGTGAGACTTCCTGTGCTTAAAACTCCAATACTGCCGTTTTAGATCTGTGATTTGGGGAAAGTTAATTTCTCAGTTCCTGAGTTCCTTCTTTGTGAAATGTGGTCACTGGATAGTATCTACTTTCTAGTGACCTGGCATGTCAGCCTGAAACCTTACAAACTTTCAGTAGAATGTTAGTATCACTAATTGAAACTCTTAACATGTTTTGACGCCAAGAATAACAGCAGAAAATTTTTAAAAAGTAATTCAGAGGATGAATTAAAAGCTCAAACATTTCAGGAATCCTGTAATACATACATTATGCTTCTTTCAAGGTAGTAGTAAATGAGTGGTGATCACATAATTTTAACAAAAGAAGCATTGCTGATTATCATTTACGTCCTATGAATATTATGTAAAGTGCTTTAGAATCACACTGTATGGGAGTCACTGGTAGTTTCTGATTTTCAGATTCTATAATCAGTGGGTTGATTTCAAGTTCAGAGGTTATTCTCAGTTTTTATTATATTACTGTTAGAAATAGCAGTGCCATGTAAATGCTTGTATATTTTAATTATAATTTGTTCCCACTCACCTTTAGTAAGAGTGGTTATGTTAGTACTGTTACTTTGTGAAACAACTTTCATTTACTACGTTACATTTATTAATTCTATGTTCACTTGTGTGCTATATTTGCCTATTATTAAAGAGGTATCTGGTAGTATAACTCTATCTGAATAACAACCTAAATCTTTCACATAAAACGATTGATTCATTCTAGTATACATTTAAAAAATCTTATCTGCTTGTACATTTTACTAAATTTTAGAGCCTATCATCTTTTCATATTAATAGGATTGCCATTTTTATATATGGTAGGATTCTAGGTGTAGTTTGGCTTTGAGCCATAATATGATCTATCCTTTTAACCCTTTGGAAACATTGACTTTTTCATTGCATTAGTGCAGTCTTCATTTTATTTCCAGTCCAAGATGCCAAAGGTCACTTCATTAGACACCTCATTTGCCTTTCTTCCCTGTAGTGTTCTGTTGTCTTATATACTAAGTATCATTAAAAAAAATTCTGCTTCCATTAACAAAAAGTGAGCAGAGAACAAAAAGCCAATTATTTGTAGCACATAAAATCCTTATGATAATTTGGTAGACTTTAATTAAACTAATACATCACGCTGCACTTATAATACAAAAGAGCAAAAGAGAAGCAAATAATCTTTTTTTTGTTCTGTTGAGAAAACCATATTGCCTTGTAATCAAGCATTTTAAGACTTATGATCTATTTTGAAGTATAAGATTTTCAATGCTTTTCATACAATGTGCATGTTAAAATTATATGCTATATTGATTGGAAACATACCCCCAAAATTTAAAATGAAAATATGACAAAGCTTGACTTAAAGTAACTTTGATTATATTTTATGATTTTTTTCAAACTCTTCAAAAATAAAAGGAGATTCTCCAAATTCATCTCACATCACACAGAAACTTTACTACAAAGAATTTTTTTTTGTATTTAACACATTTTTGCTGGGATTTTTGCATTGCTGTTTATTCTTTTTGATGAACCAACTGATATTATTAATGCAAAATTTGCTATAAATTAAAAGGATACCGGTGTAACTTATTTATCTTTCCTGCATTTCACAACTGGGTTGTACTGGAATTAGAGATACTTAGTCTTTGTTTAAATAATCTCATCCCCAAATCTTCAACGTCTTTGTGATATAATTCTCATAATTTAAGTGGAAATAAAGAGCCGAATTGAGAGTGAATACATTTGCTTTCAATCTAAGGTCTGCAATGTTATATTGAACATGTCCTGTCACATCTCTGGGTTTCAGCATTATCACTAGTAAAGTAAATAATCTGGTAAAGAATGATTCCAAATGGCCTCCTTACTCCGTTTTTTTTTTTTTTTTTTTTTTTTTTTTAAATGGAGACGGAGTCTCACTCTGTGTCGTTCAGGCTGGAGTGCAGTGGTGCAATCTCAGCTCACTGCAACCTTTGCCTCCCGGGTTGAAGCGATTCTCCTGCCTCAGCCTCCTGAGTAGCTGGGATTATTACAGGTGCTCACCACCACACCCGGCTGTTTTTTTGTGTTTTTAGTAGAGACGGGGTTTTGCCATGTTGCCCAGGCTGGTCTCAAACTTCTACACTCAGGCAATCTGCCCGCCTCCGCCTCCTAAAGTGCTGGGATTACAGGCATGAGCCACTAGGCCCAGCCCCTGGTCTCATTTCTGAAATTATATTTCTACATTAGATAGTAATGTAATGTCTTTCTTGTACCAAAATCAATATTTAAATATGTTCATATCAATCTTTAAATCAATGTCTTAGTGTTTACAAAAAGTCTTTCTGAAAACATTTCTAGAACTTTCTAATGGTCAGAAAGCATAGGTTTTTGAAGCTGGTAAACCACAAATCATATTAAAAGATAGTTATATTCAACTTAGAAATTCACGTATTATCAACCAAAGGGATCATATAGAATCACTGTGCCAGTTCTTAGATTATTAACATATTTTTCATAAAGAGGAAACTGTTTGTAATTTCTAATTTTGTCCTATCTCACATTTACAAATTCAAGTCTCAATTAATTCCTTGGACATTTAATTAATTTGCTTTTTAGTAGATCAAACTGTTAGTGGGTTTATCAATCACCTGGAAATACTTTGTATTTTTCTACTCTTCTCTGTGGGTGTTCAAGGCTCCCCAAGTAGCTCTCAATTTTTTAGGCACATGATTGCAATTTTAGTGTCATTTAAGGACAGCCAAACTTGCTATTCACTTCATCTTCTCATTAGCATCTAGTCTCTGTTTCTCTCAGGCAGCCTTGGCACATGAATACCAGCCAATACTGCTTTTGTTTCCAAAGGTGGCCGGTATTATGGCCTGAAGAGGATAATAATGATAGTTTAAGTTTGTATCATTTTACGTTTTTATTATGAGCCTTCAGAATGGAAATGAATTAACTCTTAACTTTGGCCAAATGTAATTAGAACTCTAAAGCTGGGATCCATTCTAATGTTTTACTTATATAGTGCATAGTGGTATGGTCTATTTGTAGTAATCTGTATCCTTCCCTGATTCAGAAAGGGTGTTTCTTTAAAATAGTTGTTTTCTGGCCAGGCGGGGTGGCTGACGCCTGTAATCCTAGCACTTTGGGAGGTCGAGGCAGGTAGATCATCTGAGGTCAGGAGTTCAAGACCAGCCTGGTCAACATGGAGAAACCCCCATCTCTACTAAAAATACAAAAATTAGCTGGACGTGGTGGCACATGCCTGTAGTCCCAACTACTCAGGAGACTGAGGCAGGAGAATCGCTTGAACCCAGAAGACAGAAGTTGCAGTTAGCTGAGACTGTGCCACTGCACTCCAGCTTGGGTGACAGAGCAAGACTCCGTCGAAAAGAAAAAAAAAAAAAAGCAAGAAACAAATAAAATAGTTGTTTTTATAAAAACAATAAAATAAAAGTATGGACCAAGAGAAAGATGATTTAACATTGAAGAACAGGCTCTTCTAGAGCACCAATCTTTACATACTTAATTACATTAGCATTCTCTTGACAAATAGTTGTTTTATTTGAATACTCTGTCTTTTGATAGTTATTGAATTAATTTGTCTGTGTACGTCTAATTGAGGATGTTCAGAACAGCCTTGTTATGTTTGTTTGTTTTTTCTTAGTATACTCGATTCTATTTTATGTAGGCTTCAGCTAAGTAGAGACAATAGGAAAAACAGCTCATGACGGAGCTGAGTGGAATTAAGAAAATCTCTGGTTTAGGCAGGGAAACTAAATCCTCTCACTGTTTTCTGACCTCACCTTGTATCTTCCTGTCAACTTTGTACATATAAGCAGATTGTAACCTTGGAGAGAAAAATGTAAGAGCCAAGTAAGTAAAACTATAAGAAATAGTTTTACCATTTCAAAAGATAAATAAAAGTTTCCTCAGAACCAGGACTGTGTTTTATGGTGCTTTGTATTTCCTTCCATGCCTCTTACATGACTGGGCTGATACATACATATGGTATTCTTTCTAATGAATCCTGGGATTCCATGATTTTAACAGCCAGTGAGGAAACACTGATTGCTTGGCTATCCAACCCAAGGCGTTCTTCTTTTTTTTTTTTTTTGAGTTCAGGCCATTCTTCTGCCTCAGCCTTCCGAGTAGCTGGGACTACAGGTGCCCACCACCACGCCTGGCTAATTTTTTGTATTTTTAGCACAGACAGAATTTCACCGTGTTAGCCAGGATGTTCTCGATCTCCTGACCTCGTGAACCGCCGGCCTCGGCCTCCCAAAGTGCTGGGATTACAGGCATGAGCCACCGCACCCGGCCCCAAGGCATTCTTTTGTAAGTTCCCAAATCATTTATACTCTGAAGTCAGGGCCAAGTATCTATGATGAGGAATTCGTATAATATTTTCTATCTCTCTATTTTTTTTTTTTTTTTGAGACGAAGTTTCCCTCTTGTTGCCCAGGCTGGAGTGCAATGGTGTGATCTTGGCTGATTGCAACCTCCACCTCCTGGGTTCAAGCGATTCTCCTGCCTCAGCCTCCCAAGTAGCTGGGTTTACAGGCATGCGCCACCATGCCCGGCTAATTTTGTATTTTCAGTAGAAACGGTGTTTCTCCATGTTGGGCAGACTTGTCTTGAACTCCCGACCTCAGGTGATCCGCCCGCCTCATCCTCCCAAAGTGCTGGGATTACAAGCGTGAGCCACCACGCCTGGCCTCTATCTCCTTTTCTTATGTAGCTAATCAGTGGTTGACTCGCTGACTAAAATACTTATTTTTAAGAGTATAGTTCAAACGGCGCTAATGGCCTTTGTGTGTGTGTATACTCTAACTTATGTAAATGGGTATAGACTTCCCTTTCTTTGATTGGATAGAATGAGTCTTTTAATTAATTCTTTTTCATGTTGCAATTTAGACAACTTTCAGGTATGTAGAAGTTGCTTCATGTGTATGCATCTATTTAAATAATTATGATAGAATATATATTTGTGAATTTAAATAATCATGATAGAGTATGATATATATGGAAGTTTCTAGAACTGAGCTTCTTAACACTTTTTTTATATTAGTTTAGGAAACTTGTATAAGTTTGCTTATTTTTTCTTAAACATGCCAAAAATGGAGATATCTACAATGATAACTTTGCTGTCTATTTTAAAAAGATTTGAACTTGGATTTAAAAAAATAAATGTGAGGAAACATAATGTAAGGGGAACCTATTTGATTTGAGCCCTAATTCTACCACTTACCTGTGTGATTTTACATAAGCAGATTAAACACTCTGAGCTTCTGTTTCAAGTGTAAAATGAGAAAAATATTATTCCTACTTTACAAGGACTTTTTGAGGTTAAATTAGATAGTTAAATGCAATCTTGTAATAAACATTGTAGGAGAGAAAAGATTTCTTTTTCTTAACCATTGCTAGATTGATAGCTGAGGCACCCATAACAAAAGATAGAATAATAACAGCAAAGCATGCAAATTTATTTAATATAAGTTTTCCATGACATGGGAGCCCTCATTAAAAAATGAAGACCCAAAGAAATAAGTAAACATATGTTTTTATGCTTGGGTTTGATGAAGATGTGGGTAGTCATAGAAAAGTATGATTGGACAAAAGAGATGTGGTTTAATGTCTATAAACTGAGGGGAACTTAGCAAGGCCTACTTGTTCAGATTCTTCTGTGTGGCACTGTGTCTTCAAAGATAAGGATGTTCCTTTCCTTCGAGTATATGGAGGGCACCTCTCGAATGAGGGTCTTATGACCTGCTTCAAGGGAGAAGGGCAAGGGGAAGGTGAGAGTTGGCTTTCCTGCTCCTGCTGTTTTCTCAAATGCCAAGGTACCATATTTTGGGGTGGTGTTTCTTGAGCCCCATCAACATCTATACAACTGTCACAGTAATTAATAATTATTGTCATTTATGGTTTTTGATATATCATTTGTATAAATGAGAAGAAAGTGAAATACCAAAATACCAACCAAAATTGTCTTTCTCATAGTCCTCCACTTTCCTAAATCCCATGTTCACTCTATGTCCTGTCTTTCATTTCAAATGGTTTCCTAGTATTAAAAAAGAAAAAAAACCAATAAACTTTTCAATGTTAATAATAACACTGGTTATTCTTAACCAATGGTTCAACTCCTCTATTATGCATTTATGCTCTAAAAATTAACATCAACTTCCTGTTGTTAGACTATGGAAACTTAACATCAATTTGATTTTCTGGGTCATGGACCATACTCTGCGTTTTATGTCATACTTTTTATTTTTCCCTAGATTTGAACATTAGACAAGGAAAAAGATAATGAATATTCATGGAATCATTTTACGTATTGCCAATTATATGCAAACACATTCAACAGATACTTGTACTTAATCTACACCAATTACATAGTGCATGATTTAGTATTGAAGCATACCTAATAAAAATAAGAAGAAAAACAGACATCTGTTTCTTTTAAAATATATATATTTCCCTGTCTGTGGTTTTGAAGTTTTTCAGGGTCACAGATAAAGGACAGGTTTATTCCTATGTGTGGGTGTGCAGTGTGTTCTTGTACTGAGGTCTGAGTTCTTTTCCAATTCTCTGCATAATTCAGTTTTCTTCTCCTAGCACTAGTTACCTATTGTTGGCCAAGAAGGTCTAGAGAAGGTAAACAATATAGCTTTTATATAAGTGAACATTTTACTGATTTTTTTAAGTAAAGTTCTCAGCTTAATTTAGCCTCTGGGGTATGAAATGGAAGCTGAGTGAGACACAGAGATAACCTGGTAGAAGCTGCTCAAGGAATGATGTGGCTTCATCTGCATTTGTTTGTGTATGTGTGTGTGTGTGTGTATGTGTGAGAGACTTGTTGCCTGAGTGATAGAACAAATCCAGGAGAAAGGTTGAAAGGCAAAGACAAAGGCCATGTCTATACAACTTCAGCTGAATTGGACTTGACTGAAAGATTGGTTTGGTCTGATTTACTAGAGCATATCTCCTCAGTGTCTGTGATCTGAAAATTGCTTCCAGGGCCATTTTAATTAGCTGATTCAAATCAAAACCAACACATTCTGGTAACATCCAGTTCTACTCTGACCCTTACCAAAGACAATTTTCAGAATGGTGATTCCTAAGTAGTTGTGTATAAACTCAATAAGTGATTCAAGATAGGCACTTTTTGTTTCTAAACATTTAATCTTTAATGGTGAGAAAAGTACCTATTTCTTTTGGCTTTAGTGACAGGTGAGTATTAGTACACCATTGCATTTGTTGAGCACATCACAGCTTAAACCACAAAAATAGAAGCCTGTTCTTATGTAGTTAACATATGAAATGAGAGAGTTTCTGTTCCTCGATAACATTTTAATACGTGGACTTCATTATGCTGCATAGCAATATGATTAATGTAACATTTAAATGCATTATATTCCTGGGGATGCTTTTAAGTTAAAAGTGTAAATCAGGTCCTGAAAATAAAAATTAAAACATTTGACACCTATAATTTCCTATTTTTTTAAAAAAATGTTTTTCCTATCTATTCATTTATTAAAAACCTTGCAGAAAATTTTACATAGTATCTTTCGCTTAAGAAAAGAAGAGAAATACTATTATAGGAGAAGAATTAACAAGAGAAGCTTAATGAAATTTTAGGTTGTTAGACTAAATTTAAGAGAGAGATGGGGAAAAAAAGGGGCAAAATGGGGATGTTAGCAAAATAAAGAGCATTTACTATAGTTTGAAAGAGGTGTATTCCACAATCTAAAATATGATAAACAATAGAAAGTCAAAGATAACCTTGTGATTTCAAAATATTAAAATTACATATGTGATACTATGATATAACAAGTAATATGATTTCCCTAATTGGTTATTTCCAAATATGCATGTATTCATTAATCCAATTTTCAGGGCAACCAAACATGTACCAAAAACACTGAAAAGAAACAGAAAGTACATGATATTTGCCTTCATAGACCACATGGTAGCCTTGTATAGAATGTGATAATTAAATGAATAACTTCACAAAAATAGTTAAATAGTTGATAACTGCTATGGAATCATACCATATATAAGAAAAGTGCATAATAGGAAAATCTAATGTGGTCCTGGTATACATTACTTTAAGGTAGTTTTAGTTGGTTAGTAAATAACGCACGATATCAGAAACTTTGAAATATTTAGCTTTCATCTGTGTATAAGGAATTTTAGAATTAAATGTGCAGTGATATGGTTTGTGTAAATTAACATGAACTTTCTGAAACTTACAATTTAAATCATAAAGATTCACTTATAGATGCCTTGGTAAATGTGTTTTGCTTTATGTAAGTAGCCCAAATATTCCCATATATATTAATTTTTAAAGCTATTGCTAGAGAAACAAAAAGATATTGTTTTTATTTCTAGAAGAAGACACCATTTACATTTTAAAATTAAGACATATTTTAATGCTGCTTAACTTTATACAGCTAATATTGATAATATACTGTCAGAGCATTTTAATGCATTTTCTGTTCTCTAAACGATTAATTTTAAAGTTAGTCATTACTTGTTTTATTACACCATTTACTTTCACAAATAAGTTGGTCCAACATTCAGTGAAATAAGTCATTAATTTCTTTTCTAACTTTGACTCTAGTGTGCTGATGCATTGTTACATTGGAAATTAAGTGGAATATTTCTCTTCTCTGATCCTAATTCTTAAAAATAAGCACTTTGGGCAGTGAAATGTACCATGTTTACTCTATGAAAGTGATTTATTATTATTTTTTGGCAATATTCAGACTTACTAAGATTTTACTAACATCAATTGTACCACCATCGAATTGGAAAAAGACACTTTGTGTACTTTCTGGCACCGAAAGTAGAAATTGACCTGTTGGTCAGGCTCAAGTTCAGAGAAATATTTAACACTATTTAAAACTGACATTAGCACCAAAATATTTTGAAGGAGTTTTTATCATAACTTTTATTTTTCCAAACTAGAAACAAAGTTAGGAAACATTGTGCTTTTACAGTCATGACTTTGAAAAGGGGCGTAATTCATCCTTGACCAGAGATTAGCAGGCCATTTGTTGATAGCATATAACTTGCCCCAATTTCTATAGAGAAAGTGAGCTATCTAATGATTGCATTAAGAGACTAGAGCTACTTGGAAGGGTGTGAACATTCAGATCAAGCTCACATCTCTGAGATCTTAGGGATGTGCAAGTTGTAAAAGCACTGACAACAAAGTTACCATTTCATTCTTATTTGTATTTGTAATATAAAGAAAGCAAACAACACTCCCCCAGCCCTCTTTTGACATTTCATAGCCTTGAAAAGCTTAAACTCTGAAACACACTAAATGCAGTGTTTCTTATACCATGCAAACATCTCTTGTCAGAGATAGCATCCCTGAGATTAGCCAGCTGTATTGATTTAGATGCCTCAGGGTTGTTAATTGTAGTGAGGACTGTTATGTCTCTATGGCTTCTGAAAGAGGTTATGGCTACTGCAAATACATCTTAAAGAAGGAAAGAATACTATCAGCCAAGATGTGCAGTCCAAGCTTTGGAACTAGGCTGGCAAAACCCTACTCACATCCCTGTAAAGCAGACATATATTTTTGTATTTTTTATAGGTGGATACAGTGCAGACCATGAACCCCTCTGGCCACATTGAGGAATCGTGTAAAATGAATGTATGTGCTCGTAAGTGAAATATATGCAGTGTTCCAACTCAATATGTTGGATCCTAATAGACCTGGATTTGTCTTGTGTAAAAAGAAATCGATTCCCAAGGGGCAGGATCACTAACTGATTAAAATGAAGCTTTGAGTTTGAAGAAAACAAAAAAGGCTTTAAAATAAGATCTCTGCAAAAAGGAATCAAACTGTGCTTTTTAAACAAGTGAAAAAAATCAAGCTCTCAATATGGAATAAAGGAGGGATGTGAGAGAGGTTTTGCAATCTTATCAATTACTGTGGGGAAACAGAATCAGATATCGCCATACTCAGGAGTATGAAAAGAAGAACAGGAAATTCTTTTTCTTCAGTTTGCACTTGAATGGACTCAAGCAAAGAGTGTGGATATGTATCTTGTTACTGTTTATAGTTAATAATGTGGAGATTAGTATATATGGGATTTCATTTGCCTTGTTTGAACTAATTGGATGCATTATATAGAAATCACCTGAGCCTGTGCTAGATCAACAAAGAAAATGGAAATGTATACCTCAGGATTGAAATCCGAGAAAATTAGACAATTCAATGCTATTTAATAACGCATTAAGAAGAAATACTATTGCCAATCAGGGAAAGTGAGAATCTAGTGAACGTGAGAGGAAGTAAAATTTAGGCAATTATTACACTTGTTGAAACATAACTTATGACGGTGTAAAAGCAGAAGATAGATCACAGTATATGTCACAGACATTTTACACAGTTTCCAACTGAATTTGGGGTTAACTATGTAAGTGTTCTAGGAATGTATGGCCATTATATCAATAAGAAACTGTCCTTTTAAATTTGTGATCCTACACATTTATATATGCAGAAGAGGGCCTTTTTAAATTTATTGAGGATGAATTGCATGCTGGAAGTACCTCTTTGCATTACAGTTACTTGCTCAATTGAAGATACTGTATAAAGTCTAATTTTTGTATGGGTGTGAAGGTATGTGTATGCACTTATGTGTGCGTGTACAAGTGGAAGGAGGTAAAATTTAATGATTAGCATTTGCACTTTGGTTTGTTACCTAGAATGTAAAGAGGTAGAGTAAACTGTCTTAAGCCATTCTGTTATCATTATTAAAGATTATTATTCACAAAGGAAGCAATTTTAAAATAGAATGACTACTTCAACAATTTGCCAATTAAATATAATATTTAATGCAATTGAGCCGTTTAAATTAAGATGATACCAACGCCTGAAAATAATGAGAGTAGGCTCATGTGAAATTAGTCTGCAGACACTTGGAAACTCATAGTGTCCTCCTTCAGGCTGTCTCACATAGCGGCAGGATGTGAATCATGGGTGCTATTATAGAAAAAAATAGGGAAATATCTGTGTTCTAACTATAACTTTTTAATTCTACCAATAAGTTACATGTGCTTTCCCCCACTTTTCTTCAACCTAAATTATATAACCAGTAATGATATATCAACATGAACAAGATAGTGAATATTTAAAGCAGACTGACATGTTTTTGTGTAGTCACCATGTGCCATAATAATTTTGAAACTGTTCTTCTCCGCTATTTGTACTCGTTTCTTTTTATCTTGCCGATTGACTTTATAGTTAAAATTTTTACCTCTTCTTTCTATGTGACAATCAACTGCAGTTAGTACCCTATCTGTAATATTACAGGGATTTTTGTCCTTATTTATGATACTATAATAAATTATAAGCCAACAAACTGTATAATTCTGTTGTATTGAATATTTTTTGTGACCAAAATAATAAAAAAAACTACTTTATAAAATGCCTATATTTCCTATTTTAACAGTCTCTTAAAAGATAATGGGACATAAAATAGGTTCATATTGCTGGCTTTTAGAATACACTCTCTACAGCTTTACGAATGGAGAGAAAAGAGTTTATCTTAGACACTTAAGATAAACAGATTTGACTGAGTTAATTATGAGAGTGTGTGGAGAGAAACACTCTGAACAAGTTAGAAGTCTAGATGTCAAATTTTGCTGTGCCACTAAACAGCCAGACATGAGGGACACATTTTTTGAGTTCATGGGTATTCAGACTTTTCAACTGGGTTTTGGAATACACTATCATTTTTAAGACAATTTTAAGTCTTAACTTCAAAGGTTTTGGTAACTTAGAAATGTTTCAAACAGATACTTAATATTCATCATCTTAATAATCAATATTGATCATTCATATTAAGAGAATCACATGCTGGTTTCCACTTAAATTGACCTCAAGCGCAAGACCAAGGGACAGTATGAATTGACAGTTGTTGCTACCTCACCATTAGTTTAACCTAATGGAAATATGTACTGAGGTATAAGTTATCGTGTTCTGGGATCAATAGGTCCCCCCCTAAGTTAATTGAAGCAAGCAGTACCCAAGTACAAAATCACTCAATTTGTAACAGAGGAAACCTTTTTGTTCTGCATCGAGTTGAATGCATTGCCTGGCAGAATATTAAAGTGCAAGAACCAGTTTTTCTTGCTCTTTACCCCTGCAAGGATTGATCAGCACATGAAGGTCTCCTTGACTTCAAAGGCATTTCTGGACTTGGATCAGCCTGATTGAGTTCAGAAGAGAAGGAAACACTAGCCCCTGATGTTTATTGCTGTAGGCTCTTTCATCTAATAGTAACTCTCTGCTTTAGAAGAAGCAACAGGCAGAAAGTCTTGTGACTTTTAATTTCACGATTAATGTTTACTTGCAAAGTGCCTCACACAGAAAATAGTGCTTTTATTTTAGTTTCCTGCTACTACTCCAACTGTGAAAGGTCAGGGAACCAGTAGGAAGCAAAATGAAAGCATGTATAGAGGGTTTTTTTTTCCTTCTCTGAAGCATGCTGACTTGCAAAATAGTGTCACTTTCAGAATCCCAAAGGTGTGGTGGATAATCTTCAGAAAGCCTTATTTAGAGCACTGGTCACACTGAATTTTTTATTTAGGTGAATTTCTGGCCATTGATGAAACCGAGATAAGGAAATCTAATTTTGTCCCATTAATTCCTTATTTTCCTTAGAAGATTAGACGAGAGAGTTGCAGACTTCCACCTACCAAATCTCTCTTATGTCCCCCTGTTTCTAAATAAACCTTCTACCCTTTCCTCTTGCCTCTATTTTGGGGGAAAAGAAAAGGAAGACTAAACTTGGCTCAAGGAAAATGGCTATCTACAGCAGAAGAACAGCTGTGAATGAGAATCACCAACTGAAAACTTATGTGCAGAATCCATCATTAGATTTGGACTCGCATGAATAAAAATGTCACTAAAATATAAAACAAAATCCAAAATGTGCTATTAAGGATCAAAACCTTGCTTTTGGTTTTAGTTCTTGTTATTTTTTTGAATGCTATTATTTCACTTCCCTGTTTGGTAAATACACTTTAGTTGAACTGATTCTAATATTTCTCTGATGACTTTTGAAACTTAAGTTACTGAGTCAATTCTGTAGAGGCGATATATTCATTGCTCTCTTAATATTCTTGTTAACCTCCTGAAGAAGATACTATTATGTTCATGATACCCATCTTGCAGATGAGGAAAATGAGATACACAGAGTTTCAGTAACTAGTAAAGCTACAGAACTAGCAGGAAGTGGAACTGGACTTTGAGTCCAGAGGTCACACTCAACAGGAGGGCCTCAGAGCTTTGATGCCAAATAGTAATTAATAAATTGAGAACTATCTAGGGATGCAGAGAGGAATTTTATGGTTCCTTAAATCACATAACCAGTAGCTTGATGGATTCAACTTGCATTACTTAAGATGGGAAAGGTACTCATTAGTTCTAGCATACAGAAATATTGGATGAAGATGAAATCTGATATAGAAGATCTGCTTTAAATATTGTAGACAGGGCTGGCCATGGTGGCTTATGCATGTCATCTCAGACTTTGGGAGGCCAAGGTGAGAGGATCAATTCAGGTTAAGAGTTCAAGACCAGCCTGGGTAACATAGTGAGACCTCATCTCTACAAAAAGTAAAAAACAAAATTAGCCGGGTGTGGTGGCAGGTGCCTGTAGTCCCAGCTCTCAGGAGGCTGAGGTGGGAGGATTGCTTGAGCCTGGGAGGTCAAGGCTGCAGTGACCCGTGTTCACAGCACTGCACTCCAGCAAGAATGACAGAGAGAGACCTTGTCTCAAAAAAAACAAAACAAAACAAACAAACAAAAAACAATAAATAAATAAATACATGCTGTAGACAGAAAAAAAGGGAAATTCTTTTCCAATTTACCTGCTTTGTGGGCTTAACGTATGTTCCTGTATATATGTATAATTTGTGTCAAAAAACATTTTGAAAATGAGTATCTTGCCACTGGAACCTAGATGGAATGAGGAAAATGGCAACTGCATTCTTTGAACAGGGAGCGTTCACAGCCTAATGGGGTCACAGCCAACCATGCAGGCTAGTTGTTACAATGTCGTGTGCTAAATGGCAGAATATCATAGTGATTAAGAGTGCAGTGTCTGGAATTCAGCCTGCTTGGGTTTGAAACGTGGTTCATACATTTACAAGTTGAGTGAACTTTGGACAAATTACATCTTACTGCCTCCATTTCTTCATATTTTATATGTTATTAACAATATTTACTATTTACCTTATAAATTATTTATGACTGTTGATTAGATTAACCCAGCCTATGTGTGGCCGGTATAAGAAGAATTCAATAAATGCCAGCAATTATTAATTTTCTTATTGTTGTTTCTATACTTGACATATGACTAGAGTGTAGTAGTTGCAGACTTAGATGTTCATGGGCCAAAATAAACCCAATGTCATTGTCAAAAGGTGAAATGCCTTTGGAAAAGATAACCCTGATCCTTCAATATTCTCTATATGCTATTGTGTGAAACTCAGCAAAATTCAGCAGATACAAGTTCTCCAGTTTCTGGTCTGCTATAATTCAAATATAATTCAAATCTTATAGCTCTGTGAGCTGTAATTTTTTCAGGCATAGACAAGTGAAAGGAAACTGTGAAAGCCAAAATCAAATCTCTGTCACAAACCGATGATGAAAGTTTCCAAAAAGGTTGAAGAATAATTTTTGAAAATCACTTTATCCACAGTCATAAGGGTATATACAAGTTCCTCCGACTACTAGTAGCATAAGAATCATGAAACCTAAGAATTATAAATTGTCATATTATCATAAAAAGATAACACTGATTATGATAACCATTTCACAAATAGTTGTTACTTTGCAAATATTTAATGTGTCTATTATATTTGATGAGGATTTTATTTCAAAAGTTTTTCATTAAATAGCAAATGTGCTGTGTTTATTAAGTGATAAGATTTCAGTGTATGAACAGAAACAAAAATTCTTGCTTAATTGAACTGGACAACATTTAATATCTGAAAAGTCAGTGGCTTTCATTGGAAATAGTTAACTAAGAGTATTTTGGAGAAGATAAAATGAGCAACCATTGAGAATGTTCAGTTTTGCTTGTTTGAAACTACTTTTTGAAAGAAATATATTAATTAATAATCGTGACTGGAAAATGTTGCTCTCAGAAATGGCCCTCTGGTCTTGGAGTACATAGTATCATGTGTGAAAATATAAGAAAGTTATATTTTGACTTCATATCATAGTTTAGCAACTGAACATCAGAAAAAAACAAAGCCAATTTCAGATTTGCATTAGATGACAAATCTCAATAATTTTTACAGATTTTATGGAAGGGCTGGCTACTCTATTTTTATGGATGTTAATATCACCATAATAACCTATCTTAAGCTGCTTTTTTTGAAGTTCTAATGAAGAGTTAAAATTAGGGTGATTCAAAATGAACGTCTTAGCCTATATGGTTCGATGTTAGGGGAAAAATTAACATTTCCAATTTTAAGAGATTGGAGCTCTGAGATCAGGTACAGCTCAGTCTGTTTTCTAATTGCTACTGCTCAATTGTGTCAGTGAAAATTCTATCTCAGTAGGAGCTGAGGGGGATCCAGGTCTCTAATCTTTCTTTTCTGTGTGTCTAGCTGTTAAAGGCGGGTCAGCATGAGTTTTTTCTCCCCTATGTGTCAGACTTATGAAAGAAGCAGACATTTGGTATGTGCATTCCAAAAAGATCAGAAACTGGCTGCCTCCCGATAATACATTTCGAGTGGGTACAGTATTCTAACATTCTGCTGGTTAACTTTTAAAAAACCCTGCATACTTATTACATAAAAAAGTATGCCATTTTTTCAACCCCAAATTGAAACCTGATTGTTAAAGTTATGTAATTGATAAAAATTACATGTTAAGAAAGACACTGGTAATATTAAGGAAATAATCAAATTTATCATGTGGGCCTTTTAAATAAAAATCCTTTGATGAACAGTCACATAAACGCCTTGCTATTTTGATTGAGAAGTTTGTGAAAATGTTTATGAGGCTTACTTCCAATTAGTCCTACCTTAAGAGTGATTGTATTCAAATTAACACCAAGGAGAAGGCAAACACAGAATCTTTTTATCTTTCAATAGCCCACTTTAATACTAGGAAGAAATACAATATGTATCTTGCACTACTGCTTAGTAACTGTGCTCTTGTCATTTGAGATTAACATTTGGATTAAAGAGCATGATTAGAAGATTCTAAATTAGTAGTTACCAAGCTGAAATGACACAAAAGTTAAAACAAAGTAATACAACAGTCTATTTCATGCAATTTATTTCTTATACCAGTTAATTAGCACTTTAATTAGCATGATGTTTCATGTTGTGACCTAAGCCATTGTATTCCCAACGGGTTTAGTGAAGACAATTAAAAAAAGAAAAAGAAAGAAAAAGCTGCAGAATTGTTGATGGCTGTGTCACATACCAGCAGAATTAAATATAATTCTTGACTTTAAAACATGAGAATACACATATACTTTGTTCCTGAATTCAGAACAGATTTTTTTAAAAGGCATTTTGATGGTATGAAAGACTTCCACAAACTCGAAGCATATGTAACTATGTGTGCAATAGCGTTAAAGGAACTACATTTTTAATTCCAAATGACCACAAATCAATGCCCAAAGGATTCACTTGGATAAAGAAGTACCTTTCACTATTTTGGGAACAAACATAGAAGATAAGTATAAAGGTAATCATGGTTTTGAATAATAATGTGATTCATAGGAGTCTATTAAGGCCATTGAAATTACTTACAAAGGACAGCATTCTGGAGTGTCACAATGGAACTCTGCCTTTGGACAGACCTGAGGAAAAGAAATATGCACCTTAGAAGTCATTTGTTGCTTGCAGGACATAAAAGAATTCTCTCATCTCTCCTCTCCTCCCCTCCCCAGTGAGAACACATTCAGATTCTGTGTGCTTGTCTTTATCATGTGAGATAGAAGTTTCTGCAGAGCCAAAGACAGTCATCTGCCAGAAGATTGGTTCTGCCATTTTGCAACAGCATAAAAAATGGCCACAACGGTTGTGAATATTGGACTATAAAAAACAGCAAACCTCCTGAAGGTGTTTTTCTCTTCATTTTATGCTGCTTACTATTCAAAACATGCAAAAAATAAAACATTTTAAAGATCTAATATCCAAAGATTCTGTCAAGCTTGCTTTGTTAATTGCTGGAAGCTGTTGGCCTCCTGTTTTAGGACTGTATAATTAAACTATTAGTTTCCTTTGAATTTGTATAATACAGTAGGTCTGCAGAGGACTCTTATTTCCCCTCTTAAAAATTGTTCCATAGCCTCTTTTGGCAGTTAATCTATAGATATCATTTGGAATTTCTTTAGAATTGTTACATAATTCACAGATAATTCATTGCACACAGAACTGTGTATTTATGGAAATCTAATTTCATTGTTATGCAAAACCTTATAAGAAGGGAGACATTTAAGTTTAATTTTTTTTTCCTTGTCTCTTTTCTTTGTTGAACACATAAATTCAAAGGCTCACTTTTTTTTTAGTAGGGATTTTTGGCAAATGACATACAAAGTATCTAAAAATTATACATTTTAAATTTTTAATACAATCGATTGAAAGTTCTATTTTGTAAAATAAGAATAAATTTGTAATTTGTGATAAAAAAATCCAATAGACATTTTTGTTGAGACAAACACAAAGATGTGTTACCTACATTTCTCTGTAGTTTGATGGCATGAATATCATTAGACAATCAGAAAGTTCCAGTTTTATTTTTGGTATGATAGTTAAGTGATAATGATTTGATCTGAGAGTGATCTTTCAATTTAAATCCATTTATTGAGTATTTAAATTACTATTTTTCCTCCCTCTTGGATTTTCTATGAAAATATATAATTTAAACCTATATATAATTTATAAATTAAAAGGCGAATTATTTAGAGCACCGATATGGATCAGTCTTTGAGACTTTGGGGAAGTTACTTAATCTTTCCTGTGTTTGTTTATTTATTTGTATACATTTTGAGATGGAGGTCTCACTATGTTGCCCAGGCTGGACTCGAACTCCTGGGCTCAAGCAATATTCCTGCCTCAGCCTCCGGAGTAGCTGGAATTACAGTCAAATCCCACCTTACCCAGCTCTCTTATGTGTTTAAATGAAGATAATAGCACACTCTGATGGCATTATTTGGAAATGTGGGTAAGTGAACATTTTACGTATGACATACACAATATAATATATAACACTTACAGCACTTCCTGGCATAAAGTAAGAAACTGTAAGTAATAGCTGTTGTTAAAGAAGGCTTGGAAATGTGACACAAGTCACAAAGCTACTCACTTACTGGTTGAGCTAAGATTCTAGAATTGGTCTCAGTGCAAAGCGAACATTGCCTGGCATACAGTAAATGCATCTAGGTGCAATCTGCTATTAAAAGCAAACACATATTTTCCAAAGGTCTTACACCAGTCACTAACTAGGCTGGCATGAGAATTGCAAGGTTGTGTCTGATTTTAAACCCTAATTTCCCTAAATGTTTGCAGGCATCTAAACTTATTAGAGCTATTTATTGGTATAGATTTCACAGCCTTGATAAATACACTTGCTGTTTACCAAGACTTTGAAAAGTATGTTTTTGAATTGTTTAGAATATATAAACGTGCCCATAAAACATGGTAATATTTGTAAATGGGAATATAATAAAAATGATTAATGATCAATGCACACACTGAGTTGTAATTGTGAGAATAAGAGTTTCTATATTGTCTTTTAATATAGAAACTATTTATTAAAACAAACACCGAAAAAATATGTAACAAGTTTATTTATCTTCTAGTAGACTTCAGCAGAGTAATTAGGTAAGTTCATATTCTCATCTCCATTTTCATTTTTTTGAATATTTGGAATTATATTGATAAAAGGTGTCAGGCTGTTGTGTCTATGAGAAATCCCTTTAAAACCTTGACATTCTCTTCTCAGCTGCTGCTACATCATTTTTCTTGCCATTCAGTTTTGTTTAACTGTGAAGTTTAGGATTGCTTTATTTCAGTTTTCTTCAAATATTTTACTGCAGTTTTTCTTATTAACTGGTTTTTCAAAGATATATTACAGTTGGATCTTTAGATTGACTACTTCTCAATAGGGGGCCTAACGGACTTCCCCAGTAGTCACCGTTATTTACTGTTTAGTCTGAATTTGAAATTGATAAGCCCTGATGACTGTTATTAGCAGTCATTCCACTTATTGTGCCATCTAGTAATATTGTATCGTGGAAATAGGTGTTCTTTAAAAAAGCAAGAGTTCTCTCTTTCTATGTACTGCTGTGATAACTGATCAAAACTATGAAATACAACAGATCATGGTTAGGCCTGAAGAGCTTAGTTGATCTGATATTACAGTTTGTGGACAAATTATATATACTGGATTCAGATATTACATAGAAGGCTAAAATATTCCATACACTGCTGCCTCAGATTCTTGCAAGGACAGAACAATTTACTTCTTGTTTGAGTGTGCTCAGATATATCCAGTGCCAGTTTGCTTTTAATACGTAAATTTTAAATGTCTTGATTTAGAATCACATTCCTCTGGTTTTAAACTCCCTTTCCCACTTTACTTTCTGTTCTTCTTCTAGAGCTCTATTTTCCAACTAAATCTTATAACTTTCGAAGGCTTTTACGTGCTTTGCACTTCCCTGCTAGCTTATCCTAATCCTTACTGTTATCTCTTCTGCAATTCTCTTTCTAATTTTACATGAGTAAATCCTACCTGCCGTTTTCTTTTACTGAGCTTTTTCTAATTATTAAGTTGTTGGCGCTTTTTCTTTTTCTTTTTTTTTTAAATGGAGTCTGACTCAGTAGCCCAAGGTGGAGTGCAGTGGTGCGATCTCGGCTCACTGCAACCTCCGCCTCTCGGACTCAAGCAATTCTCGTGCTTCAGCCTCCCAAGTAGCTGGGACTACAGGCGCATGCCACCACGCCCGGCTAATTTTTATATTTTTAGTAGAGATGAGGTTTCATCATGTTGCTCAGGTGATCTGCCCGCCCCTGCCTCCCAAAGTGCTGGGATTACAGGCGTTAGCCACCAGGCCCGACCACTTCCTACTTTGTTTTGTTTTGTTTGGTTTTGTTTGGTTTGGTTTGGTTTTTTTGAGACGGAGTCTTGCTCTGTCACCCAGGCTGGAGTGCAGTGGCTCCATCTCAGCTCACTGCAAGTTCCGCCTCCCGGGTTCACACCTTTCTCCTGCCTCAGCCTCCTGAGTAGCTGGGACTACAGGCGCCCGCCACCACGCCCGGCTAATTTTTTTTGTAGTTTTAGTAGAGACAGGGTTTCACTGTGTTAGCCAGGATGGTCTCGATTTCCTGACCTCGTGATCTGCCCGCCTCGGTCTCCCAAAGTGCTGGGATGACAGGCTTGAGCCACCGTGCCCAGCCCACTTCCTACTTTTAATAATGAAATACTGTGTGCATGCTAGTGCATATGTATGTGTATTTCTTTATCACACCATAATGTCTTCACTGGGAAGATCCTGGTGTAGTTCATATTTACCTATCCTTCTTTCCCAGTTCTTCGCAAAGTGCCTTGCTTATAGTAGATTACTAGATTGCTTACTAAACAATGGTTGAATACATTTGATGCTGTAAATTGGAAAATTACGTGTTTTCTGGGGGCACGCAATAAATATTTACAGAGCTCCTACAATATACTAGATGTTGAGTTTATCACATTCTTAAGAAAATATTAAATTCTGGGTCTTACAGTTGAGGTAATATACACGTTTATATACATATATGTCACGAATCACGTGAATCTGTAACAAATCATGTGAACTTCGTTAGAGCTTCGCGTTCTTTTGTGTTACTCAGGATCTACTATATTGCTGGAATTCAGTTGTTACCAAGATAAATGTGTTACCCATATGCGATAAATACACAGTGCCAAGAGTCCAGGCTCTAGTGGAGGACAAGTTGGTGTCCAGGCAGCATCATATAAAATGAGGCTGGAAAATGAATCAACATACCTAAGACGTTGTATTTAAGTTGAAGGAGATTCAACTTGAACTTGGGAGGAATGGGAGTCAGACAGCAGAGGTCTTTACAGACAGGGGAGTGGATGCCTTGATTTGTTAGAACAATAACTTTCATGACGGCACAGAGGAAGCACTATAGAAAGAATCAAATAACCCTAAATATATCTGGGTTGTATGCTTACTTGAGACGTATCTCCATTAGACTTAAAACCCTTGTGACATTCATGGCCATAATTTATGTAAGATAGGATGTAGTAGAAACAATCGCATTTGGTCATTTCTAAGCACCAATATGATGTTTGGTACATGAGACTTACTTCTTTAAGTTGAGGAATAAGTATAATTAACAACAAAAGAGAAACATATTAATGCATGGTTTCAAAAATTCGTAGGCACAAAGACATTTTGTGAACAGAGTTCAGTTAAACTATTTATGTGTGATGATATGGAATAACTTTAATATAAATTTTTAAAAATTACTTTGTTGAATACTAACAGTAAAAAGAGACTTTCCTTGGTGTTAAGCTAGGTTCTTAATGAAGTCATGCCTAGGAGGCTATCTTGATGTTGAAGGCTAAAGAACCATCACTAACGAATCCATGGCCTCTCATTTCTACCTCTATCCTCTGAACTAACTGTTCAAGTTATAAACTGATTTTTATTTCAGGCTGCATTTGTTTTATACTTTGCAGCATATTACTAATTTTTAAAAATAATTTGTTTGCTTTTGTGCTTCCTGGTTTAAAAAAAGAATTTATGCTGCAAATAGTATGAATATGAGTTACACAGTTCTGTAGTTTATAGGACTCACTGTTTTCTTTTGAAAAAAATATAAAACAATTCATATGATTTCATTTGTAGTAAGACACTTCTGGCAGTTCTGTGACAGTGAAATTTTAAGGATCATCAATATCGGAGACATAGTCTGTAGAGTTACTTTTCTTTCTCCTTTCTTTTTTCACCTTTAATTCTAATTAAAAGATACTCTACTAGACTAGATGCTTCTGCCTGGATGTTTTCTGTCTGATCTTTGACTTGCAATCAAGAAAATTCAGCTTCAATCTGTTAGAGCTGAAAGGGCCTATGGCATGCTAGGGGCTGTCTAGCATTTCAAAAATTCAGAATTCCTGTCCTATGAATAATGATTAATGTACAGTACTTACAATGTTAAATTTTCCAAGAAAGACACCCTGTAAAGTTATTCTTTATTGTTGAAGCCATTCTTAATATTCTGTATAATGCAGAAGTTGCACATAACACATCTATGCAAAGTAGTTAACCCATGGTTCTCTAGATAAATATTCACATGCATATAATTTTCAAAATGCCTGGATTATGCTATATCATAAAATTTATACAAAATCCCATATCAATCACATTCAATGTACTTTATCATGTACTTTCTTACAAGTAATTGTATATTTATCTGAATTTTTTGTTAGTTTTCATAAGTTTCAGTGGGAATATGGTCTTTAACATTGCTGTTACTCATGATGTGACAAATTTCAATTAGAAAATATTTATTTTTCTAATTGAAAGAGTTAAAAGTTTTCTTTTTAAAATTCACTTAGAAATCAAGGTTTCCTTACCAGACTTATTATTATGAGAAAATATAATCTATATTTTTGGAATTATTGCATATAATTCAAGATTTTCTCAATTCTTAATTTGCTATTTATGAATATCACTTTTTTTTTTTTTGGACACGGAGTCTCACTCTGTCACCCAGGCTGGAGTGCAATGGCGCAATCTTGGCTCACTGCAACCTCCACCTGCCAGGTCCATGCGATTCTTCCGCCTCAGCCTCCTGAGTAGCTGGGACTACAGGCACACACCACCACACCCGGCTATTTTTTTTTTTTTAATTTTTAGTAGAGACGGGATTTCATTATGTTGGGCAGACCGGTCTCGAACTCCTGACCTCATGATCTGCCCACCTTGGCCTCCCAAAGTGCTGGGATTACAGGCGTGAGCCACCTTGCCCAGCGTATGAATATAACTTCTACTGATATCATAAGTAAAGTATATCAGGGATCCTAATGTCAGTGTGGGGTCATGAGCTGACTTGACTGAGGCATTAACCAATGGAGTGTAGGAGTATAAAAATACTAGATTATTTTGGATATACACATGCAAACACATATATATACACATACATTTGTATATATTTTTGCAATATGGATTTTTCTTCATGTATATGTTTCACATATATATATTTATTTGAAAATGTATTTTTTCAATTTGAAGTATCACCAGAGAGCTATAATTACTCAATAATAATTGCTGAGTAGCGACTTTAGCCCAGACACTGTGCTTGATGTTTTGAATTTGAATATAGGAAATAAAATATCTGTGTTTTCAAAGACCTCACTACCATGAGAGTTAGATGTGTTGGAAGTGCTATAGCAAGACAGAGATAGACAGGAAAAGTGAGGATATTTGGGAAAGGTTTAATGATACAAGAACCTTTTGAGTTGAACCTTGTAATAAATTAAGTTTCCTCAAACTAGGACAGAAGAAAAAAGCATTTCAACTGGATGAGAAATCATGAACAAAGTCAAGAGGTATCAAAGTGCATCATTTATTAGACAAAAGGCACATCATCCAGTGTGGTTAAGAGTACAGGGAGCATGGGATGAGTGACTAGATGGGAAGTGGAAAGAGAAACTGGACTTAGCCAGAGATGGGCTTTGACTTTTATGCCTAGGAGTTTGTATTTATCCTATAAACATTTGGAAGTCATTGGAAGTTTTCATACAAGAGATAACAAAATACCTGTTTTGGGAAGTTGGCTCTGCTGATAGAGTGGAGGGCAGTTTATGGTGAAAGCTCTGGAAGGAGGGATGCTTGTCAGGGGACTAGTACAGTCTGATGAAGTCTGCTTATGTGATTTTGATGCCATGCCCTTGGACACTGACCTTGGAGACAGATCAAGAAGCATATGGACAGAAGGATATAAACTATTTGGTAGGTGGTTAGATGTTGGGAAAAGATTAGATGTTGGGGAAAAGAGAAAATAGTAATGGATAAGATATTTGCTTCAGATTTTAGTTTTGAACATTTTAATAAGAAAGTGGAATTGGAAATGTGGGAGATAAACATTAGGAGGAAAGAATTAAACAATTTATTTACACTTAGTGATAGGTGACTCCATGCAAGTAAATGAAATACCCAGTGAATATATGCATATAGAGAGTAAAAACAGAAGGCAGAATGCTAATCTTGATAAGCCATGGAAGGAGAGCATAAAAGAAAAGCCAATGAAGTAAACTTAGAATCAGGGGAAAATTGTGATAGAAAGGAAAGAAGGAGTGTTTCAGTATACATGGAGTCAACATACTAATAATAATATCAAAAGCAACAATAATAATAAAAATCAATTCAATCCCTGCTAGGCCACTAGTCTTTAAACTAAAGATATTACACAAATTATCTTATTTAATCCTAATAGCATATTTTGTTTTAAAGAAATAGAACTCAAGTTTATCACTTAATATTTTAAACCAAAGAAAGCTTCATGAATCATGAAGTGGAACTCACAAGGTCATACTGGAGGATGAAGAAACATGTGCAGGAAAGAAAAAGGTGTATTCCAGCTCCAGAGGGTAGAAGTAAATTGAGAAGTTAATAGGAACAGGTAAACTGTCTCTTTCAAACACTACTGCTGGAATGACTTAAATCCAATTATGTTAATTTATTTAATTCCTATGCTCACTATTTAGATTCCAGAGAGAGAATGCTGCTGAAATGTCCTGTTGGAGAAACTAGCCAACCTTTTGGTTAGAGAAGGGTAACATTTTTTGACTAACAGTCCTACCAGGCTAAATTCCGTGGGTGAAAAGTAATTTGCTCAAGGGAAAGCAGGGTGTCCTTATCAAAAGAAAGTAGAATACAAGAGTATGTTAAAATTGTATTGTGTAAAAGTGACTCATGGATCTTCAACTTAAATGTGAGGGTGCCAAATCTTAGGGTAATTAAGTAACTTGCTCAAATTCACGCAGGTTAGTAAGTGAATGAATTCATATCAAAGCCAAACTCCATCATTCAGATCAAGAAAACTGAAGTGAGAAAAGGCTATTTTATATAGCATTTCTAATAGTTTCATCAGTATGGTAGCCAGGCAAGAAAATTATTAATAATACATCAAGTTTTATGGAGCCAATTTTAAGTAAATTCTTTGCCAAGAATTTATGCAGGAAAGAAAAGGAAAGAGCAGTTCGGCAGTGGAAGAGAGGAAGGATGATCTCTTTTACAAAATAGGAAAATTTGGTAGGTTTGTGGGTTGAAAAAAAGTTAGAGGTTGAACAGGAAGGAGAAAGTACATGGATGAAACAAGATCCTGTCAGAGGCAGGAAGGAGTGGAATCAAAAAGTCAGATGGACAAAAGAATAAGGATTCTTTTGAGATGCAAAATGAGATCCAGATGAATAAAGATGCAGATAAATTTGGAGATATAGAGGAGGGAAGCGGAAGGGGTTCACAACTGATAGGCTCAATATTTTCAGCAGTAAGAGGGGAAATCATGTGTTGAGGTTGAGGGGAATGAGGATAAGGGTGGGGATCTGAGGAGGGTGTGGTGGGAACAGCTGCTGTGTGGAATGGGAAGACCAGCCAAGTAGGAATGAGTAATAGGGCTGCTGAGCAGCTCTGAAGGTTCAGCTGACATCGGAAATCATAAATTTGTAGCAGAGTCAATCAGCATGGTTATTCAATTTTCTCAGGAACTCTTGGCAGCCCAGGAGGAGGAGGAGAGCAAACAGATGGTAGGACTGATTTGGTAATGGGATTGGCAAGGCAGCTGCGAGAGAAGGTTAAAGAAGGGAAGAAATCAATTGCACCCATGAAAGTGTGTTGAAAATGGTTTATCAGGGGGATCAAAATTAGGGAGAGAAGGAAGTGAAGCCAGGAAGGATTAGACACTGCCAATTCAGGGAAGAGTGAAGCCATGGAGGTCATTAGCCTTTGAAGCTTAAGAGGAGGTTTTGTGAGCATGAGTGAGTGGGATAGGTGATGAGAGAGGAAAATTTCACAATTTTAGATATTACAGTAGAGCATTTTTTTGTTTCAAAACAGCCCATTTTGTATCTGTGAGTGTGATTGCCAAAGCTGAGTAGAAGTGACTGTCACTGAAATATAAGGCAAAAGAATTTCAAACCTAAATAGGGGAATATGTCATCAAAGTCATTGAGAATGGTGATGATTTATAGAAGATAAAACAATAGAAACAACAAAAGCAACAATAAAACACCAGCTGCCAAGTTATTCAAGTGCATTTTTTTTTTCTTAGAGACAGGGTCTTGCTCTGTCACCTAAGCAGGGGTGCAGTGGCATCATTATGGCTCACTGCAACCTCAAACTCCGGCGCTCAAGAGATCCTCCTGCTTCAGCCTTCCTCACTGCTGGGACTACAGGTGCATATCCCTATGCCCAAGTAATTTATTTTTTACTTTTTGTAGAGACAGGGTCTTGCTGTTACCCAGGCTGGCCTTGAACTCTTGACTTAAAACCATCCTCCTGCCTTGGTGTCCCAAAGTGCTGGGATTACAGGCATAAGCCACTGTGCATAGCACATGCAAATACACTGATGTAGTACTGTGGATGACTAGATTTAGAAGACAGCTAGAAGGTTTGATTGTTTGGACCTTGTAAATGTAAGACTTACTGAAATAAAGCAGTGGAACAATGTCCTGGAATTGAAAGGGGAAATCCAAGAGAATGTCCCACTTCCAAGAGGGACAAAAAATTACTATTTTTAGCAGTATTCTAGCATATAGTGAAATCTATGTGAATAAAACTTAAACTAACCAGTTTTCTCAAGCCCTTTTATAAGGGTTCTGATCCTCTTCATCAGGACAGAACCCTCATGGCCTAATCGCCTCCTAAAGATCTCACCTTTTAATACTGTTACATTGGGTTTAAGTTTCAACATGAATTTTGGACATGACACAAACATTTAAGCCATAGCAGTGTTTAAAATAGGTTATATTATCATATGTTTAAATGTAAATTGGCATGACCTAGTAGTAGAGAGGAAGACATTTACCCACTTGAACATACTGTAGGCTAAATGCATATTAAGATTTCATGCAGGCCAGGCACGGTGGCTCATGCCTGTTATCCCAGCACTTTGGGAGGCCAAGGTGGGTGGATCATGAGGTCAGGAGATTGAGACCAGCCTGGTCAATATGGTGAAACCCAGTCTCTAGTAAAATACCAAAAATTAGTCAGGCATGATGGTGTGTATCTGTAGTCCTAGCTACTCAGGAGGCTGAGGCAGGGGAATCGCTTGGACCTGGGAGGCAGAGGTTGCAGTGAACAGAGATTGTGCCACTGCACTCCAACCTGGCAACAGAGCAAGACTATCTAAAAAAAAAAAAAAAAAGATGTCAGGCATAGGTATATTTTGAAATGAGTTTAAGTTTTATTCTGCCATGTGAGGATGCAGAAACAATGCACCATCTTGGAAGAAGAGAGCAGTCCTCACTAGACATTGAATCTGCTGGTGCCTTGCTCTTGGACTTCCCAGCCCCCAGAACTGTGAGGAATAAATTTCTGCTTTTTATAAACTACCCACTTAAAGATTATTATATCGCCAGAAACAGACTAAGACAAACATAAAATATCTAACTAAAATAAGGTCTCTGACTTAGCTACCACCTCCAGTGATACCCCCTTATTTCTGATCTCCTTCACCAAAACTTGTCTAAGTGTTGTCTATGTAGTCGTTCTCTATTAGTCACATCTTAAGGTCTCCTTAATTGAGTCCTGTGGGGCTCGTTTTGTCCTTTCTACTCCACTGACGTGGCCCTTATTAAGGGCACAAGGTCTCTTTTGCTGAATCTAGCTGTCAATTCTGTCTCTTTTTCTAAATCTTGTCATTTGAATAGTTGTTCACTCCCTTCCCTGGAGCACTTTGTATCACTCTATTTACTTGGTTTTCCTCCTTAATTGCTGACTACATCTTGTCAGTCTGCTACTCTGGTTCTAATAGATGTCTATGTCTTATAGTGCCCCCAGGATTTTGTTTTTATGTATCACCATCCCGGACTTCTCCCTTGGGCTCAGTACAAGTCCTCAGTACAAGTACTTACCTGTCTTTCCTAAAGGTGAAGGCATATGGTAGGGGGTCATATGGTAGGTTTTGGTGCCAGATTCTCTTTGGCTCTTGTAACCTATTAGCTGGCTGACTAAGGCAAGTTTCTTAATGTCTGTACTTTAGTTTTCTCATCTATAAAATGAGGATAATACTAAGAACTACTTCATGGGGTTTTGGGGAGGATTAAGAAAGTAAAAGATATAAATAAGTAAATACATATAAAAGTAGAAATGTTCTTGAAACATATTAAGTGCTCAATAACTGCTCATTATTAATTGTATTACAAACATAATAGAGCAAAAGTAAAATCATGGATTATTTCCCTCTCAAATATTCTAGTTTATTCTCTTCAGAAACGTTTCTCATGAGTGAAGACTACTGACATCCAACCAGTTGGTTTAGGGTAAAAATCCAGAGATCATTTTTTGTTCTTTTCCCTCTTTATGCTGTTCCAACCTATCAGTCATTACGTTATTTTTACTTCAAAATTTTATACCAAATCTGACCACTGTTCATCATCTCCTTCTCTAAACCACAGTACAGGCCACCAACATTTGCTCTGTTTCTCTGACACTTCTATGCTTCTTACAATACATTCTCCATGGAGTGACTTCTCTAAAGTGTAAATGCACATTCAGGTTGAATATCCCTTATCTGAAATGCTTGGGACCAGAAGTGTTTTGGATTTCCAATTTTTTCAGATTTTAGAATATTGCATTGTACTTACTAAGTGAGCATCCAAAATTTGAAATCCAAAATGCTCCAGCAAACATTTCCTTTGAGTGCCAAGTTGGTGCTCAAAGGTTTTAGAGCATTTCGGATTTCAGATTTTTGGATTTGGGATGCTCAACCTGTATGTCCTTTCATTATTTAAAATCCTTCAGTGGCTGTTGATCACATTGAGAATAAAATCCAGTCCCCCAAATTGGTACAAGCATGTCCTTATTGAGTACTAGCCTGACTCTGGAAAGTCAGCTCTTTTCTCAGAGCTATTCACTAAAATCCACTCTGACCCCTTTTCTATCACTCAAACATGCCTAAAGATTTCCTTTTTTTTTTCAGACAGTCTCGCTCTGTCACCCAGGCTGGAGTGCAGTTGCACAATCTTGGCTCACTGCAACCTCTGCCTCCTGGGTTCAAGCAGTTCTCCTGTCTCAGCCTCCCGAGCAGCTGGGACTAGGTGCATGCCACCATGCCTGGCTAAATTTTGTACTTTTTTTAGTAAAGAAGGGGTTTCACCATGTTGGTCAGGCTGGTCTCGAACTCCTGACCTCGTGATCCACCTGCCTCGGCTTCCCAAAGTGCTGGAATTACAGGCGTGAGCCACTGCGCCTGGCCACCATTTCCCATTCTGAAAGCCTTTGCACTCGTTATTCTTCTGCTTGGAACATTGTTTTTGCCCTCAGATCTTCATATCTGCCTCCTTTTCATTTAAATTTTATTTCAAATTCCATGTCTTGACAGAGGCTTCTCTGACTACTTTCTGTCAAAATACTCTATTTTCTATTTTCTGTAGCATTTACTAAGGTCTTCAATCTTCAGTCCCTGCCCCAACCTTAATTTGCCCATGTTGATCACACACCTAAATCTGAAAACAATAAAAGAATCTATTGTAGAGTGTCACTTGTTTTACCTGATTATCTACATTTTCATCATCCAATTTCTTAAATTTTATTTTTGTGTATACTTTGCCTTGTATTTCACTATTAGACAGTACACTGGTATCTGCTAATGCATTAGGAATTTTGGAATGGTAAGCATCTCCAGCCATCCTTTTCATATTTGCAAATGTTGACACGCATAAAATAGTAGTTGTTTTGGATCTGGATTTCTCATGAAGAACTACATGTTTTTGGAAAATTGAGCAGTTATCCTTTTCATATATTTAAGAGCTCTGAAAGAATTACCAAAATAACCTGAACATTGTGCTTAAGCCTGGAAATTCTTCCCTTGAATCACAAATTATTTTATTAATAAGGTTAATATATCAGAAGATTCTATTTGTTTTTATCATTAGTTTCCAAAAGCATAAACAATAAAATACAAAAAAAGACGTTGTCTTCCTTATATTCACTTTGCTTTAGAGCACAGCAATGCAAAACATATTTCTCATTATTTTCGAAGCAATGATACCTATTTTTCTGGGACTCTATTTGTTATGGACCAGGACATTGACCATGGAGGCATGTTCATGGATTACTGTTTTACGGTGACAGCAGTACGGATGAGGATATTGGGCTTTAAAGAACTGCAATCATGAGCTTTCCTCTGCAAAAATAGAAAGACTCTTACTCAGCAAATGTAAAAATAATGTTATGTTTGCAATCTCTACTCTTTATAATCACTTAAAATTTTAAGGTAAAATTAGGCTTTTAATGCGTAACATGAAACAACAAATATTCTATTTTTGAGTTCTGGTTGCGTTTTTAAAGATGTGATGGAGCAAAGGGCTAACCCAGCACATACTATCATAGTCAAATCTATTTGTGAAAAAAAAAAAGGAAATTTGGTGATATAGGCACACTTTCAAAATTCTCATTGATAGAGAGGGCCCAGAGAGAGGCTTTGATCTTAATTATTTCATAAATTCTAAACTGAGATGCTTAATTAGAGCTTAAATTTATGGAGACTCTGATACATGAGAGGTGTCCACCCAGGTTTCGTTTTTCATGAAGGAGCAAAAAGTATATGCAGTCACAGCGGGCTCTCTGGAGAGTCTACAGTGACATGGGCATCACCTTTTCTTAGCTGGTGTAGGAGGCAGGGGAGGGCTTGTAGGCACATCTCTGTGTTGGTGTGCAGAAGCTGACTGAGATCCAAACATGTACTAAGGTTGTCAGATGGATAGAAGAGATGAAGAGATGCTAGTATTGACTAAATGAACAAACAGACTGAAAACAGGTTAAATTCAAAGATTAATAATTGATTTTGGAGAGCACAGTCGATAAATTTCAAGTATGACCAAAGAGCTGCTATAAATTGACTTTCCTAGCCTAAAATATTCGGTAATTTTTCTTAATGGATTTGTTAAGAAGATGTTTGAATAACAACTATTTTTTAGCTTCTTTATTGGCAAATAAAACCAAAAAATAAATAAATAAAACTTTTTCAGGGCATTCTGCTTAAATCTCCCTCTCTTTCTCTGCTGTTTTTTTCTTCAAGATAACTTAGGCACAATTCTTAAAAGAACACCATTTGGCTAATTTCCATCTGGCATCCTTTCCCTCTTATTTTCACTACAAAGAGTGGAGTCTCCTTTTTAATGATATTTCTAAGTAAATTCAGCCTTCAGCTCAACATTCATCCTCCCTTCTGTTTTTCATATAAGCAATTACTTTTTTTTGTGGGGAAAAATACATATAACTGGGCTCTGAGTTGATTGAATCAGATAAAAACAAATTGTAGAAATATAGGCTCACTAATTTCTAGTAATATTTTGTATGCTCTAGAGTACAAATGTGTCGTGTGAAAAGTTCCATTTGTGCAGAATTGAGTATTTTACATACAGATAATTAGAAAATTGTCAAGACATATGTTGCTTTTACAAACGTTTTTGTATTTATTGTTTTGCAAATGATACCAAAAATTATCATGGTGCCAAATCCTGAAAAACCTCTCAACTTAGAGGTCTTCATCAGTGACTAATTGCTACTATTTGTAACCCACTTTAAAAGCAAATAAAGCACCCATCTGGTAATTCTATTAACAGTTTCTATGCTAAAATGGCAATTTGTCCTCAAAAAAGAAAATATGCAATTATGAAATATTTGTATTTGTGTCACTCTTGAAAAGATACAAATGTATCTGGCAAAATAGAGTTTATCATTCCTTTTCGCATTCTCTATTAAGTCTACAACCTTTTAAAAAATCAAATTGGATTAGCGACATAGCTATGTAGCTCATATATTTAACAAAATGGAAAATTAGAGCAATAATCTGAATAAATGAAGGCAAACAAAGAAAACTCATAATCAATCATCTGGATAGCATTATCAAATCGTCTTTCCCCTTCCCTCCCCAACTATCTGTGTTGCCCACTGTAGGATTAATAGGTCTTGAATACCTAAGTCTCTCCCCTGAAAAGAGGGAAAGGGAAGTGACATTCCTGACCTTGTTATTTTGAAACTCTGACCTTGAGAAAACTGTATCTCTCTGAGAGTCAGTTTCTACGGTGGTCAAATGCAAGAATTTTTTTCTGCTAGTCTATAATAAATGCTGTTATGAATAATTAAAGAAATGAAGAACTTGAAAATATTTTGTGGAAGTAAGCCCCTTCTAGAACTCAGAGGTAGCTGTGATCATGCAGGTTTCTGAAATAGGACAACAATGATTGTCCACCTAAATAATAAAATATTTAACTTCTGAGGAAAAACAATTTGTAGACTTGCTCCAGCCCTACGTCATTCTGAACCTAGGCCCTTTGGAGGCTTGTGAATATTCACTAACCTTCATCTACTGCTGCATGGGTATTCTTTACAAGGGACACAGATTTTTCCGTTTCCTTTTTACTTTCGACGCCCTAGTAAACATCTCGGGGTTGGCAGAATGGGTTGGTCTGGTGTTTATTATATGTAACACATATTGTGTCCCTGGCCCCAGTGCTATAGCACCTTTTCTGATTTTATGATGCCATGTCACTCTTACTTGCTTTTGGACATGCCTGGAGTGCAAAATCTCTTTTTTCTCTTGCTAAGTTTTTCTTGTTCTTCAATGTGCAGCTAACTCAGTGTGGCAGGATTACAGGTAGTTTTAAAGTTTTCTTTTTTATACTTCACTTTTGTAGTTCTTTCATGGCTTTTATAACTAAAAATGCCATTTGAAGATTTTATTAACAAAAACCTAAAATACCTAATTTGAAACCTGAATCAGGATTAGAATTCTCTCTCGTATGTTCCATTAGCACAGATGTTCACTTCTCATAATAATTATCAGAGTATAATATAATAGACTATCTGTCTCACTAGACTGAGACATCTTGTAACATATAGTTCCTTATGTCTGCTACAATATCCATAATAAACGTTTATTACATGTCAGTTGAATAAATGGATGGGCGAATATGTTACATCTGTAGTTCATTTTCATTTAATAAGTAGACATATAGCAATATGAAATAGCTAATAACTAATTGGATCTGCACTTAATATAATACATTTCATTTTTTAGCTTTTTTTTTTGCTTTTCTACTCATTGGAAATAAATGGTAAAATAAATTTCTTCATCATAATAAAGTAAATAAAATTATAATGAATAATTAAATGATGAAAACTCTTGTAAATTATGATTTTTTAAAAAACGTCTTCTCATTTTCTTGTAAATTATGATTTTTTAAAAAACGTCTTCTCATTTTCTTTTTTTTTTTTTGAGAGGGAGTCTCACTCTGTCACCCAGGCTGGAGTGCAGTGGTGCAATCTCTGCTCACTGCAACCTCTGCCTCCCGGTTCAAGCTATTCTCCCACCTCCGTCTCCCAAGTAGCTGGGATTACAGGAACCCACCACCACACCCGGCTAATTTTTGTATTTTAGTAGATATGGAGTTTCACCATGTTGGCCAGGGTGGTCTTGAACTCCTGACCTCAAGTGATCTGCCCACCTTGGCCTCCCAACGTGCTGAGATTACAGGTGTGAGCCACCACGTATGGCCAACTTCTCATTTTCTAATTCCTTTTCTGTACCATGTGAAGTATTTTTATCTTGTGGTTTATACTTAAACCTTAACAGTTACAGCGGAGGTGCTATGGCAACATAAGGCCACAACTCATAAAAGCTAATTGTGACTATGCATCATGGTTTACCATGACGGATTATTGCTATTTGTCCATTTCATGTCAAAACTGAGGCTCAGACAACTGGATAACCTGAATGACAGCCAGAAGCTTCAAACATTCCTTTCATGTAGAAGGATGGTGTACTTTCTACTGGAAGAATATTTCCTCTGGGATGGCAGTCAGTGGCACTTGATAGGAGTTGGCAAAGATAAGTTTAATTGTATTCAGTGTGATTCAACAGACATTTATTATATACCAATTAGTTTATAATTCTCTAGATATATAAAAGTAAATAAGGCCTTGACCCTTTTGTGGAGGAACTCACAGTAAGTTTAGGGACGCCAAACATAATCAATTACCTATAAAAAAAAGGATGACAGTTTAATTGGCAACATTCAACAAACAATTATTAAGGGCTGTTCTTTGCCTTCTTTGCCTAACGCTGTGCTGGATGCTAATGAAGTGCTATGGAAAAAAGTCATGTGGAATCTATTTGACTCTGATGTTGGAGGGAAGCAACTGGGCAGGACTCCCTTTTCAGGGTACAGTAGGTACAGAGCTTTGGTCACATGATACTTTTAGGGTCCTGTGACATTTTAATTTCTTTTAAAGTCAGAAGAGAAACAAGGACCTTTTAGGAAAAATGAAATGTTTTAGTATGTAATATCTTTATGCCAATATAGTCATAAAATATAATCTGTAGTGTTTTTAGTGATGAAAGTGTCCCATCAAGGCAAAAGAGCCTAGGGGCCATGAAAGTCCTAATGTGGTCCTGACTGGGAGAAGGAAGTCAGAGAGGAAGGAGAAGATTCAGATCACTGGAGCTGGGCCTTGAAGTGATAATAATATTTCACCAGGTGGAGAATAGGAGGGTTTTTTAGCCAGAAAGGTTAACCAAAGCCAAGATCCAGACTTGTGAAAGTATAGGATGAGTTAATTCAGACATGCACAAGACGCGGTCCTCAAATGAAAAGATTTATCAGGTCAGTGGATAGAAGCAAAAGTATGTGAATGAAAAGTTACATTATTGAAGAAATATTTCTATTCCAAGAACGGCAAATGAGGCAACTGCTCCTGAATCTTAAAGGTCTCTGAGAATTAAAGCTTTACAACTAGACTATTTAAATAAACAAAACTGTTTAAAAGTTTACCATTGTATAACTCTTGATGTTCTAGTCTGTGTAATGTATTTGAGAGTAGGGTAGGAGACAGCACAGTTTTGAGATCATCCTCAAGTCCTGAAATCTTCACTTACAAGTGATTATATGTTTACCAATATTTGTTTTATTGTTATCCTTAAGTATTTTGAAAGTAATACTTGGAAATATATCATTTCAAATTTACATGAAAAATAATGTAACATTTTGACCCCCAGAAATTAACTCAGGACTAGTTGAATACCCTAGTCAGGACATTAATTCTTAAGTATATTGTATGAAAGTGTTTAGTCATAAACAAATAAACTTTCTTTTTCTAGAATAAACTCCAAATCCAAATTCAACAGTGAATAGTAATACAATTCATATTGATGAATTCTGTTAAGCTATTTTCAAAATATGAGAGCATAAATCAAAACTTTAATCTAGTATATGCTATTGTGTTAATTCCATTTCAGCTTTAATCAAATTCTAAAAGGGTAGGTTCTCTTGGTATTTTCTAAACCCTGTTCTCAGTATTATCTTCTATTTTTCCCCTTTGTATAATGATGGGAAAACATTATTCATCTAATTTATTTTGAGTGAATAACATTAAGGCTACTTACATTTTTCTTGTTATTATAAAAGCTGTAGTGAATAGTAGGTGAGCTTATGAATTTAATTTTTCAGCTAAGTAAACATGCACATATTAAATTCTCTAACTGTCATAAATATAATCAGGCCTTTAATTAGAAAATGAAGGCAACATAATTCTAAGCATTATGAAGATATATTGGGCTTCTGGTTGTTAACACATCTAGGGAGATGAGGCAACTCAATCAGAATTCCAGTGTCTAGCTCTATCCTGACTAGAACTTTTGCAGATCAATCTTAGCCTATAGGAGAGCTGCTGGAAATAAAAGCCTGTGCCTGTGTATGGTGCGTCATATTGGGAATCTTCAGAACTAAAGAATACCAGCCTCTCATATAAGAAAGCAGTTGGATTCTTGGATATTGCAATCTATGTTTACTAAATACGGAGATAGATCTATTAGCTTTTAAAACACATTTTTCCCCATTTGTTTCATATTTGTTTGCAACTCTGAAATTCATTCAGGGGAGGCAGACAAAGGCATTAGTAAAAAGTGAACTGTTCCTTTTGGTATGTTACTCACTGAGTGATTTTGCAAGACTTTTATCAATCTCCGGATCCTCCAAAATAAATGTTATTTATTCACTCAAGAAAATGTTGGTTTGGCAAAACATTATGCTAAAGTCAGAGACTGTAGGACTGTATAAGGCACAATCTCTACCCTCAAGAAATGTACACTCTGGTAGAAAAATGGAAATACAGTATGATATGACTAATAGTAGTGCATCATATAGTGTAGAGGAAAGTACTAAACTCATGCTTAGGATGTCAGTGAAGGTTGCTTCAAGTCAATGTCACTGGGTCCACAGAAGCTTACTTTATTTTAATTTATCTTTTGAGATGGAGTTTTACTTTTTTTGTCCAGGCTAGAGTGCAGTGGCATGGTCTCTGCTCACTGCAACCTCCACCTTCTGGTTTCAAGCAATTTTCTTGCCTCAGCATCCTGAGTCACTGAGATTACAGGCGCCTGCCACCACACCCGGCAAATTTTTGCATTTTTAGTAGAGATGCGGTTTGACCATGTTGGCCAGGCTGGTCTCGAACTCCTGACCTCGTGATCTGCCAGCCTCGGCCTCCCAAAGTGCTGGGATTACAGGCGTGAGCTACCGCGCCCAATCGGCTTACTTTATTTTTTAAGGAATTGGGTTAATTATTTGAAATAATATGCCTAGTTTTATCTGTGACCGAAGCTATGAAATTTTTATCCCATCTTTGTACTATTATTTTTTATATTTTGATAAGCAAATGCATTATAATATCATAATTTATTACCTGTATTTATGTATATTTACAGATAGGTAACATTTATTTATTTTACATATAGGCAATTTTTACATAAATATGTAAATAGCTACATTTACATGTGAGCCAATAAAGGTGTGTTTGTGTGTGTGTGTATATATATGTGTATATACAAATATAAGTAATACGCCTATATTAAATATATATTGAAGAAAGCAAATAACATTAATCACATTTTGACAATTATTTTCATCATGCCTTGCAATTTTTTCTGCAGCTTTAATTTCATATCAGATTCACAGTAAAAATGTCAATTCGTCATATGAATTTCTATTATTAGCTCGTTTAGTTGTGAGCTCCTTTAGTTTATTTTACTCTTCAGTGAATTTTTAAAACCATATTAAATGCAGTATTGCCTCTTTTATTTACTTTTTCTTCTCTGAACGTTGTTGTTGGTAATATATTTTTACCTTTTTCTGGCCTAAGAAATTTTTTTTTTACCTACTTGAATTTTCTCTTTATATAAGGAAGCCCTTTTGTGTTGACAATCTCTGTTGACTTTTATTCACCATTCATTACTCTCTCACTTAATAATTGCTACAAAGATATGGAAACAAATCAAACTGTTTCTTTCCTCTTGGGAAAGATTTCTAAGGCTTAAAATATTGGTATAAACTTTATATGATGGATTAATTAAAGATATTCTTTAGGTTTTGGAAAAAGTTACTAGCTCCTCACATTTAATTTCTAAGGTAAGAATGTAAGAGTGAATTAGAGTCATTTTTTCCCCATAATTTTTATTAAAGCAAATGTGTTAATTAAGACTCATGAATTGAGCATCTGCCTTCCTATATTATGTTTGACGTGATGGGAATGTAAAAAACAGTGTAAGTCTCTTTCCCTGTACTAGATGGGCTCAAAGAGTACAGCTTTGAGACAGATTAACAAGCACAAAATAAACAGCAGTATATTAATAAAAAAGAGAATACAGCTCAATTGTAAGTTATACAACGGATATTATAAATATATAGGTCTTTTTAAATCTGTGAGGATTATATGTGTATATGTGCATGCATATATAAATTATAATGAAAAAAGAAGGATCTTTTTTCATTATAATTTATATATACATGCACATCTACACCCAGTACTGTTGCTAGTGGTGAATCCATCCATATGGGTCTGCAACAACTGGATTCTTGCCTCTTCAGAGGAAATAATTAGGCTGAGGGGCAGAAATAGATTTAAGGCAGAGGGGGAGAGACCGAAATGAGTTTTAGAGCAAGAATGAGCATTTATTAAAAAGTTTTAGAGCAGGAACAAAAGGAAGTAAACTACACTTGGAAGAGGACCAAGCAGGCATCTTTAGATCCAAGTGCTCCATCCGACCCAACCCTTGACTTGGGGTTTTATACAATGACATGTTTCCAGGGTTTTCATTTGTATTTCTTTTCTCCTGATTCTTCCCTTGGAGCGGGCTGTCCACATGCCTGTGGCCTGCCAGCTTTGGGGAGAGGACGCATGCGCGGTGTGTTTACTGACGTTGAGCACATGCTCATTTGAGGCGTTTATCCATTACCAGTTGAGCGTTCCTAAAGGAAGATCATACACCAGTAAAACTCTGCCATTTTGCCTCTTAGTGCACATGTGGGAGCCCACTTACTCAACTCATGAGATCTTATTGGGAAGCTGCTGATCACTAGCTTCAAGTTTTTCTATCTATTGGGAACCTGCGTTTCAGCTGGTGCCAGCTGTGACCAATTATTATTTTAGAGAGACAGTTTAACAACTGCCTGATCATCACCTGATGGTCGCCTGACATTCCTCAGGGGAGGGCCCTGTCCTGCCCTGCTAATGTCTGCCTAGCTACCAACTCTAAGAGTATCTCACTACTGCTAGAAGTTTGAGAAAAGGTGTTTGAAACAATACAAGTGAACTCATTCAATAAATTAATAAATGGACCTCTAAATTACAAAGGATCACTCTTCCAGTGAGACTGCTGATTAATTATTAATTTCCATTATTTTATAGATACATTATTGGTTTTGTTCATCCTTTTAAAATATCTTCTTGATTTTTTTAATAGTAAATGTAGGTAATATATCTAGTTAAATTAGGTGAAATGAGCTTCAAATGTGCTTTAAAATATATTGTACTGTACATATTTAAAGAAATTCAAATGATGTCATGTTCTCTCTTGAGTTTTTGTATAATGCTGCTAGTGGCATATTTTGCTTTAAAATAAATTTTCAGTTCTAAAATCTCTGAAGTACTTCTCTCCTGCAGTGATTGACTTTGTAGGGAAACGCTTAAGAAGGAATTTAAATTCAAAAGGTGCAATTTGAAACACATTTTCTTGTGACAACTTTTGACACTGACCTTTTAAAATATGTAAGCATGGACTTTCCCCTTTAATTATGTTGTATCTTTTAAATTAAATCTGTGCTGTAATTCTTATAAAATAAGGTGATATTTTGGAATGAGTTTTTTTTTTTAACTTCTCTTAAATTTGGGGAGTAGAGTTTCATATGTTTACAATGATAAATCAATAATTTTTTGAAACATTTTTTCCTCTCTTCATTTAGGCAATAGAAGTCACAACACTTTTTATCCAAACAGCGATTATATATGATACAAAAATGTATATTCATTTTTCAAGATGTTTTCTATAGTGAATTTGAGCCAGAATTGCACGATGAAGAGTTAGAAGGAAAATAATAATAGTAATAATAATAAGCTGATCCATGGGATATTTATCAGAAAGAATAGGGAAAAGGGGCATTTTTTGGATTTACTCTTTGGTCTTGATATTAAAGGCCTTTTGTTTGCATTCCAATGTAGAAGAAAGAACTTCATCAGCTGGCTTCATTATGAGTTAGCATAGTATCTATTCTTGCATCACTTTGCCAGAAATTCAGCGAGCACATAGAGAGTACAGACTGGTCATATCAAGAGAAGTCATTAACAATACCGAACATCCTTAGGTATTTGATTATTTGGCTATGCAATCTCTATTTTGAGGAATTTAAATAAAGAAATTCTCAAATAAAAGCATGACAGTTGTGATATAGGAGAAGAAAATGGCACCTGGACTTAGAAACCTGATTTAAATAGATGCAAGATATTTACTTGCTATGGGACCTTAAGCAGGTCATCTCACTTTTTGTAGCTTAGATTTTTCTTTTCCATCTATCTCATAGGATGTTGTGAGGGCTCAAGGATATACAGTTTCTGAGGCTTTTACTTATAGTGCTCAAGCATTTTAGATTCATTCTCTATGTTTCAGTATGCTGAGTTGTTATTTTAGTATTTTGAAATTTGGTTTTTAGATTTTAGTTTAATTATTAGTTGGTCCTAAGATAAGAGGCTGTGTTATGCATGAAACATTTGTTTCTTAATTTGTCCTTTTGTCTGCATATATCTGTTCTAAAAATGTCAATAAATAAGTAGGTGTGAAATATATACATAAGAATGAGATAAAGTAAATGGAACATTAGAGACTTATGTAATTTGTTGAAGAACATGCAGTTTTTAATACTCATCCTTCTGAGACGACTATTCAACCTCTGGGAAAATTGACCTGTCAGCATTTTTCAGGATATGGTGGATTTTTTTTTTTAGAGGGCTTTTGTTGTGGTTTCAGATCAGGTCATGCATGTTATTGTGTTGTTCTGTTTCATTTTCTACTATCTTTTCTGCCTGGCAAAGAGTATCTAAAAGACTCCAAATTGGTCTCCCTGCTTCCAACCCTGGCCCCTACAGCACTCTATTTTTAAAACCATAGCCAGAACACTTCTTTTAAAACACAATTCAAATTACTCCTCTGCTTAGATGCCTCCAGAGATTTTTTTCATCTCGTCCAAGTTAAAGCCAAAAGCTTCAAGGTCCTACAGGACCTGGTTTCTCAAGTCCACTCCTGCCACATTCTTCTCACTCAGCTTCAGCCACAGTGGCCTCCTCCTTGTTCTTGCAACAAGGCCAGGTCTAGTCCCTGTCTGGGATCTGTACCTGCTTAGCCTTTTGAGCCATTTCTTCCAAATTTCCTCAGAGCTCAATATGTTTCCTCCTTGAGGTCGTCTTAGCAGTGAGCTCCTTCAGATCACTCTATTTGAAATTGCACCTTCCTTCTATACCCCAAACCCGATTCTTCTTCCCTTCCCCTTAACCCAGCTTGGGATATATATGTATAGTGTATGTATGTGTGATATTTACCTATTTATTTAGCTTACTTCTTTCTCACCCATTAGAATCTAAGTTGCAAGAGGTTAGGAATGTCTATGGAGCGGAATAGGAAAATTATTTACTGTTTCTCAGCTTCCATATTTCTAGTTATCATATGCCAAAAGGAAGCCTTATGGTCAAGAAAATGAGTCTTCTCTCCATAATATGGGACTAGTTGTTTTTCACTTCTAAACACCAGATGATTTCTCCCTGTAATGAGAGAGCAGCTTTCCCCTTGAAGAGAATCTAACAATTCCAATGATCATAATTAATTCTCTATATATGTATATGTAACCATACAAACATAGTAACCCTCAGATTTGCTCCATAGAACTGGAAAATCAGGACTGACTAGGAGGATTTGCATTAGAATCTGGAACACCAATTTCCCAAGGCACTGTTTTTCCAATATATGCAGCTTAATGATCCCAGGAAACTAGCCCTGAAGGGATGATATGACCAATAATAAATAAGCATGACAATACCTGAAATCCAGTGGACTACTGGCAGGGAAGATTACAAAAATACTCATGACAATACCTGAAATCCAATGGACTACTGGCAGGGAAGATTACAAAACAGGGCTCAAAAGAGAGGTTTTCAATCTCTTTTATTTTCCCTACACTTATAGTTCTAAAATTTCATCTGATTGATTTTTGCTGTAATTGTTTCTATTCCTAACCATTTTGAGTTTCCATATTCTAACTGGAAAGGGAAAGACACCTTTCACAGTGCATCATTCCTGTTGTCACAGGATGAGACAGAGGTGGCTGACCTGTGATCCACAGAGCACAGAACATTGCTGAGTGCTTTTTTAAGGTGATGTGCTTCTTGTTTTCTGTGAGGGTACAGGAGCCACGACTCATAGTGGATAAAGTCTTCTAGAAATTTCCCATCATATGTATGAAGACCTTCAGTGTAAACAGTGTCTTTTAGGGAAGAAAAATAAGTGTCATGAGGATAAAAAGTTGTGGTGGGGAACCTAGGCCTGGCTCTCTGTGTTGCTGCATTGAAATTAGAGATTTCACTGGTTGGGTAGAGCGGTGCTGCTTTTTCTAGATCATTTAGATAGACTCTGATTTAAATATGTTACATGAAGGCTCTATTTAACTATATATACACTTTTTCATTCTCTTGGGATCTGATAATGTTTGGGTGGATTGTGTGATTAATTAAGTGCAGATGGTTTTGTGCTCATACAAGAGTTTAACATTGTTGGGGGAAATTGAATAGATAAAGTAAAAATAGACTTCGTTGCCGTTTTGCTAAGGACAAATTAAATGATTCATCTTCAGATTGTCTATCCCTGCCATTAATTTGATGGGGGTGTTATGATATGATAGTCTCTTGAATAACTAAGTTAAAGTTGGTTATGAAATTATTTGTTTAGTGGATTTTGCTCAGATCATTTTTCAATAGGTAGAAGTTTTCTGTAAGAAGGTGTGGTGAACAAATTTCTGTAATTGGGCCGGACAAAGAGCTCACTCTTTTTTTTAAAAGTAAATCCTATAGCAAATTATTCTAAAGATCTTTGGGAGAGGATGGGGGCAAATATGTGTAATGGTGCCTCTCCTATCTTCAAGAGCGGTAGTCTTGCCATAAACAAGTTCTGAATAAATCCTAGTTCAAAGCAGTAGAGCAGATAGGAAACATGTCCTGCCTTGTAAGGGTGCTCTAAATATGTTAATAGAGTCTTGAATTCTCATTAAGTCATTGACCAGAACAATTAAGAGAGTAAAAATGCTAATAGGTCAAGATTCAACATCCAAAATAATACTCTTGGACTTTCAATTAGCATTTTTAGGTAACTCAATGATAGGAAAATTCCTTTGCTATTAAAGAAAACAGCAACACAGAATACAGGAAAAGAGAGAGAAAATAATGGAAATGCTTTCAAAACAGGCCCAAAGTTGCAAAATAAATAGTAAAATAAAATAGATACTTTTTGTGTGTGAGAGAAAGTCCTTGTCTAAAAAGCCCCAGGAGGGGGCTAGTTTATCTTAGTTTTCTTAATTTTCATACTTTTGACTCAAGCATTTTTTTAAAAAATGAAAATAGTTCTTTTTGTAACTCTCTAGGAATATGTAGGAAGTGACACATTAAACTGAACGGTTCTTCATACTTAAGTTTGACCACTGTGAAGAGTCTGATTGGACAAGGAGTTGCGTATTTGACTACTTCTTGTGTATGAAGAACCACATTGGCAGCAAACAGTGAAAGATGATAAATCATATTCAAATGGATTTAAAAATAGTAATGTATTATTCTGATGAGAAACTGAGCATATTACTGTGACAAAGAGAAAACTGAAGTAAACAACACTAGTTTTTTTTTTAAGGAATGAAGAAGTTTTGAGAATATGTAGGTCACAACCATCACATCATATATAAATGATGATCAGACTATAAAAATACAGCTAATCTAGGAGAAAATGGGGAGGGGGACATGTTTTCATGTGAATATGAATATTTTAATGTGTAATTGATCTATTTAGTACATTTGCAAAAACACCACAAGCCACAGGACTTTATTAGCGATGACACATGAAGAAAATGCAATGTTCATAAATTACAGTAAAGAAAATTTGAGGGGTTGTTATTGCATTTTGCATGGTATTTTAAGTACAGGTTCTCACCTGCACTGTTCGTATAATGGAATTATTTTTCTGTGCCTCATTTAAAAAAAATGACACTAATGGCTTAAATATTGATACTGGAACATTATCACAATGTACAACACCTCTTGAGCACTTAATGTCAGTCGCTTGTGCTAAGGACTTATGAATTGTCACAATGACTGCGTGAGATAGGTACTGTTATTTGACCCATTTCGCAGATGAGGAACTGAGGCTTTGGGAGGTTAAGTCACTCTCTGCCTCCTTGTAACTGGTAAATGATCTCACTCTGTTCACTCTCAGGTATGTCTGATTCTGAAAATCAAGTCTTTACTATTCTACCTCCTCTTTGCAGATTCTGGAAAATCACCTAAAGTGTTGTTCTCCACATTGTCAGCCAAGCGATGGGTCAGATAAGTTTTATCCACTTTCTTGAACTTAGAGACTTCCAGAAGAACCAACATCATGCAGAGGAAAGGGGTCATCCCCATTTAGATGTGGGAGGAAAGATGTGCAATTGCACAGTTGACTCATGGTGTTTGGTGTGCCTGTAGCTTGGCACAATGTCCAGAAAATAAAAATGAGGCTAGACTGGTTCTGACATACAGCTAAGGATGGTGGCCTTCTCAAGGTCTCGTTCAGATGCTGGGCATAGCCCTGTGTGCTTAAGATTTCCCACCCCTTAGGCGGGCCTGAAATCGGTATAAGGCAGTGTTCCTCTTACTACAAATGCACTTGTCTTCTTAGTCTTAAATAAGAGATACCCTTGCTTCTTCACAGATTTCCTTAATAATCTTCAGTGATAAATGGTCTGTGTTCATGGGAACCCAGGGTTTTTAGGACACTGCTGCTGTATGCATGAAAGTTGAATTGCCGGAATTCAAAACTTTTTATTTAAACTCAAACCCATCCTTCTGCATACAATTTTATTGTTTCTAGGAATATTCAGTTGAAATGGCTTCTGCATACTGATGTAACAAGAATAGAAACAGTGGGAAGGATAAAATGTGTATCCCAGAGGCACTATTCAGAACCTTCTGAGCTATGTTCCTCGATGCTCAGTTTTTATTAACGGTTGAATTAAGAGTGAGATAAATTGAGTTAAGCCCTGTCTCGTAGCAGCATAGTAACTGGTGACCACAAACGATCGGTATCTCAGATATTGGGTGATGGCACAGACATAGTAAGTCCTTAAAGGGCAGGTCTGTAATCCGAGCATTTCCTCTCTCTTCCAGGCATGACTAATTAAACTCCTTGATAGTGAGGTCATGAGAGTGCCCTCCCATCCTAAGCAAATTCATTTTCAAAGAGCACCTACTTTCACATTTATTTGCAAGCAACTTCTATTATTTAATTTCATTTACTCAAAATAATGAGTAAAAATTTGAAGCTTTGCCTGATGGGGGACTGGATGCTATCAAAGTATTAGAGTGCAGGCCAGCGACCGCTTGGTTTGGAATGCCACACGCCACATCCAGAGACCTTTTCTCATTGTTGTGTTGCATTAAACAGCGACAGCCTGGCACAGAGTAACAGTGAGCTGCGTAAAAGGTCAGGTGCTGCATTTTCATCTTTGGTTTGTGTTATTATTTTTCTGCCTGTTAAATGGTGCTGTAAGCCTTAAATAGCTACTTTACATTCCTGTGGGGATATTGTGTGCATTTTGATGAATCCGTCATGGTTTACTTATTTTGTGCTTCCACCTCTTTATATTAAAAATTTATATTTTTTTTTAGTTAGACATTTCAAATACTGGGCTTTTAAACACTGGTGCTTCTTGTGGTCATTGCACAAGAAAGATTGCCTTTATTACAGAATGCAACTGTGGGGAGTGCGCAGAGGATAATCTACACAAGATCTTAAAACCTGGATATTATTCCTGGACTACCCCTCTGTTTTCTAAAGAACCCATTTGACTTTCAGTTTACTAGTGGTAACAGAAACCTTTAGAAATAGTGTGTAGAATTAATTCTCTTTTGAAAGCAACAGGATCCTTCTCATGCATTTTCCTTTTCTTCATTTGCAGCGTTTTGCGTTTTATATGTGAGTAAGAACGGGAAAAAAAGTAAGCATTAAATAGCAAAGATAAAAGCCTTAGAGCCCAGATGCAGAGGCAGTTGACAATACAGGCATCACCAGAAATGAGCTTTGCACGGATATTCATCTAGTGAACAGTTTGGTTACTGTATGTGATATTTATAACACATTAAAACATGGAGATTGTCCTGTGCAAGCTTTTTGGCACCCTTTTGCTTCGCAGGGTTGATAACATGGTTGGCTTAACAACTTTCAGCTGGTAAAAATATGGAGGCATGATTTGGGTCTTCTGATTTATCTCCTTTTGTTGTTGTTGCTTTCTTCTTATCTCTTTCACTCCGATGCCTATGTCCTTTGGTATTTCTCATAGCTTGACATGTAGCGGTAATGGTTCTATTAGCTGTGGAAAATCTGCTGAGCTTGCTCTTCAAGGCAAGCATGTCGTCACCGGTACTTTTTGCAGTTCCTTATTAGTACGTGCCCTTTACTGACTCTGCAAGAGCCATCACCTAGAATTAAACATTTTCTGCTAGACCTGTCCTTACTCTGTGCAAAATGATTATAGTCCATTATGCCACCTCCTTGCTGACAGCCAGATACTGCTGAGATTACAATAAAGTCCCTGCAAATTCAAATATGATGCTACCTCGGCGTACAGGGGTCTTTGATAGCGAGAACCATTTGAAGAAATGCCTTCCAGAGATCAGAATATGAGACGCTTCTTGAAATCATATTATGGAAACACCTGGTTACTATTAGATTGATAATATCAAGAGCTAGGATCTTGGGGGTTAGATTAGTAGAAAGGCTAATGCTCTTAAATTATCCTAGAATAGGATAGGGCTAACTCAGCATAGGTCCGAAAGTGCTGCCTCTGCAGAACAAATAGCACCCAACCAAAAATGAGAATTTCCAATTTCTCTAATTTTAGGGTTATCATTTACATTTCACTCCAAAAGTGCTTTTCTTGTTTAGCTCAGCAAAAGCAGTTTCCTTTTATTCCTCATCAAATTTGGAATAAAGAACCCAGAATCTGGAGAAGCCAGTAAGTTCCAAGGATTTCACAGAAATATCAGTCATAGCAAAGGCAGAGCCACTCTTGATGGTTGGCTGTCTGATAGTCTGTAATTAAAGCGGGGTTTCTTTTCTTTCTTTCTTTCTTTCTTTCTTTCTTTCTTTCTTTCTTTCTTTCTTTCTTTCTTTCTTTCTTTCTTTCTTTCTTTCTTTTTGCTTCCCTCATATATGTGATTCTCCTTCTATCTTCTGGGAAATCTTTCTCTTTTAGCTCTTCTTCATAAAGCTGACCTCATATTTTCTGTAGTCATTGCCCACCAAGTGTAGCCTGTGTGTGTTCTCCCTCCATTCAAAAATTTAAACACAAGCTCTGAAATCTGATTTAATGTTCTCCTGGGAAACTTCAGATTTGTAGTTGTAATATTTCACGGAGAGATATCACAGGCAACTCAAAGACATTATTTTCCTTTAAAAATGAATACACTCAAGTATTAAACATCCTTTTTGGATGGATGGTATACGTTAACTTTGCCATTCAAAAATGAAGCCCCCAAACCAATCACAACTAGTTGATAGAGATATATCCCAAGAATTACTGAAGGACAAAGGAGTGATATTGCCTTACCTTGGCGCAGTGGCTACTCTAGGGGAGAAGGTCTTTGACTATGATCAAGAGTACGGTTTTATCAGGCAGAGTAGGAGGAAACAATACAGGCCCGGTTTTAGCAACATGAAAGGGATTTTGGATTGTTCAGGATTCTGTTGTGGTTGAGGAAGCAGAGCACATTGCAGAATATTTGGGCTGACAGGTACTTGGGGTTTTCTGAATACTGTAGAAACGTGCTTCGACTTTGTAGGAAATAGAAGCTATCAACAGCTTATAAATAGTAATTATTTGAGATCTGTGTTGTAGGAAAATAATTCTTGCAGTAGATGGTTTGGGAAGACAAAATTCAGTGGCACAGAGGCTGGAGTGGGGCTTAGGAGACAGAGGATGAATACCCTGACAAATAAAATGGTGAAAGAGGGATGAGGTGAGATGTACAAGGCATATATAAAGTTGAATGGATAGCGCTTGGTGAATAGATGTGGATGTGTTGTATTCATGAGGACAACCCATACCATTTATTTTAAGGTTCCTGTTTTAGACAATGGAGTAGAAGATGTTTCCAATATCTGACACAAAGAGTACCACATTAGACACTAGGTAATATGACCATTGCTTTCCTTCCTCCCTCTAGTGCTTTGACATTGTTGAGTCATGCCTCAGCTATGGACAAGGCATATTATTTATGTGATCCACTTTTCAGTGTTAACTTTGAAAATCTGTGATATGAACCATAAGATTATCAATATTATGTTTTGGTGTAATGTAGTACCATTTCTAACTTACACTTTACAGAATGTTTTGATAGAACTAAACTTTCAGTATGTTTTATCTTTTTTTGTTGTTTTTTCTCCTCCCTTAGTGTATTGCCCATGAACCTTTAGGAATCCTAAGATAGATCAATGCCACATTAAAATTTAAGGAACTACTTCATCAAAACCACATGCTTCATTTCCTGAGGATTGTCAGCAAGCCAGATAAAAGAAAACATGTCAGAAATCTGTATTGCTGTTATTGATGCTTCTTGCTTAACTGCTGCATTACTGTGATGGTGGTCCTAAGTAGTTTCCTTTCCATAAAAGCTCAAAGAATGCATGCAGCAATGACAAGGAATGGGTCAAAATTTCATTGGGGACTTTTGAGAAGTGACCACAGTGGTTTAAGTGCTTAAGTTCTTGGATCATTTCTAACATATCAAAAGGTATTAATGTACTTTTGTATGGCTATTTTTTTTACTGTTTTAAAATTCTAAAATGGCAGGTCAGACTAGGCCAAGCATTGACAGGCTTTTAAAATTAATGTTTAATAAGATGGGGTGGCTGCCAGTACCTTAAAAGAATAGTGAATATGACTTGGATAAATGTAGCATATTCTTTAAATTTGGCTTCTGGCTTGTAGATGGATATAGAAGCTGTTCTCGCCTTCCCTCTCTGTCCTTTCTTCTTTCCTCCCTTTTTCTCTGCCATTTCTTCTTCCTTTCTTTCAAGCATCATTGCTGCCTCTTTCTCACTCTTTGTGCCCCAAAGAAGGCTTCACTCTTAAGGATGATCCTTCTTTAAAACACAATGGCAGATCATAAGTTCTATTCCATTCGATAACCTCATTAAAGCCATGGCAACACTACTGCTTATTTATTTCAAGGACCTATATTGAGTTTAGAATCATAAATATTCATTACAAATTTCGTGAAAGGGAAGCAGAACTGATAGAAAGTCAGTGTATTTTGTCATATTGTGGTTAGGATTCTCTGGGACATGGATTATATACATAAATAAAACAAATGCACTGAACATTCAGACAGCCTTGGAACAGTGCCTTATGGGAGTAAACATATGCTTTTAAAAAATGCATCACAGTAATACAGTTTATCAATAATCCACCCTCGGTCCAACTGAGTCTCCAGCATATCTAGTATATTAGAAGCCATTCTGGAACTTATTCCCAGCATGCTCCACTTCGGGCAATAATTGACCTATGCCATCACTGTGGAAATAAGAGGCAGGAGGTTTCTTCTTTGGGGGATTCACCCAGAAATGGATATGCCTCATCAAGAAAGTCTAGAGATTTTCAAACTACCCAATGTTGTAGACCATGACGCTTACAAGAGGGTGTCATCTGAGGAGTCCTAGGGGTCCTGTAATCTGACTATTGATTACCCTCAGGAAATTTTTATCTTACTTTATTTTTGAGACAGGGTCTCGTTTTGTCACCCAGGCTGGAGTATAGCAGCACCATCTCTGATCACTGCAGCCTAGACAACCGGGGATTAAGCAATCCTCCTGCCTCAGCCCCCCAAATAGTTGGGACTACTGGCGCACACCACCATGCCCAGCTAATTTCTGTATTTTTTTTGTAGAGACGGGGTTTTGCCATGCTGCCCAGGCTAGGAATTCTTATTTTTAACTTGAATCTTCCCAGTGCTACTCTAGATTTTTCTCTTATGTTTCCTGCCTTTTGCAGTCAATGTGTATATAAACAATGAGGATACATTTTCACCTTAGTATTAGAAAGATACAAATGCAAAGAAAGTCCACATATTTAACCCATATAAAGTTACAGTTAAGTTCATTTTTATGTTTGTGGGTTTTTAACTTATATGTCATTTCCTTGTAAAAAGCCTGCAAAGCAATTTACAAACTTACTATATAGTGCTTGCTTTGGGCCAGCTATTCTTTTGTTTTATTTAACTCTCCTCACAACTTTATTAAATAGATATTGCAATTTCCATTTGAAAGCTAAGGCAACTGAGGTTCATAAAGTTTAAGGAATTTTTTTTCCAGAATTTACAACTAGTACTATACATAGTGGAAGGGCTGGGACACAAACCCAAGTCTCTGTCTGTAAAGACTATTATTTGTTTTTCAAAAAATACCAAAATATTCACACATGACTTTCAGTGCATGTTTTTAGAAATCTTTTTGGTAAAGGTAGGTACAGAAAGAGTGGTCTTTGAACAGTTACCTAGGTATCATCTACTCAGAAATAAAAAATAAAAGGATAATTAAAGTGAATGTATATTTGTGTCATTAAGCATGAAATATTCAATGCATATCTTAAATTTTTAAAGTTAAAATGTTATCTCATATATTATGCCTACAAGGCCATCAATCTACATAGACAGTTGTGCATGCAGTACATATCTGCTGAGTACAGATCAGTGAAGAGAGTAGCCTGTAGGAGATTACTATGTGACAGAACATGATTCGTATTCTCAAGAAACATACAATCTAGTATGTGCATAGATGTCAATTCTGGAAAACTTATTGGAAGACATGTTTAGGATCAAGTTGTTGAAGGAGCAATCCATGCAATCCTTATAAGAGGCAGAGCCTAGCAGTTAAGAATAATTAAGAACTTAGGTTTTGTAGTTACACTGCTGATATGTATAAAGTCCAGCAGCATCATTTATTAGCTTGTGATCCCTGGGGAGGTCCTTAATCTACCTCTACTTCTGTTGCCTCATCTATAAAATGAGGATAGCACATATAACCTACTTCATATGGTTGTTGGACAAACACAAAGCACATTCTTTGTGCTGTGCATTATCATAAGCACTGTATAAATAAGCCATTGAATATGCAGAAGAAGTAGGTGGTACTATTATTGTTAGTTTTGAGAGGATAAAAGGAGTTGATGTATAAAAAGTATTTCAGGCAATGACTATCTCAACAAAAATTACCCTTAGTAAAGGAAAAAAAAATATGTTGAAAGCAGAGGAAACGTCATGTGCATAAGCTATAAAAACAAGAATAAATACATAATATATGCTTGCTGAAGTAACTACCACGAGTTTGGTTCTGGTGATTAATAAAGAAATTCTCAAGTGGAATGTGGCACAATGAGCTTCTCTACTTCCAGTGTCAACATATGAAATATACCCAGCTATTCACATTTTTGTGGCTTAAAACAATGTCAGTTACCTCATTAATAGTCTTCTCTTCAGTTAAGAGGCAGTTTCCCCCATGAGAATGCATGTGTTCATCATGAAATCTAATTAGAGTGATACCAAAAAAAAAAGGTAATGAAAAAATGTGGTTTGTAAACCTGCATGTTTTTCTGAATTGCCTCTTGTGTGCAAAAAAACATAAGGCTGGTTACTATGGTTCCGAGAGCATGGTTCTCTGGTTACGTTGACTCTTTTAAGAATTGCTCACTTTTCTCTACTCGCAATATACACATTGAATATCATGCCTGTGCAATTATGGCTGCTGAAGGTATTTTCTGGTTTGTCATTTATAAGACTCTCTACACAGTTTGCCTTTACCTTGGCCCTGAGGTTTTTTTTTTGTTGTTGTTGTTAAACCCATGATTTTAATAGTGACAGTTAATCAATATATTTCTTAACTCATTTGCAATTGTCATTTGACTGTGTTTTATAAAAGCTTTAATGGTCTGTAAGCCTTGTGAGTTCTTTTTGAATGTGGCTGTTAGGACATGTTTTCCTTAAAGTAAACTAACATGAAGGTTTATGCCTGAGTTTAATTCAGATCTAAGCCATATACATGTGCAGATACACATGTACCTGCACTTTATTTCATTGCTTCATCTTTTCAAACTGTAGCTGCCATTCTTTTGTGTTTGGTTTTGGAAGGGAAGAGCATTTGAGAAACTGATCCTGGGATTTGTGTGTGCTGAGAGAGAGAGAGGACTCTACCCAGGGAACCACATTATAGGCAGAAAGAATGAAATGGTTCTAGATGTATAATTGAATACTTCATTCCACAAGCATTAATTAAATACCTAATGTAAATTAAATACATATAAATATATGAATATAGAAAATTGTTTGTTTAATTTCCTAGTTATCAAACAGGTAGAATTCAGATTTACACAAATGTGATGTAAAATTAAATGATATCATTCAGCAGAGAAGAAGTTGAGGGGCAGTTTTAGAAATTTTACCCCCCAAGGCTGGAGGGAAAATCTCTGTTAATGAATCAGATTTTGCTCTTTAGAAGCAAAGTGTTGGTAGAGAAGGTATCAGTATATCAGTATTTAGAAGCAACAGCCTGAACCCACAGATGCAGCCCTATTTCATGAAGCAATTGTCAGTGGTAGCTAATTGATATCCACTATCAGGTATCTAAGTTGAAATCTTACCACATGTCATTATTTTAAACAGATAAGACTATGACAATGTCACCAATCCTAGTAAACTGGGAGGTGGGGAAGAACCAGACAATTTGCATTATCCACAGTATTTAGAAATATGGCTAATAAAATGTAGGAAGCTTTATCATCTTATTGCACACAGTTTGCTCTAAAATAGAAGGGGGATGGAGAGGAGTTGATGATATGTTGTTATATGGACCACTTTATAGCCCGCATTCATTATAATATGACAGTTGCCCCATTGACACCATGTTATTTATTGAAAAGCAGAGCAAATAGGCTAGTAAATCATGATTGCACATCTAGCTAATCAGAATCTGCTCTGGTTTCATGCACGTTAATTTTTAAAACTTATTTATTCTGCTTTTCATTTTATTTTTTATTGCTCTTTGTTTAATAGCAATCTTTTCTTTAATAGACTCTCATCTTGAGACATTTTAAAATGCACTACGTGTCAAATCTGATTCAACTATGATACCTAAATGCATATTATTTAAATTAAATATGAATGCTTTGAAAAGTGTATACTTATATCATAATTGCTTAAAACTGCATTTTCACATTATGTATGTTGTAGAGTTGAATCTTGTTAATGTATGCAAGAACCAAAGTTAGTTTAAAAAAAGTAAAATAAATTATTCACATCACATACATCTATACATCTGATAGTGTAATTAGCAATCAAAAGTACTACGTATGGTGATGTAATAAGGACATTATAATTTTTGTACATCCTGCTGATGATGGATTTAGATTTCACATTTTGCATATTTTCTATTTTATTATTTTAGACTAAAAAAAGATTTAAAAAATAACATGTTTTGTTATTTTAGTTCCTTTTTTAATCATCCTTCACGCTCCTTTTGCTTTCCTTCCGTGTCTGGCTCTCATTTCCTCAGTTTAGATAGGACTTGTTTTTCTTCATTTATCTTGACTCTCTTTCCTGCTCTGCAGTGCTAACACTAATAATAATAATAGAAATCTTGGGCCTAGATCTTGGGATTTGGGAGGTCATTGTGGTTACTTCTTTGCTTTTAGTTAGCTTGCTAGCCATTTCAGAAAGAAAATCATTTATGCTTTTCTCAACATGCCCACAGATTTCTTGCATGTTTCCAGTTGTATTTGATCTCATTATTCCAAAAGTTTTATGTATCATAATGTTAAACACTTTAGCTAAAAGATTACTACTCCAATTCTCATTTCCTCATAATGCTGCCAATGTTTTAACACTTTCTTCTACTTCAACTCATTCCACTCTCTCCATCTTTCTCTTCACTAAATGTTGGACTTCTCTCTATTTGATATAACTCTAGTCACTTTTAATAGAGTAAAAGCATTTCATCAAAAATAATTTTCTGAAAGTATGGGTGTGCCGACATCCCACTAGTTAACGGTTTCCCACAGGTGTATTTTAATTCATTCTTAGGCATTTCTTTACCCTCCCAGGCACTGCTATCTCTGCAGCATCTCCATCTTGTTTTCTGTGGGGGTTATGATGCTTCCACATCCTCTCCAACTGGACAGAATTTGTCCCTCATACGCTTCGTCTATTTATGCCTGGACAATTAAGAAGCATCATAACTAGAATTGGTTCAGATGAAATATATTTCTGTTTTGTGCCACCGTCTTGAGACCCACTCCAGAAAAGGAGCCTGGGATATGGACTTGATTAACTCAAAGAATTGGGTTCAATTCATAGTCTTGGCCTTTACTAGCTATGGGACAAAACTTCCATCAATAAAATGAGTATAACAACTATACATAGGGTAATATCAGTTTTAAACTGTATTAGATAACATTTGTAAAGTCTTAGGCACAAATTCTCAGATAAAGTCTTGAACATGGGTATTCAACAGATTTCACAAGCATTGCTTGTTTTCATTATGTAAATACACCACAAAACTATTCTTAGCGGATTAATACAAAATAAAACAAACAAAAAGGAAAGAAGGACCTCTACTCATTGTATACACCCTCTCTCATCAGGCTAACTCTGAACCAGGAAGAAATGCATTAGAGTCAAATTTAGCTATAGTTACCCAGCTAATGGTAGGATGATATAAGGCCTATTTTCATACCAGCTACTGAAACAGAATCTCATCTGTAAAATGGGCATAAACCCCCTTTTCATAGAGTTATTATTGATGAATATTCAATCATCAATAAACTTCTTTGTCATGCTCTGCTAGTCAAGTTTTTTTTCCTATGATGAGTTCTGTCTCTAATATTAAAGTAGCATGAATGATTTGTATTTAAGATATTTTGTAATTTTCATAATTTTGCATTTTTAATGTATGGCCACCACTCATTGAGATCTAGCCATATATGAATCAGTACTTAAACGATTCTCAAAAAGTAACACTTTAGAAAAGCACAGTAACTCATACATGACTCAATGAGATTTGTTCAATTTCTTTTGAAAGAAACACAGTTCACACCTAGAAGTGAGCTCAGCATCACAGGTTGAGGGAGACTTGTGAGCTTTCTCTTGCTATGGGGGAATGAAACCTGGTTTCGGCTAGAAAGGATGCAACCTATAATAACACAAAAACATCCCGTGACTCCACTGTTGAAGAATTTTGTCTCACTTATCCATTCACATGCAGCAGGAATGGTGCCTAATTTTTAGACTCCTGAAGAACTTCTTTATGTCTCTTTTTCTTTCTTGCTTACTTGCTTTCTTGCTTTCTCACTGTTGGATACATCTGGTATATTCTGAAACTAAATATCTTGTAAGCATCGACAGATTTTTGAATAATGTGATATTATATTAACTGTTAACAGTGAAGCCTGTTGTTCTTTCATTGATAAATATTCAGTGATCAGAGGCTCTAATGATTAGTGGTTATAAGCATGAACCAGAGCTTAAATCCATTTCTGTCATCACTAATATAGTGCCTACCTTGTAACAATGTTGTTAGGAAAAAAATAGAAGTAAAAATTTATCCCCTCTGTGTGTTTGTGCATGCACTTGTGCTCCTGCATGTGCATGTACTTAAAGATTTTTCTAGCCATTCATCCATTAATTTAAGTCAAGAAACTTTGATGGTCCTGTCATGAGCCATACACTGTCTAGATACCAGATATGCAGATATGAATGAGGACACAGTTCCTCTCCTCCAGGCAGTCCCTGTCTAGTGAGTAAGATGGATAAATATATTATCCATTAACTAATGTGATCAACGCAATAATGGAGTAGTAGATTCAGTGCAGCAGAACCAATGTGGCAGGTCGAAATACTCAGTGTAGGTCACAGAAGGCAGGCTAATTGCACTTTCTACTACAATATCTCTGTAGCAGAAAGGTGGAAGCCTGTTTGGAATCCAGTGTTAAAGTATAGACTCTGCTGGCTTCAAGCAATAAGAGCCTGCTTTGTGACAGTATTTACTGGACATTAAGGATGGGAATATTCAATGCTGGAGGGCTTATTTGGAATGTGTTTTTGTGTGTGTGCATGCATGTGGGTACACATGCTATGTCTGTAGACATTATAGTAGCATCCTATTGCTGTTCTAACAAATTGAGTGTCTTAAAACATCTCAAATTTATCTTACAATTTTGGAGGCCAGAAGCAGGAAATGGGTCTCAGTGGGCTAAAATCCAGATATCAGCAGGATTCCTGGAGGCTCTAGGGGAGGATATGTTTTCTTGCCTCTTTCAGCTTCTAGACATTGGCTGTATTCCTTGGCTTACAGTCCCCTTCCATCTTCAAAGTCAGCAGTGGCTGGTCATGGGAGTCTCAAATTCTTATCACTCTGACACTGACTCTTCCGCCTTCTGCTTCCACATATAAGAGCCCTTGTGATTACATTGGCCCACTTAGATAAACCAAGATAATCTTCTATTTTAAAATCATCTGGTTAGCATCCTTAATTCCAGCTGTCGTCTTAGTCCCATCCCCACCCCCTGCCACCACATAACATAGTATATTCATAGGGTACATGGGTAAGGATGTGGGCATCTTTGGGAGGAGAGTCTTTATTCTGCACAAAGGTGCAGCTAAGGATTGTATATCAGGGAGAAAATGTAGAAAATTAACAATACAAGGAAAGTACTTTACATCTGAACACGAGAGAGATCAGAACTTGAATCGCTTAAGAAACTGCGTTGTTACATGCACTATGTGCCATGATGAGACAGAAATTACGCAGATAATCAAATGGAAAATGTCATATAAATGTTGTATAAAGATGACGGAAAGAACATTCTGAACACTTTGTATGAAGGAAGGACAAGAGAGTTGTCTGTCAAATAAGTAAGAGGTGGTGCATTTTGCTGATAGGATCCCAAATCCAGTGTAGCTAAGAACATTGTTGCAAACTTTAGAGGTCATTAGAAATTTAGATCTACCCAGAATCTTTAAAAATGTGCCATTTTCCTTTATATTTCTTACGTGTTCAGTGAAGTCATAAGCTCTTTGATAACAAAAGCTAAAACATATAACACCATGTGCCAGGCACTTTTCCAACTGCTTCACAGGTAGTAATCATTTACTTATCACCAGGGCCCACTTCTAGGGCACTGGCCTAGAAAGTCACACAGGACCTTGCACTGAGAAAGATCCCCACTTGGTTTAATGGTTTGCTGTTACCATCTTGAAATTCTTAATAATTTTTGAACAAAGGGCCCTGCTTTTTCCTTTTGCACGAGGCCTCATAAATTGTATCATTGCTCCTGCTCATCACGATAAAGCAATATATCAGATACAATTATTATCAACATTTTGTAGAAGAGGAAATTGAGGCATAGAAGGGTTAACTTGCCAACGTCACACGGCTGTTGCATTAGAGAGCCAGGATTTTAAACTGAGGTGCTTTGAACCACTTCACTCTCCTGCTTATTTGAGATAATGTCTTCTTAAATGTGTCTGTTCCCCAACTATGACACACTGTCTGGTACATGGTTAGCTTTCAGTAAGTGCTTGTTGAACAGAATTATGTTTGATGGTCTTTGGTAAAAATGTTCATTTCAGTTTTCAACTAATAGAGATGAAAGTAAAAAAAAAAAAAACCTGAGTCTCTTCCAAGACATTTGTGTAAACAAGCAAAAATCAGCTTTTTCCCTTTGCATAGTCATATGTCTGAGGATGTTCCCTTGTTCAAGGTATGTTATTTATTATGTATTAGATTTATACAGCAAAATTTTCTGGAGAGATCTGATAAAATGACACAAAGCAATATTTTTCCACTGTCCTAATTTATCTTGAAGAAATTTGAACTTTATAAACATTGGTGTTATATATATATATATGTGTATATATATACACACACACACATATATATTCATCAATAAAATTGCTATAAATGTAAATACATGTGTATGCAATAAAGTGAGAATAGGAGAGCCATATATAATAATAAACCAGAAGGATGGGAGAGGTAGCTGAATTTGTCGGTTGTTACACCTTAAACAAATTTAATGCACATCTTCTGGGGTTTGCTGTGTGCCATATGCTAGGCAGTATGAGGGAAAATTCGTAATAATTGTATTAGTAAGAATAATAAAGTCATTCCCGGGAGCGCAGAGTCAGCAGATTGAGACAGGGATCCCAACCCCCGGGCCACGAACCGGTCCAGGTTCATGGCCTGTTAGTAACCGGGCCACACAGCAGGAGGTGAGCACAGGCAAGCGAGCATTACTGCCTGAGCTCTGTCTCCTGCCAGACGAGCGGTGGCATTAGATTTTCACAGGAGTGTGAAACCTATTGTGAACTGCTCATGTGAAGGATCTAGGTGGCATGGTCTTTCTGAGAATCTAACTAATGCCTGATGATCTGAGGTAAAAGAGCTTCATCCAAAAGCCATCTCCCACCCACCAGCCTTCGTTCGAGGAAAAATTGTCTTCCAGGAAACCGGGTCCCTGATGCCAAAAAGGCTGGGGACTGCTGAGCTGAGAGATCCAATCATATGGAGGTCTCATCAGAGAGACTGTATGGCAAAGACTGGAAGAGAGGGCATAGTAGGAGCACAAGCCCAGGGCTTGGACATTTTAATGATGATTCTATCAGTTGAAAACATGTAACTTTGGGCCGCTCACAGCCATTATGTATATTTCACCATCTGTAAAGTGGGGCTAATAATATCCCTTCTACCTACTTCCAGAGATGATGTAATTACTAAATGGATCCATAAATATGAATGCATGCTGAACATTTTTTAAAATGGGAGGAGGAGGAGGGAGGCATTAAATTAAGGTGTTTTTCTTGCACTAAGTATTGTTCCAAATAAGACATAGGCAATAAAATCACAACATATGAAAAAGAAGCCTTATTTAGCATGAAACACTGCTATATTATTTTAATCCCTACTTTACTACCTTACCTTAGATAATTCATATCTGGTGATTCAGATACTTGTTGGACCAAAACAAAGAGATTGAAGATGTTAGCAGTGCTAATTTATTTTCAGCTTTAATTCACCATGTTATGTAATCCATATTTGGTTGACTTGGATAGCTAATGGAGAGGGCAAAACATGAAGATGTTGTAAGTACTGACTTATTTGATTCATTTCATTATGTTATTGAGCATTTATTATTTATAAGGCATTATGAGTGGCACAGAAATAAACAAGATAAATAAGATGTAGTCTATACCCTTACAGAGTGCACAGTTTACTAGTGACAATGGGAATAAAATGTTTGCATACAAGACCAAATGTATTAAGTGCTGTGAGAGAATAGCTGCAAGGATCCACAGGAGGAAGTGACCATATGAAATAGAAAACCACGTAACTAACAATCTGAATGTTGTCTTTGGCAAGAAAAAACATAGTTTAAAATAAAGCAGTGTGGAATAAATAGAAAGTGTAGGAGAAGGTATTATCATTTTATGGAAATCCCCTAAGTTGCTTTATAAAGAATAACCAATGCTGCCCAGGAGATTGTATATGTTGGCAAATTTTTTCATAGCAACATTTACTGTGGCTTATGAAAATTTAAATTTCTCTCCTGAAAGTTTTATTGCAAAGAGGAATAGTTTTGAAAACATGACCAGGAGATCTAGGAGTAAAATAATGTTATGATAAAAACCTGTAGCCTGGAGGTTATCATAATGAAAAAAAAAATCTCACTCTAGCTGGTTCAGATCATTCCAAAATAGGATTATAATATCTGCAGATTTCCAACACAAGAGATGAAAATCCCACCACGAATACACCCATTTACATTCTTGTGACCTGGAATGACTGTCAGAGTAACTCATTGTTTTATTTCAACAGCCAAGCCGAGTGCCTTAGAGTTCATTATCACCGACTCACTTTAAACCGTACTGGCCAGCACAGTAGGACAGTTGAGGCTCCTCCTTGAGACACATATAAAACATGGAACATTGAGAAACCAGCTTTTGGTTGTCAGTATTTTTGAAAAGAGAGTACCACATGACAGATACACGAAGTCTAGAGTGGTTAAGAGTGTAAGAACTGCATCTTGTGTCTTTTTAATTTTTTTTTTACATTGAATCAATGATTGTATGATAAGTAGTGTAACAAAGATTTCAGGAGCAAATATGCACCAAAGCACTGGATTAGACCTGTGCAGAAATTATTAAAATTACTCCGGGCTAAGGGCTTTGTTCCTGCTGGCCACCTGCAGTGTGTGGTAATGCCCTTTTAACGTTCTATCCAGGGCCCTGCATGGACTGTCTGATTTGACATTGGACACTACTAAGAGGAGACAAGCATGCAGAGAGAGAATGATTAATGTAAGCCCTTCTGTAACTAGCCAGAGGCTTAAGGAATTCTTTTCTGCAGCATTCCAGAGATAATTGCCTACCACTTTATCTAGGAGAGTGTTGTGTCATTAAAAAAAAAAAATGGCATACTGTGACACCTAAGAGGTTGGTTATGTTACAAATAAGGAAGGAAATTAAAAACAAAATAGAAAATAGAGAAAAAAAAACGAGAATAGAGGGGAGTATGTAGAGTGTTTGAGGGAGGATGGGCATTGTCTGTTTCATTTGTTTTTGAGTTAATAAACGCAAAGGTTTGATAAATTTTTCCTTTACGTACCGACAAAGTTTCATGAATTCTCTGAAAAGTCAATGTTTTGTAAGTTGAAGGCAACAGACTTGCCAGCTGGAAACCTTTATTTTACAAATTAACTCTCGCTCTATTATTAATGTCTCTATAAATGAAACTCTAATATAAGACACTAAACAGAGTACATTTCTAAAAATAATTGATTTTATATATATAATCAATTATTTTAAAAATATATATTTATTATGTATATTTTATATATATATATATATAACATTATTGTGTTTGAATCCATTAATGTCTTATATGAGACCAATTCTGTTCCAATTTGGCATTAGCAATCCACAAGAGCATGTTAAGTTCCAAAATATTGTAGCGAAATATCTTCTTCATCATGCTGGGGCTGGGGGCTAGGAGAGATAATCGACTTCAGTTGTGTACAGAATGCCTGGGTGCTCCATATGGCCTATTTTCCATTGGCAAGTGAGTCCTTAAAATCTTAGGGAATTCTGCTACATATGCATAAATATTATAAATTAATGTTCTAATGTGCTTTGAGGCCCTTGCTGAATGAATGGCAGGCAAAATGAAATGAAAAATAAAACATTTTTTAAAGAAACCATAGGCATGTGGTTCTCCCCAGGCACTGGAATTAGGAATTTGATATACATTTTTTTTTTATTTTAACTCAATGACTAGATCCTTCCTTTTCTGGAATGAACTCTTGGGAGATGTACTTAAATTAGGCCTTTTCTTGACACCTTAGCATTCAGAAGGGGCTGTAATCATTCCAGTCAAATCCCTTGCCTCGTTCTTAACTTATCAATGTTTCTCAAACACATTTTAAAGGGTTTTTTTTCCCCCTTTTAAAATAAACATAGACAATGCATTAAGCCACGTGGAAGTGATCTATCAGAAAGCTTATCTAGAAAAACAGCACTCAATTAAGAAGCCAGTCCCTGGCTTTGCTAGAGCAGCTCAGGCAGCCCAAGAATTCTTTTTCTTTTTTTTCCGTCTTTGTATTTTTTTTCTTTAGTGAAGATTCAGATTGGTTCTCTCTATGCACATCCTGGAAGTGGAAAGAACTGTGGATCTTATTTTCTGTGGCAGAACAGTGATTTACAGGGAAAATAGTTCAACTGAGAACCACTAAATGCAGAAAGTCTAGCATCCAAGACTATACCCTCAGATCAGGGGCCAACGTTTCTTAGAAATCAACTCATCCACATGTTGAAAAATCTAACTAATTTATGGACTATAGGGAGAAAAGCATCTCCCTACTTTCTTCCTACCTTCCTTCCTTCCATCCTTCTTTTTTTAAGGTATTTACTTTGAAGTATTACATTAGTAGGCAGAGACTGAGTAAAATCAAGTAACAATAGAGCACTAGTATGAAAGGGCATCCTGAATTTATAATATTGTTTCTCCAATTAATAATTATTAAATATACAGTATATATCTATGTTATATGTAGTATATATAATAATCACAATTGCTATATATAATAATTGCTATGTATTATGTAGTATACTCTCTCTATATATATGTGTGTACATAACCAATTAATAATTACTAAGTATTTTGGACCTGAATTATCATTATTCATTAGTAGAGATAATATAGCCAAAAGGAATGAGAAGGGGACTTGTAGTCAAGCTGACTTAAGTTCAGTCCTCAAATTTCTTGGGCCTAATTTCTTCATATGTAAAACAGAAGTAACGATAGTTTTTATATAGCTATTGTGTGTAAGCTGCAAAATATGCTAAATACCTGGAATAGTGTCTGGCTCATGGAAATAATAAGTGGCAGCAAGTATGATTTCGTATTATGCAAGTTGAATAATAATTATTGGCATCCTAGGCCCATCCTTATGGGGGTCACGGTAATTTTTATTTTTTGCCATAGAACCTGTGATGAGAGAAATGTAACACTTACCCCAGGTCACCCAATAAGTCACTCTATGTCATTAGGACTTAAGGGTTTTCAGCTTCACTGTCTGATTTCAGTCCATTAGGCCACAAAGTCATCAAAACAAACCAGAAAAGAGCACCATCAAAAGCAAAAGTAATAAAATCAAAGGATCCTGGAGCAGTATTGTACTAAAAGCCATCTGCTATCTTAGTCTATATTCTCAACCCTCTTGAAATGTTATTTGTAAAGCTTTAAAAGGCTTGACTGGAAACCTTCATGTCTTTTTAAAGATACAGTATATCTATTGCTGACTCATGCATGCTAAATTAAGAATTGTAATATGGGTTTTTGAATATACATCAGAGAAATGCCAATACTTTTTCCATTGCCAAAGCCCTTAGGCTTTTGCTGTTGAGAAAGAGGCTTTATGATTAGCTAAGCAAATGATTAGTGCGACAGTAGCAATGATGATGAGTGTGTGTGTGTGTGTGTGTGTGTGGTTTTGTAACTGTTTGGAGGAGTAGGGGTAGTTGAACAAAATATTTGCACCACTGAAATGATAATAAATATTGGTATGCATTTCTTTTCAGTTATTTTTTTTTTAATCTAATGTCCTTATCTGCCTGCTAGGATTTCTGTGCCATAATCAGGTAGGAGAAAAAAAAGACACAAAACTGCTGTCTTAGCATTTCCACTTGACTTTGGTGCCTTGTCTCCCTGCCTTGCTCTGTCGGATGTCCTTATTCTTTCCACTTCTTTTCTCATTTGGACTTGGCAGGAATGCCTTAGCTCAGTGCCAGTGTGGTAACCTTAAACTCGCTTACTTAAGTGGCTGATCTCATCGCTTCCTTTATGTGGTTTGTGGGATTTTTCCCCTCTTTGCCTTATTACGTCCCTTGACCACCTTGCAGCTTCATCTATCTCATACTTCCGTTATTGTATTATCCTTTAAAAATAAAACAATAAATATTTAAAACATAAAGCATTTTTATGATAGTTGTGGGGGTAGATATTTTTATAGAAACAATAATGAGAAAAAAAATGGATTTCTCCAAGCTTTATAAAGCCCCAACTACGCAGAGGGCAAATTCTCAAGTTACAGGATTCTACTTGTCCTATTTCTGAGGAGCAGAACAAAATTTTTTTTGCAGATATTTTAAGAGATGGCAAAACAGGGAAGCAAACCAAAGTCATTACAAAAGCCTCCCAGTGTAGACCCAGCCATCTGCATATAGTTCACAGAACTCTTCTGTTTATTTATGAGTCGTGGAATGTGTAAAGCCAACTTCTAGCTGTAAAAGGACGTACAGTTGCTCTCATATAATTTCTTTGGCCCTTTTTTTTTTTCTGCAAAACCAAGAGTTTGCTTTCTCATATTCAAGGAAACACTGCCATGCATAAGGACCCAGTTTTTGGGAATTCCGATTCTTTTGCAAAAGCATTTTAAATGACAACTAAAAAATACACTTAAAACGTAAGACTATGGAATTTAAATAAATGCAACTGATCTTGATATATATATCTCGAAGCACTGCACCTGCCTAAAAATACTTTTTCATAGTTCTAATGTACTCTGTAAAAGAAACAGAATTAAATTGAAGAAAGAAACCTTCATTTTTCAGTATAATTTGGTTCTTTTCAAGATAATAACCTTAGATTAAGACAGTCACAAAGAAAGACAATGAAAAAAAGTCACTTATTTTACCTTAAGACTTCACAATTTGCTTCCTAGTAATATATTTTTCCGGAGGTTTTTATAGGGGAAATGATTTCTCAAATTTCATCTTGATATAATGAGTTCAAGGAACTAAATTGTTTAGACATTAAAAAATTAAATATCTCTGCCATTCTTGTTCTGTAGTTCTGTGCTCTATCTTTTCAGTTAAAAAGAACATTATGTTTTGCAGTCCAGCAACTTCTTTGATATGATGTTTTAGTTTAATCTATCTAAAGCATTACCCTCCAGACATTCTAAGAAACTTGTTTTTCTGACGTGATGTGATTTTGTGATCTCTTTGAAACATTTTCAGCCTTAAGCATTAAGCACAAATAGATGGAAATAGGTGGTAGCTTGAATGTTTGCCCTGTAAATGTGGGTTTGGAGTTACCCCCCTGTATATGTGAAAATGTAAAATAACACATATACCCTAGAATATAAGGATATAAACAAGTACTATGCTGGGCAAGGTCAGGGTTATCTAACCCTGACTTATCTTTGTCTCCTTATAATTTCCAGTGCATCTTGGCTAATATCTGGGGATAGTGTAGTTACAAAGGGGATGTTACCACCCTAAAAACTGAAAATCAAATTTAATATTCTCCTGAGTTGTCCATTGAGACAGATAATCCTCTGGTTTATACATTTAAGACCCTTACCACTAGAATAGGTGTCAGCAGGTTAATATTATATATTTTTTTAGGAATGTTGAGTCTGAGAACATAATTTCAGAGAAAGTGGAAGGAAGAAAGACAAAGACCGTTGGTCCCATGAGCTGGGTATGAGGATGAGAGGAGAATCTGATGTGGAAAACATATTTGACATTAATAAAATCTGGGCTCAAGTCTTCCACCTCTGCTCTTAGTATCAGTTCCAGCTATCTACAATATGATAGGCAGAGGTATAAATTTATTGGAAATAATTTCTTTATTACTTGTAATATTTTATATGGTGCTCTGTATATGGGGTTGGGCACCCAGAAATAACTTATTAAGGAGCACACAAATTAACCGAATGCATAGAAATACATAACTGGAACATAGTAAGATAAATTTGAATAAATGCCCAGTCATCATTTTCTCTGGGGTTCATATCTTTTTATGAATTTTATTGATATCATGTTCTCTTTTGAAGCACTTTTCACATTTGAAATTGGCAGTCTCATGGAACTGGATTAGTATCTGTCTTCTACACCACATTTTAAGTGCTTATAGTGGAAAGGACCAAAAATATTTATATGCATTATTATATCCCCAGAACATATAGGTATCTCAATAAATACTGTATTCAGTGAGTGGATGGATTGGATGGATGTGTGAATTAATGATGAAAGTTATACATGATGTGATATGATTACACTTAGTGTGGAAGGTGAGGTTGGAATGTGAACAGGTGGGGAAGGCAGGTTGTGAAGGATCTGGAACACCATAGGTATTAGCTTATATTCTGTAGGAGGCATTGAAAGAACTTTAGCAGGGAAGCTACAAGATAAGATTTACGGTTTAACAGACCACTGTGAAGGTTATATGGAGGAGGAACCACGAGAGGGACAGCAGCAGGGGGCACGTTGGATAGAGTACCTGCAGTAATTTTTATAGCACTCTTTTATTTTGCTCACAGTAGTGCTTACTACTCTCTGATATTTGTCTACTTATTCTATTGTTTTCCATCAAGTCCTGCTTATCATTCTATAAGAGAAGAAACAGCGTCTGTCTTATGCAATGCCGCAACCCTAGCAATTACTACCGGCATATGGTAGGGCCTCAATGTTATTGAATAAACAAATGACTTTTTTTTTTTTTTTTATAATTTGAGCATAGTTAGGGAACAGTTTATAAGTGTCAGTTGAGCTATATATTTTATCTTATTTCTACGAATCTTTTTTTTGGACACTTCTTCACATTCCATCTTTCGAATATAGAACTTTATTATTTATTTATTTATTTACAGGCAGAGTCTCACTCTGTTGCCCAGGGTGGAGTGCAGTGGTGCAATCTGGGCTCATTGTAATCTCCACCTCCCGGACTCAAGTGATTCTCCTGCCTCTGCCGCTGGAGTAGCTGGGACTACAGTTGTGCGCCCTGCTAATTTTTCAGTTATTAGTAGAGACAGGGTTTCGCCATGTTGGCCAGGCTGGTCTTGAACTCTCTACCTCAAGTAATCTGCCCACCTTGGCCTCCCAAAGTGCTGGGATTACAGGCGTGAGCCACTCCGCCTGGCCTGGAATATAGAACTTTAAAGAAAATAGACATAATGTTTCCAGTTGAGGATGTAGCGATTACTTGCAAAGTCTGTCACATTTTCTGATTTCTGTCTTTACTTTGTCAGTGTGTTTGCTATTAGACATAAAGCAAACAAAAAACCAAACATCTATCTGAACTAATTTTAACACTTTTAAATAACAAACTTGCTCTTGCACTACCTAGATTTTTTTTTGTGGTACATTTGGGCTGAGATTGCAATTTACCTTTTCATCAAGATTTGGATGGCCTCTTCTTATCAGTACGAAAATCTATTTAAGTTTACATGGACTGCACTTTCTCTTACAGACATAAATGACTTCACTGTGCCTAGGCATTTAAAATTCTTTCAAAACCTCAGGAGTACATCCACAGTGATGATTTCTCTGTGGGTTTCACTGGTAAAAAAATAAAATAAAAATAAAAAATAAAAGAAAAAAAAGTCATAGTAACAAGGAGCAAATGTCATGATCTTGACAATCAAATTCTGTTTCCTATTACAAATTACTTGCACTGTATGGTTCTCTTGCTTCCAGCGTCCAGGGAGTTTCTTAGCTGAAAAGTTGAGAATGTCAGATTATTTACATAAGTGGCTTATTCTGAGGTTATTGCTACCTGCTACCTGTGGATGCTTCACAAGCACTATGTTCTTGTATGTGGCATGCAGATGTTTCTGTTAACTCCTGTTAAATAAATATATAGGAAGTAAGCATCAACAATACGATCCCAAACTAAGAGTTTTCCTGTGTCATGTAATGTTACTAAACAAACAAATAAAAACTCATCTTATCATTGCAAAATTGCAAAATTGTCACTGTGGAAATAACAAATAGTATAATCAGCAATTTAAATTTTTTTCTTGTATACTTAGCTATAATTACCAGAAAAATTAGCTCTTCAGATATTTGCTTTTTAAGTCAATCCTCTGTGAACTCTGTGGATTCTAAGTTAGTATCGACTTCCACATACTTCTGTTGCCTGCTTTCTTTTTCATACTTGGAGCTTTTCTAGCTTTTTCAAGGAACAGCTTCTATAGTCATTTCTAAGGTAGGTACAGAGTTAAGGTGGTTAGAAAAAATTTATGGAAAGAAATAATCGTAAATCTCCTCCTCCAAATCAATTATTCACACAAACCACATTATTTACAAACATGTATATGTTTTGCTGTAGATATAGCCATCTTTGTTTCAAAAGGAATTTGAGCATACTGCAATCTGCATATTAATGAAATAAACTTGAGGGGCTGTGGTAGATATTGGAAAGAGAGCAGATTAATGTATGTGATCACTAAGGTTTAACCCTTCTAATTACATTCCACAGGGTTAAAATCAGGTGGGCTAGCCATGCCATCTCTTTTCTACATTTTGAGGGGGACGGAGGTGAGCAATACACCAGAAGTCTTTGAAAATCTGTGTATGATTTTGTCCATCAAAAGTGCATCTTTGAATAAGAAGGGAGTTTTGTTTTGGTTTTAGTTTTCTTTTCCTTCTTTCCCCTTCCACTGACACCAAAACCACTAATCTTCAGGGGAGTTTTGTCATTCCTTTATCAGTGAAGTTATTCTAAAGAGCTTAAATACTTAAGTGATTTCCTTTGGAGCAGTAATGGTGAATTATGCGGTGCTCTAATTGTGCTATTAGTTTATCTAAGCTAAAATTCAATCTACTTAATTTGAGGGTCTTATTACACAGTGGTTTGAAAAGGTGAAACACATTAAAAGGACATTGGTATTTTTAACAGGAGGTTTTAGCCTTTTCAGATGTTGTATTTGATGGAAATATTCTCTCTTACATTTATTTCTAATGTTAGTGTGAGATGTTTATTTTGATATGGAAGCATAACTTGGAAAATTTGTAGGAAATTTGCTTAGTATGCATTTATATGTTTTAACTTGTGGAGTTGAAGTTCCAGTTCTAGTAAAACCAACCCAACCTTATAATACATCTAAATATTATGTGAATTTGTTATGGAATTATACCACTTACATTGTGGTGTGCTTGAAACTTAAAAACACATGTTTTTAAGTTGGTGTAAATTTGGTGTAAAGTTACAACGCAATAGGAAATAGGATGGTTTACTGTGTATTCTCTCTTTGTCTTTTTGAAGACAAGGTCTACTTCTGTCATCCAGGCTGGAGTATGCAGTGGTGCAGTCACAGCTCACTACAAACTCAAACTCCTGGACTCAAGCCATCCTCACTCCTTAGCCTCCCAAGTAGCTGAGACTACAAGTGTGTGCCACCAGGTTAATTTTAAAAACTTTTAGAGACAGAGTAACATTACATTGCCCAGGCTGGTCTTGAACTCCTGACCTCAAGTGATCCTCCTGCAGCTGCCTCCCAAAGTGTTGGGATTACAGGTGTAAACCACCACACTTGGCCTCTCTATTCTTATTTGAATGCTGTGAAACTAGAAATTGATTAACTCAATACTATGTAAAAAGTGCTTAAGAAATTTTGAATTTTTGAAACTGAATTTTCATCTTGGAATTATTGGTAGTCTAATAATGGTAGTCTAATGGTAATAATGGTAGTCTAATGAGCAGCTACACTATTTATCCATACATTAAAATTTTACTTATAGTGATAGCTATAACTAAAACATGGTCTGAATATATCTATACCAGGGTTTCCCAATGTTGGCACTATTGATATTTTGGATCAGACAATTCTTGCTACGGTTTGAATGTGTCCCCAAAGTTCAATGCAACAGTGTTGATAGTTGAGGCCTTTAAGAGGTGATTAGGTCATGAGGGCATTGCCCTCATGAATGGATTCATGTTGCTATCACAGGAGGCAGTGGATTAGTTATTAGAATAGTGGATTTCTGATAAAAGGATGAATCTGGCCTCCTTGCTCCCCCTCTCTTGTACTCTCTTACCCTTCTTCTTCCTTTCATGGGAAGACACAGCAAGAAGGCCCGCACCAGATGCTGGCAACTTGATGTTATACTTTCCAGACTCCAGAACTGTGAGTTTTTTTTTTTTTTAAATAAACTGCCCGGTCTGTGGTATTATGTTATAGTAACACAAAATGGACTAAGACAATTATTACTTGTGGGTAGCTGTCCTGTGCAGGATAAAGTGTTTAACAGCATCCTTGGTGTCTACTTATTAGGTTCCAATAGTGCCACCCAAGTTGTGAGGATCAAAAGTATTTCCAGACATTGTCAAATATCAACTAAAAAGAATTGCCTGTTGAGAACTATTGTTTCTAAGGTAAATATGCAGTTACATTTTATTGTTGTTCAAAATATTTGCTATGCATATGTCCAGGTATGTTTAGCCTCCAGTTCTATGTGTAGAAATCAGGCTTTTAACAGACAGGATGCAGCCAGGGGCAGTGGCTCATGACTATAATCTCAGCATTTTGGAAGGCCGAGACAGAAGGATTGCTTGAGGCCAGAAGTTGGAGACCAGCCTGGGCAACATGACAAGACCTCATTTCTACAAGAAATTAAAAATTAGCTGGGCATGGTGGCATGTTCAAGAAGTTCCAGCTACCTGGGAGGCTGAGGTGGGAGGAGCACTTGAGCCCAGGAGGTCAAGGATGCAGTGAGCTATGATCATACCACTGTACTCCAGCCTAGGCAACAGAGTGAGATCTTGTCAATAAATAAATAAATAAGTAAAAAAAAAAGAATGCATTTTTTTAAAAAAGGTTTTAACTTTATTCATAATTTATAATGCTACTATCAGATTTTGTGCTTTTACCTCTTTTTTATGTGGTGGATTGACAGAAGACAGATGCAGATTTACACCCTGTAGCTCAAGGAATGTGTGAGTGAGAATCCACTATGAGTAGTGTTAGCTTTCTGCATTAGAGGGCTGATTCAAACTAGTTGTGTTGCAGGCCTCCCTTTGTGCTTCACACCAGAAGGCTTTAGAATAAACATTTGGCTGAAACGTCTTTGCAGGACTCACCCAGCTGTCCTGTGAAGGAACTGTTGCCCACATCCACATGCATTAATGTCTGACTTGCCAAAATGTTTGTTTGCCTTCACATAGACAAAGGCACAATGCAATGTGAATAGTATACAGTTAAATTATTACTTCTTCAGCCAACCAAGTGAACATGGAATTTTTTCATACATAAGATAGATAGTTTAGTGAAACTTTTTTTTAAAAAAGAATGATAGAAATTTTTAGTTGACTTTTGCTGAAATCATAATTTTAAGTTAATTTTATAGTGGATTTTAATAATGTAAAGTGTTATAAACAAATTGCAGTATGATTTTTATTTCATTTTAGAGAATTATATATTTTACCACAGCTTTTCAATCTTATCTTATTTCCTTGCTCTTTCCTCACTAGCACTCTTCCTTTATTACTTTGTTCATATTGGTACTACTGTTGAATCTCTAAACCTAGTAATATATCAGTGTGAACCTAGGGTTTAGAGTTGACACGAATAAAGGTAGACTATTAACTATAAAACGATTTTCAAGAGAAAAGTCTAAACTTTTTCATTTTGCAGCTATTAATATATATTTAATGAATTGCCTTGATATATGCCTTCTCTGTCTTTAATGTATATGAAGATGGATTGGATTATTTATGTAAATGGATTACCCATATAAATAGATTATTTGTATACACTATAAGCACAAGTTTATGCAGTTGTGCAATCACATTCCCTTCTCTGGACTAACTTCTTTCTGAAATAGTTTTAATGAAGATAGCATCGGCAATCTGAAATCTTTGCTAGAGCCTAAAACTTTGCATGTAGCTAAACTTTGACTAGGTAGCAAACAAAAATATATTTTAAAATTTAAGGTACTCTGTGTAAACAATTAGGTAATTCAGTAGGAAAACAAAAATAGTTGAGGTAATATGTCATCAGGTGATTCTCTGCAAAATTATAATTTTAATATGTATTTACCACAGTGCTGGCATACAGCATGGCATACTAAATGGTGATTTTGAGTATTTAAAAAATTTTCTATAGCAAAGAACATTCCTTCCTTTTTCATTTAGTTTTTATTTATCAGATGAGGACAGATGCAATGAGGGCTGTGTGCCTAAATGAATACTTTTACTCTTGACTAAATTAGTCTGGCATAAACACAAGACTGCTAGCTTTCAGTACAATTGAAAATAAGTGCTGTGGTTCAGAGGTCTTTCTTTTCATAGTCCTGCCAAATCATGCTTAAAGTTCAGTTTGTATTCCAACAGTAGCATTTAAGACAGCATAGTTAAGAATCTCTTAACATTTCCATTTACAACTCTCCTCTCCTTCTAACATTTTCTTTATTGATTTTAGGATGTTTCATGGTAACAGCTTATCAGTACTTACAGCCAATGACCTAAGTATGCAATTAAAATTGTACTATCCTAGCTAGGTGATCAACTGGCCCTGACGGTGGGGCTTTGGAAATACTATTTTCTTTCCTCAAGACCTATTCTTATTACTAATTATAAAATGGAAAAGCACACTATTGAGGTTGAACCCTTTAGAGAAATCATGCTTGTTTCTTTATAGATTTAAACATGAAGATGCTTCAATATTTTTTCCTTGTTAATAACACTTATGGCCTTTAACATTCCATTCTAACTAAACACATTCACTTATTTGTGGTTTGTCAGTGGAGAAAAATAGCATAGGGAAGTCTATTTTTATGATTTAAATGTCAGTATGGAAAACTGCCATCCAAGAGAGCATACTGTTGGATGAAACTTGGCCTTTTGGTAGTCATGGGCTTGTGTGTAAGAGAACACTGACCTCCCTCTCCCCTCCAAAAACCACTCTTGGGGAAATCATAGATTCATAGTGAGAAAACATGTTAGCTCAACTACCTTAAAGTTGAGACAACTTCCACAGACAAGAGCAAATTACCTGTAAGATCACAACATGTGTTTACTGATTCTCAGAATAGGCAGACTGACCTTTCAGGGCCTTTGCCCATTTCGTGTTACTTTCAGTCTTCTTCCCTCCGATTTACCACTGTATCACAGGACAGATCTTCAGCGATGTTAAATATAAAAAACATGGATGAACAATATGCATGTGTGCATGCCTGTGTGTGTCTATGAGTTAGGTTATTATGAATGTGTAGCTTCTGCTTACTCCAGAGTAATGAGCTATATAATTTTGTAAGTTTATTTTACCTTTTTGGGTCTCATTGTCTTTGTGTGTAAAATATAAACCTGCTGCTTGTTCTGAGAGATCTATTCACTAAATTTAAAGCATCGATCATTTTCTTCCACTAAGACCCTCGCATTGTCCTCTTCCTTCTCAAGCTTCAAATTCTGTGAGGTCTCCTTTCTTTTCTGGTATTTCTTTAATTTCTATTCCTGGAATCCAAGGCAGAATAGGTTCTCCCATTCTCTGTGAGTAGAGACATATCTGTGTTAGTCTGGGACTTAGGTCTATACTTTCTAGCTTCGGGTCAAAATTCTTCTCTTGAAAGATGAAATTCTGTCAGGACCCCAATCTTTGTTTATAACATTACTTTGCCTATAGCATAATTTTCTTTATTCTGCAAAAGAACCAGTCTGTTCTGTTTCCTTTGGCTAACCTTTTCTTCTAGATCCTTTATCTCTTTTCTTGCCTTTGTCTTCATGTAGCTCAAAACTGTCTCTCTCCACAGAGACCAGCTACTGTCTCTTATATATTCGTATTTTATTACAAGTACAACTGAATTACACTTTTTGTGAAGAGTTCAACTGAGACTGTATTCTTGATATATGTACATATTATTTGTGGTTGAGGGGCAAGGTTTTAGTGTATCTCAATGACTGTGCTCAGTCTTCATGGAATAAAGGAGAATGGGCTTTTAAGCTGCAACTTGATGGCTAAGCGCTGAGTTCGCTTTCATATTGATTTTCCCCTCCCTCTACCTTCAATTTTAATAACTGCTCTTCTCTTCATTCCTCTGACCAAGCCATAGACTATTTGTGCTAGAAATAGCTTTAGGGATAATTTGGTTTCATCTCATATTATACATGAAAAAAACTGACCTCCAGAGAACCTAAGTGACTTACCCTGAATCCATTTAAAGTCTATAAACCAGGGTTTTTCTTTTTTATTAGGTGGAGGGGGGAGGGGGTTGGTTTTGTTGCTGATATTTCTAGTTCTGCATCCATTCCAGGTATGTGCCCATGCTTCACAGAAGTTGTTTAACTAAGTTGATACATTTGGTGTCCATATTTGAGGCATGACCCTTTTCTTTGTAGTCTTCTGTGTCAGGGCCCTATTCCACGGCTGGACACTCACTACCAGACACCAGTCTAGCCTGTTGCCCACTGCCTGCTTATTCCTAGTCCCCAGACCTTGCGTTTTTGGTTAGCTATCCACCTGATAACACTATGTCGGCTCCATGAGGACTTCTTGATTTTCTCCCAACATCAACTGCCACTGTTCTTCGGATACCAGGCTGATCCTCCTTGGCTCCCTGCATTTTCCTCAGTGGTTTGCCTGAGAGAAACATTATGTATGCCTGGTCTCTATTTTTTTTCCTCCCTTATTCAGACTGCTGGAGATATTAAAGGAAGCCAAGCGATTGTTCTCTGGAAATTCTTTGTAAAATTTTATAGGACTACTTTTGGAAATGTGTCTTGTTTAAGGTGAGTGACATGTTCTTCATAACCTTGCAGCTTTCCTGTAGACCCTGAAGCTGAGAGGCTCAGAAAGTAAATGTGTGTGTCTGTGTGTGTGTGTGTGTATACACATGCATTTGTGTTGAGGTATCACACAAATGCTAAAAACACATGTCATTAGAGGGATACATTTCATTTTTGGTATAATGAGATACATTTGGGCCTGGAAATTAGACTTACCTACTTTTGAATCTAGTTTCTCCAGTTACTAAATATGTGATCTTGGGAAAAATTATAAGTTAAGTGCTAGAGTCAGAATTCCAACCAAAGTTTACCAGGCTCCCAAATCTATATTTTTCATAAAATGTGACATAAGACATTCTCTGGTCGAGTATATTCATTTAATATCACTGAAGAAAAGAGTGTTTATGGTTTTCTGACTTAGTGTCAAGCAGGAAAGGCAAATGGGCTTCATCTTACTTCAAGGTAAATGAATGAAGACTAAATGGTTGGACAAACTATTTAACATCTCTGAGCTTCAGTTGCTTCATTTGTAACTGTATGACCAAAATTAGATCATGTATGTGAAAGATGCCTTTTGGAAATGGCATTAATAGACCTCTTATTCTACCTTCTCTTCATCCTAAGAAACTGAGTGTAGTAACCACTACTGAGTGTAGTAAAGAAGAAGTAACCATTACTTCTTTAAGTAATGGTTATCATTAATTTTTCTTGAAAATATATTGTCAAGATGGTAAACTCGATGGAAAGTGATAATATGAGTCAGTATTGGGATATATTTACCTAGAAATTATAATTTACATTCATTTACTCCTAAAACCTAATGCACATATACACACAAAATCAACTCACATATCATGGCTACATAGAAGTAATGAAACTCAGTGGCTTTTTTCAAAGATAACGCTAGCTATAACTTAGGAAAATAGATTTTTCAATGGAAAGCAATAGATAAAATATGTAGAAGGTACCATTTAATGTTCTGTGCTATCTTATGTTATTAACCTCAACAAAGCACCTAAAAACAGTATTTTCTTATGTAAGAAGGATTGTAATATAAGCATTTCTATTTATGTCTAGCAATCTGAGTGTTTTTGTACCATTTTAATGTTTTATATTTAAGAGACTATGACAAAATATAGAATATCATGCTGAAGCACTAGTTACCAAGCTACAGAAACACATCGGATTCAATGAAGTCCCTTTGTTTATATGTAGATATATACAGATTCATGTAGTATAGGATTTAGCAATGTGCCTAAGTCAAGAAAGCAAAAGGCAGTGGGGGATTAGAGGATAGGGAAACAATTATTCTAGATCTGAGATAGTATCCCAGGCAATTAATGGCTTCAGATATGTCAGAGGATAATGTGTCCTTCAGCAATACTATTTCATCTAATCAGCCAGAATCCTAAACTATCTCTTGAGACTACTTGAAGTAGTCTTGAGTTATTAATATGTTAACCAAAATGGTGGCAGAGTAGAAAATCTCTTGGTGATGAAATCAAATGGCCCTACTTGACGTTCATTATTGAATCATAATGGTCCTTCTGAAAAATCCCTGAAGGAGGAAGGACTTTAAAACTTTGCACATGAGCCTCTTATTTAATAATATTGTGCCCTCCAAATTTCAATACTTTCCTGACAGAATTCCAGCATTATTGGCCTCGGATGAGATGGGGGTTAAGGTTAAGCAATTGGTAGAAATTGATGTGGAGCTGTCAGAACCAGAACTCAAACTCAGGTCTATCAAGCACAGGAAAAAAAAAAAAAAAAAAAAAAAAGAAGGCTCTGTTTGAGAATTTGATTCGGCTTCACTGAACAGCAGAGAATTCCTTGTCTGTGCTCCCAGTGTTTATCGGAGATGGTAAATGGGTTTCATTCTACCTGCTGCTTCATAAAGATTGATTGGTAATGGCTTTCTGGAGTGCTACCTTGAGAAGGGCTTTACGGTAGATCCATGTTATTGAGAAAGTGACATGATTGATTAGAGACACCTGCTTTGGAATGTGAGGGGGATGGGTGCTTGCCAGTATTTGCCATTTCTGGCTTAGAAAGTGAGAAATGGGGAAGAATTTCTAAAAGAAAAAACTAGGCCTTTGGAGTCAGAGAGACATAAATTTGAATCCTGATCCATCCCTCTTAACTGTGTGACCTTGTGGGAAACTAACTTTACCTAGTGTTAATTTATTCTCTAAAATGTGCTACCAATCTCCCAGTCTATTTCCAAGATATGAGGAATCAAATGTCTAGGAGAGTGTGCGGTGAGTATTAGATATTTAGGAAATGCTATTTCTCTTCCATTTACCATTTATCAAGTCTTCTAGGTGTAGCCACAAGACTCTTCCTACGATGGGCCTCTGGCCTATACTCAGCAATGCCCACCAGGATAATTTGGGAACACAGGGTTATAAGTTGAGCCAGAAGCTAGACATAGTCAGTGTTTTAACGTAGCAACCCTATTAGATCCTAGGAGGATTCATTCAAGTTTTATATATTTATTTTTATTTTTAATCAAACATGTTAGGGTATCACTAAGAGGTGGCATATTTTCTGGAATATGGGAAGTCATTTGAAGCTATTTGTTCTCTTGTATTTATTGCTCTGTCACAGCATGCCTAAGATTTTCAGGACAGAAGTCAAGTGTAAATGATGATATATTTTGCTCTTCTATTAGCATCCCTTTTTTTTCTGCTTAAAGTTAAAAGTCACTTTGGATGTAAAAATGTAACTACCACATCAGCCAGGATTTTTTTAAAGCCATTGTGTACTCCAAAGTCTATTTTCCCTCTGAGTAGATATGGAAGAATGAGCTCCTAAGAGACTAGCCTAATCAAATTTAAAAGCAAATGTAAATTTAAATCAACCATGCAGCCCTGCTGTGTGGCAATTAACATTTCAAGGTAAAATGAAATGTGATGATAGTAAATACCAGTTCTACGCAGAATCGGAAACATTCTGTTCCATGGTATATTTGGGCAGAGAATGGAAAGTTGAAAGGAAAACCATTATTAACACACCAACTTTGACATTTCAAGATATAATTCAAACTTGATTAGAACTTCCACTAAAAATAAAGTCTTCTATTAAAAAAATCACAGTTTCCCCCACCTCATAGGCTACATCACAGCCTCTCAACCTTGGCACTCTGGACATTTTGGACTATCTAATTCTTAGGGGCTTTCTTGTGCATTGTGGGACGTTTAACTGCATCCCTGGCCCTACATACTAGATGCCAGTAGTAACTCACCTTCTTCCATCATTGACAGCTATGAAAATCAAAAATGTCTCCATATAATACTGATTGAAGAATTTAGGGAACTGGGTTACTACTCACTAGGCTTACCAGTCCCTAACTGTGTGTTTTGTTTGTTTGTTTGTTTTGGGTTTTTTGTGGTTTCTTATTCCTCCCGTATCATATTTCAACTTAAATATATGAGGATTTATAGTAGTTTTATTAAGCTCTAAAATGATCTGGTTGAATCTTCCTATTACTTTTTTAAAGGGAAAAAACACTATTTCAGAGACAGAAAGTCCTCGAGGGATGGTCTTTGGGGGATAAGCAGAAGGAAGTATGATATGAAAAAAGGGTTTAAAATTGTTTGCAGCAAAAGCAAAACTACCAGAGCCATGCATATTTTTTATAAGTGTCATCCAAGAGTCGGAATTTTTACAGTTGTTGTTGGTTACCATGGATATTAGTTTGAAGGACTTGGAAAAGTGGAAGAGGAGGGTTGTGGGTAGTGGGATGATGGCCATAATACATTTCCTAGGAGTGTTCAAGAAGTAAAATTTACGTTCTATGTAATTTGTATAATTTTTCTGAAAAGAAAAACTTTTCAGGTAAAACAGGTATTATTATTTATACCTTACTGATCAGGAGCTGTATAGTTCTGAGTTAAGTGACTCACCTAAAATTATGATCTAGCAATTACGTTGGCTCAAGCTTCTTTTCTTCTACTTAGAAAGTGGAGGAAAGCATTTGCCTTCTGAAGGCGGAAGGCTCATTGCTAATTTTCAGTGTTCACAAAATCTGCTGCTGTGGTATTTCTGGGGCTTCTGACAAGGACAGGAAGCCACACATTGGTGAAGCATCCATGCATTGGCAGCACTATTGCTGGATAATGGAGATTCTAATTTAATCAGCCTGAGTTAGGGAAAGCACAATACAAATGAACACTTTGTAAAGATGCTTGATTTGTCATGATCAGAACAGAATATCCAGGTAGACCTGGTGCTTCTTCCTTTATTGTGTTTGTTCATCCTGGTCCTTTTCTAAGACATCAGTTGCTCATTGCCCCTTTCCCCAGATCATCTGATGTGATTGTGACATGTACACTTGGTGTGATTGTGATTAACAATAGCTGGCCAGTGGGCACTGCTGCTGTTTGCGGCAAACTCATCCTTTCTTCCTGATGAGAAATCACTTTTATTGGACGTTATCCTTAATCACCAGTCAAATGAGCCTCTCTTGAAATCTGGCTTCTCTGTAACCTGCTGCTACCACATTTACTCTATTGGCATCAAACAGGGTCGTATATCAATGCAAGTTAATTTCTTGAAATCTGTTAAAGAGGATGATCTTTTGCTCTGTAGCATGCAGATTATGTTGGTAAACTTAGTAATACATAGTAATACATTGGAGTTAGCACAGGAATAGGGCAATTCTGTTCTTTTTCTTGTTGCAAAGCTAGGGGACAGGTAATTTATTATACACGTATTCACCCTGAATAGGTCAGAACCATGAAATTTAAGAATCCTTCATTGGAGGCTATCAAGTCATTGGGGAGATTAAATCTACATTGTACTTTAATCTGCCGGATGGCCATTGCCATCAGTAAAATGTCGGATCTGTCGGCATTGTTAATGTAAGGGGCACCGTCTGGGTAATCATCAACTGAATGCAGTGACAAGTAATTTTATTGAAGTACCAAGTAAGAACTTAACCCTCTTGATTTTTTTCCCTTGAACCCATTTTCTTACTTTTGATGGAATGAGGACATTTTTAGAAAATACAGTGAGTTCTATGTCAGTTTTAAACAAAATGTTTCTCACCCTTACACCTAAATTTAGTTCATCTGAGAGGATATGCCAAGAAGAAAAGAAGAATTAACAGATTACCAAAAAAAAAAGTAATTTTACAAAATTTAAAGCACTCTCTTTTTCTATCTTTGCTAAGTCACTATTTTTATAGTAATCCTTTGGAGTATTTACATTTTGCTTCTGAACAGAGAGACAAATTCTTCTCCCACCACGTATGTACTGGAGTCGTATTAATCCTTGATATTGCTGGAACTAACTTTTCATAATAGAATATGTTCTCTTTCCCTTTTAGACTGAGAATTTAGTAGGTAAAAGAAGAAATACAGATTAAACTTTGAGCTTCTTAAATAATTCAAGATGATAGGATTTTACAAAAGCTTAGAAGTCAGATATTAAAAATGGAATCTGTATTCTGCAGTTGTTGTATACCAGTATAAGCTTGATCACAAATTTTTCTGTTTATAAAATATAAAATCACAATTTGATACATACGTGTATAGGCACTCTATTCATGCTTAGGAAAATATAACTGTGAAGTGAATTGTAAGTAATTTTGTAAGTACTTACTATACTGATATCAGAAAAAAAAAAAAAAATATATATATATATACATGCTTTAAACAAGTGTAAGCCAGAACTAAAAGTTATTCAAATAAGATTGCAAACAGAGGTGTACATATATGCAACCAACTAAAAATATGAATTTATTGACTTTCAAAATTCACATTTTTACTGTCAAAAAGAAATATAGATTTACTTTCTGAAACCTAATTGTGAAATTGTACACTGAACCCTTCAAATAATTTTGGAAGCTTTTTTCTTTTTTTTTTAATCTTCAAATGACTCTACTTTGTCAGGCATTTCGGTTATGAGAGAACAGTGGTAGTGGTGGTGACTCAACGTGGAGGTTGAAATAGAGATGTAATTAAATACATTCTGAAATTAGAAAACAAGGTTAACGATGATATTTGAATGAAATCTTTTCAAACCCACTGTCAAAACACAACTTCTTTTCCACTCTTGTTTGAATCTCATGGCAACCTTGCTACCTTTTACAGTGACTTCTCTTCTGGGGTGTGTTTTCTGAATGCCTTTCATTTAATAGGCATATTTTAGAAACCTAATTTCTCTGTCTGCGTCACATCAGCAATGCTGTAGAAACCTAACCATTTTAGACTGTCTGGATGCTGTTCTTATCAAGTCATTAACATTATTATTGAGGGTGACATAGAGAAGTTAACTCCCCTCACTCGGAGCATCTTATTTGTTAAAGACCACAGCCCTTTAACCTTTATAAAGGATGTGGTTTCAGCAAGTTAACTTTTAATGTGGAGCTGTTTTCCATTATAATTTCAATTTATGTCTGTCTGCAGAACTTCCTGCAAATCTTACAAGACTTTTTGTGTAAGTAAAGCTCGTCTGGGTTGTGCATAGGTGTGTTCTGAGGATCTTAGTTCTTGGAATGTTAGAATTGGAGCCCAGACTCCTCATTTTAGGGATGAGAGAATTGAAACTCAGGTTGTCCTGCCAAGGAGCATCAATACAACAAGGTCTATTATGAGTATCCTGACAGTTCATTAAGTGTGTTTTCCTCTACCTCATACTGACCTTTTGCACCAGTTCTATCTTGGTTAAAACTGTATTTTGAGACCCTGAAAACAGGTAATTTATATTAGCCTTTTTTGTTCTGGATCGTTTCTCCTTTGTTTATGTTGAATCAAAGTGCAGATCCCAGTCTTCTGCCTTGTGCTACAATTCATTTTAACAGAACTCTTCACATAAACAATGCAGTTCATTGGAAAAGTAGTAATATTGCTTTTGTAAAAATGATATATGCTTTGTGCACAAATTTAAGATAACACAGAATTAAGTAAAGAATAAAAATAAGCAGAAACTATACCAACCACTTAAACTCATAGTTAATATTTTGGCAAATTTATATCCAAGTATATCTCTGTGCAAAAATTGTTTCTTGATACACATATGAACTTTTGCCTACATTGATTCATATGGCCATACATCACCAGTAATGCTTCAAGTTGCCATTCCTTCTATCAAAGCTAATACAGACTTTTGCCAGTCTTTTTATACTCTTCCCATTCTGATATACGTTGAAAAAGTCTCTTTTTTTTCTTTATCACTAATTCAGCAGAAGCCTTTAAATTACCTTTTTGTGTCTTTTGTTCTCATTTGTGTTGAGACAACCATGTTGTTTCTTCTTTCCATCCTTACGGATTTGTGAAATCTCTTTATCTATTTGGGTATTCACTGTGACATTTTACAAATAATTTTCTGTTTTATTTCCAACTTGCTATGTCTTTTTTGTTGTTTTTGTTTATTTTGTTTTGCTAGCATAAGTTTTTCTTTGTAGTGAGGATAAACTTATTCTAACCGGTGCAAGTAATTAAGTAAATTTATCACTGAAGTTATATTCAGAGGTAGGCCTATAGCTAGGCACATTAATAGGATAAAATACCACAATTATTTTAGAAATACCTTTCTGCACATATAAGTTATATTGCTAATACATCTCTGTAGCAAAGAGAGAGTCTGTTGGTAGGCAAGAGTAGCAAAAGCCTGTGTATACATAAGCAGGTTAATGAGCTGTTTACTGATTTCCTACCATTGGGTTAGCATCCCTTGAGCATTTAGTTCTTCATCTTGTTATCATGCTGAGATTCCACATGAAGTCTTTTTTTTTTAAACTTAAGTGTGTCCTGTGTGAGAATAGTTTCTGAGATGAATATATTGAGTTTCTGTTTTGAATTATTCTAACATGCCACATGCTATTTTATCATTTGGTAGTGGAAATAACAATCAGTTACCTTCAGGAATTCTGCATTGTTTGACGGATTGTGGCCACACATATGTTTGGCCAATAGTGTTACTCTTCTCTAGCTTTCATCCTGAGCACTACAGCTTATAGCTACAGTATCCTGCAAACAGCCTTTCCTTTTTTCTCCCTTCTCTCTTTGTTCTTAACTATTGCTACTCTTATTGTTGTAGTGAAGTTGTTCATTTTGTTTTTGTTATATTGTAGTGCATACTCATTTTTAGGACAAAGTGCCTATCTAAAACTGTGGTTTTCATCCTGGGCTTTTTCCTAGGTGAAAAGGACATTAAGGGTCAATATATGATAACCACACAGCATTTTAAATCGTTTATCAATTTTTAGGTATAATTAGGAGAGCACACTGACATCAGATTAGGTCAATAATCTGTCCTAATACTTGTATACTGCCCTCTGAGTGTGTGATATTTTGAAAACAATAGCTATTAATTTCATTCCCCTGTATGTGCATCAGAGAAAGCTCTAATTCTTCTTTTTTTTTTTTCTTTTTTTTTGAGACACAGTTTTACTCTGTCTCCCAGGCTGGAGTGCAGTGGTGCAATCTCGACTCACTGCAACCTCCACCTCCAAGATTTAAGTGATTCTCATGCCTCAGCCTCCCGAGTAGCTGGGATTACAGGCGCCCACCACAACGCCCAGCTAATTTTTGTACTTTTAGTAGAGAAGGAGTTTCACCATGTTGGCCAGGCTGGTCTCGAACTCCTGACCTCAAGTGATCCACCAGCCTCGACCCCGCAAAGTGCTGGGATTACAGACGTGAGCCACCATGCCGGGCCAGCTCTGATTCTTTAGAAGGCAAAATTGTCTTAGTTGAGAAAGGTAAGAATTTAGCTGATTGGAAGGAAACTAAAAGCCAACAGGACTTTGCTTCTGGTAGATACAGGAAAGTGTAAAGACTGAGTGAAGCACATTAGGAAGTAAGAGAAAGAAGTCTCTCAACGAATTGGTACCTTGAACAGAAGTTCAGAAGAAAAATCAATAAAAGTAAACTTTTCATGAAAATGTGACTGAGGCTGGGAATCTTTCAGGTTTCATTGGTGGGGAAATTCCAAAAGTAGTGAAAAAATGAGAATCAGTCTTTGTTAGAGCACCTACCGTGTGTTCGATTCTTTTCAAACACAAACATCAGTAAGGCATTCAATTCTCAAACCTCTGAAGGGTGGCTCTCATTATTCCCATTCTACAGATGGGAAAATTTAAGGTACAAAGAAGTTAAATACTTTGCAGTGTGTTTGCTAAGTAATGGAGCACCAGGTCTCTCTCTGCCTTCAAAATCATGACCTCTCTCTCTCCAGGGAGGGTCTAAAAAGGAGAGTTTCCTAAGGGGATAAAAGAATTCAGTGAACTCTCTGATTGTCAAAAAAGACACCACTGAATTAGAAAAAGTCACTTTGTACTGCTCTGAGGAAGTAGAGCAGAGAGGACATTGGCAAGTGTAAATGAATAATTAAGTCTTTTTTTTTTTGGTTTCTTTGTTTTAGCATCAGCCATATTTTCAAATTGGAAAGCTTTAGGATTTCTTAATTATGGATTGTCTATTCATTTTACTTTTCAACTTGTGCATCATGTCTTACATATTTCGGCAGCCTATATGAACAAGGACATACCTTTCTGAGGTTCTGCTTATCTGCCCAGGATCTTCTCTTCCCACATGATTACCCTCTTGCCAATCTTGCCCCAAGACGAAAAACAGCGTCATCTGCCTTTTATAATGTTCAAATTTTGAGGTGATATAATCTGTATTAAAATTTTTATGTAAAAATTAATGTGAAGGTACTAGGATTGTATTTTTGTTAATCTTTCCAAATTTAACATGTGACTCTTCTAAAGAGTATGCAGGCTTATTTCAGTTTTGGTAATTGGGTTTAAGGCTCAAGGAGGAAGGAAAACATCTTATAGTTATCTTTGAATCTCTAGTACCCAGTATGCTGTCATCTGCTTTTGAATTGAATTTTTTAACTGCTGTTTACATAGGACACTTTTCCATATCAAAATCATTTTTAAAACTATTTTTGGATCTATATATTTTATAATACATTAAAAAGAGTTTGCATGGACATTTGCAGTTTATGCAGGAAGATCTTAGCTACTTGGCAATTAAGAAAAGATGATTGCAGAAGGGAGCATGTGCGCAAGAGAGAAATGTTCTTGGGTTGTTTGCTGAATCAGCTGTATTACATGACAGCCCCACCTTATACACTAGAAGTACTGTTCTTTGTATGTGAGGATGATGCCTCCAACGATTCAACATCAGCATTACAGGATCTTGAGTTGTTTTTCCGGTAGAGGTAATTACTTTCTCTGATTCACCCCCACTCTCTTGCTTCTGATTCCTAGTGACATACTGCATGCAGGTATAACATGATTAACCAGGGTGATATTTGTATTTTCTTAACAGTGGATCTGAGCAACTAAATGCATGTATGCTTGTCTGCATGTTATAGTAACCACATGAGTGAAATAGTTATATGCACAATGTAGTTGAAAAAGCAACACAATAACAAAGAAATGACCTCCTTAATTGTTATTCATTATTTTCTGCTGTGTATCCCTTATTTCAACACTTGTGAATTGAGGGATTTAGGATAGATAATTTTTAACTATTCTGAAGTTCTAAAATTTATGATTACTAAATTCAGTATAGTTAAAGTAATGGGATTAATTTCCACACACAAATTTCTAGTGTAGTACTATATTACTTAATGTTTTCTTAGGAAGCTTTGCTTTTGTTGTTGCTCTTTTTGAGACTATAAACCCAATGCTTTTACCTTCATATACAGGTACATATCAAAGTAACATTCAATGAATTATTTGTAGTTGGTATATGTTCAATGGTATAAAATCATATTTTGGTCAGACAGAGGTTGTATATAAGCTACTTAGAAGTAGAGCACCTTGTTAGCCTTTTATTTGACTTTGTTCCCCCCAGGTTAAATTTCTGGTTCATTTTGGCCCTCATTAGTTTCAAATTATAAGCTAGGTATAAATTCTATACATGGGAAAATATAATCCTACTTAGGGCATGTTAAGAAGTCTGGCTTATCTATTAGTAAAGCTGAAAGGGACTACAGAAATGATATACTTTAAGTCCTCACTTTATGGTTGAAGAAACTGAGGTCAAGATCAAGGTTGTATCACTAGCTTCCAAAATCCTCTGAATTCTGGTTCTTGGTCTTCCAGCTTACCCATGATATATTTCCTTAAACTGGAATATAAACGATAATAAGGTGTTGATAATGATTAGAATACAAACCAAGTGGAAAAATTCACAGTGGTGATGAAAACCAAAAATTGTTTGGTGCTCTCCAGGAATTTCAGAGAGGGATGCCAACAGTGTGAAATTCTCTGTAGCTAACATATTTCCTTTACAGGAAGCAGAATTGTCAGAATCACATTATTCTCTCCACAGAAAACTCTCTTGCCATTAGCTGTCTACATCCACAATGTAGAACATCATGCTGAGAACTTGGGGAATCCCTATTCATATATGCAGAGGTTTGTGTTCCAATGACTTGGCTATTGTGAAATGTAGAAATTTGTTTCTAAATTGGAAGTGTGTACATAGTGAGATATTACGGAATTACATTTAAGAAGTGATAACATATTCTATCCAGTGTTTTTACCAAGATAATATCTTATGCCAATTGCAAATATCCTTTTAGGGTTTGTCGCCTATGCTGTCTTCCATTGCTGCAGATTTTAAATAAATGCACAGAAGAATTTTGCTTTTTGCTTTCTTTTCTTAGTAGCTTCTCTCAGTTCAACAACAAAAGGGTCATAAGTGAGACCAAGTGGAGCATCACTTGATTTAGTCTTTCTTACTTGAAATGAAAATATTTTTTCTCTTGACATTCTGAAGTCTGCAGCACTACATTATTAAAGGGTTACTATAGTACCATGAGACTGATTTAGTGTCGCCCTGAACCACATGATTATGGAAACATAGTTCTGATTATGAGAATGTATTGCCAAAAGTGATTTAAAGGAATTAAAAAAAAAAGATTTTCCAACTGTATACAACAGATAAGTACTAAAGTAAATTCTCTCATTTTTATGAAAGGAGTTTTATGTCTGGACAGCTTTGGCATTACCAATAAATGTGTTCCCTTTGCAATTTCAAAGCACTCCAAATTCGTATGTGTTCCGGGATCAGAGTACCACTAAGGGAAATTGGATTTTTGCCTGGTGGTTATGGAATAACTTCCCTTTGCTTGAAAATATTATGGAATGAAGAAGATATTGTATTGGTTTCCTGCCCAGAAAATGATGCCTCATTTCCTGATTATGCAGTTAGCTATTCTTTCTTCTGTAATCTCAAACCACTGAATGTGGCTATAATATAGTTGTTCTCAACCAGTGGTGATTTTGCCTCCAGGGAAACATTTGGTGATGTCTGGAGATGTTTTTGGTTGTCACATGGAGGGTGGCATCTAGTGGGTGGAGGGTATGGATTCTGCTAAGCATTCTACAACACAGAAGCTAGGTCCCTACAACAAATGATCGTCACGCACAAATGTCAATAGTGTTGAGGCCGAGAAATCCTGATTTAATGTTTATTGCTTTACGTATGTCTAACCTCTGGCTTGTTAGGTTTTTCCAGGGCAAGAATTAGCCTTCTGCCTCCTGACGTATCTTACAGCATAAAAGCTGTTCCATAAATATGGAAAGAGGAAAGACTCTCAAATGTGTCTGACTAGGATTGTTAACTTCTTATACTTCTCCATATACTCATTGGTGAGGTTGGAAATCATTATTTAAACTTTTGTATTGAAGTTTGGCACACACAAAAATTTCATCCACACAAAAAATTCTGCATTTTATTTCAGAATGCTTGTGGGTTTTTTCCAACCCCCAAGAGAATAAATTTCATAATTGTGTATTCTGTGCAGAAATATCAACATAAATGTGCTTTCCTGAAGCATACATCTGCTGTCAGTGAGGCTGACTGTAACTCAGACATATGCTGGGTGGCAGCAGATAAGTTTGGAATTAGTTGTGATAGGTTATTCACAAAATAGCTAGAGCGCATGACAGTAATCAAGAATTCACTGTAATTACTTTAATCTGTGATTGGCTCAATACAGTGCACAAAAGACTGGCAGAGGAATTCTGCAACCAGAGAGGAAGTTGGTTAATTATTCCAAGACCATCTCTTTTTTTTTGTATTGATTTTTCAATTGTATGACCTTTTCATTCATTTATATGTTTATTCATTCAGTAGAATGTGTTAATTACACTAGGAGCAATTAATTACACTAGAAAGAAAAAACAGCACAATAACATGTCTCCTGACCTCTCAGTACATCCCGAATATGAGACAGACATGTAAACAAACCCATAATAGCAATATTAATTGTATTCCTTCCTTGAAAAAATAGGGAATTTATAGACTCAAATTTAATAAGCAGTTATTATGAGAAAGTCCTTAAGTCCTTCAATTTTTATCTTAGAAAGAAAAATTATTGGAGAACACACACACACACACACACACACACACACACACACATTTTTTGTTGCCAAGGGAGCCAGCTTAATCTACCAGTGAAAATAGTGAAGTTTAATTTTTTTGTTGTTCCTAAAATGGTAGGATATAGATGATATACTACATTTACATGGATGACAGACTTGTTTATTGCACAATAAAGTCAGTCCATACAAATTAGATGCTTTGGTATTCTCTTCAGTGGTCCTATACTGTGAATGAAAAAGTTTGCACTTTCAAAGTTCAGCTGAGGAAACCTCTGATTCTGTTAGATATTTCTGGTTACTAAGACACTATGGCTTGGTCCAATGTGTAAACATCTCAGAGTAATTCAGTGCAAAAGTTCTCACAGGCTGGATTAGGGGTGGAGTTTTACAAAGCACAGTTGAATAAGGATAATAGGAAAAAAAATTTAAGGCAAAATTCAAATAAAAAAATGAAGGAGATAAACTTCAAGAGCAACATCAATGACAACAACCTTCAGGAGTTTTATATAAGTTACAACATAAATTAGTACTGAGTGTGGCTTTCACAACAAAATGAGCTCATGTGATTTTAGAACACTTGATTAAGATGAAGCATATGAGAAGTAGGAGCTGATAAACGGTCTAACACTGATCATACCCTACTAGTTGCTTAGTGCTTATTTTTAGGCATCTCAGGTAACAAGTGACATAACACAGTCAAAAACTAAAATAATTTTGAAGAGGAAGGAAGTCAGGATGATGAAAAAGCCATATAAAAAAAGGCTGAAGATTTCAATAATGTTTGACTTGGAGAACATAGGACTTGGGATGTTCCTAAGGTTTTATGTTAAAAATTTGAAATGTTTGAACATTTGTCATGCTTAAGAGGAATTACATTGTAGTGTTCAGGAGAGTGATCGATATTTATAGGAAGGGGGGCTTTTAATAAGTATTAGAACATCTCAGTGGGGCAGATCCAAAAATGAAGTGGAAATCCTGGAAGTAGTGAGTTCCCATCCCTAAGGGTTCTTCAGGAGAAGCTAGACTATAGTCTGGAAGGCTGTTCACTGAATCTCATGTGGGGAATTTGGACATGTGAGCAACATTGTTCCAACCATATTAAATACCACCTCGTAAGCTTGTAGAGCTCTAGCAGTGCATGACACTTAGGCCCTGAGATGACAGTTGAAGGTCCATAATAGTTTGTAAATATTCTTAATAATTTACAGTGTTTTTTAAGGAAAATTAAGTACAACGTATTTTAAGGAAAATTACCTTGGAAAACCTCATAGGAAGGAACTGATAGAAATATACATACCTTCTATCTCTCTAACATAGCCAGTCTTTTCTCAGTTGATGAACAGTTGACTCTTAAGAACCAGTGGAAGTAGCTGGCATACTTATAGAGTATGTTGTATGAAAACCATGTGTTTTTTGACCCTTGAATCACATTTGGCACGGAAATCCTCAAATGCTGGAAGGAAGATGCCTGAGAGAATAGCAGATGCATTCTTATCCTCTTGTTCGAATTTAGGGGCATACTTCCGTGGAGTGGAAAACTGGATAAAATGGTGTACACAAGTTAAGCTCCTTCTGTGTTTTTGCCTGAACCTAGTTGAATTCCTGTATGTTAAATGAACATGAAATGACTCCACTCCTGTCTTTTTAAAGCTCTCTTATTACCTGATAGTCTTGAGTTATTTCTGCTCATTATCTCATGGCTCTTTCTACTTCCTTCCATTGCCCTCCTTTCTTTACTTGGCAAAATTTTAAAAAAGCTGGTTCTATATCAAGAAGCTTAACTTTATTTACATGTTGGTAATGAGGGGAGATTTGAGAAGTTTAACCTGGCTTGTTACTTAACAGGTTACTAATTACCTAACATATCTACATTATTTCATTAAATTATCTAAACTTCCTCCAGAAAGAAGTATTGCTATTAATATTGTAAATTTAAGGAAACAGATGCTTAGTCAGCTTGTGTAGCAAAGACTTAAACAGAGGCAAAATGAGATCTGTTTGACCTGAAGTTCATGCTCTTTCCATTATACACAACAGCTTTCCTTATTTGACTTAGATCTTTTTAATAGAGGCATTTTTGGGCTGATTGCTGTAACGTTAGAGCAAATATACTCCAGTTTCTAACTTTTCTGTTCAATTTTCCAGGTTACATTACTGTGAAATGAAGTGACTGGATATTTTGCTTACACAGCTTTGCTCAGCAATCAGTTGCTTTCTGGCCATGGCCATAAAAGGAAAATTCTTTCCACAAATAGAATCTCTGGCAAAAAAAAAAAAAAAGTATTGTCCTTTTGATGTGTTTTTACTCCTTTCTCTGCAATCCTTACATGGTAAACTGGAATAAGACAATCGTTTACAGAGAAACAGGACTTGCAAAGGAAAGATGAAACCCTTCTGCAGCCATTAAAGAAGTTTCTGTATGTAGCCCTCATTTTGATAAAGCAGTAAACCTGACGTTTTGTTTTCCTTTTTCTTTTCCTTTCTTTTTGGTTTCCCCCCAGAACACAGAGCTGGACTTTGGTTGGGGTAACAAAAAGGAAATGAAACCTTATTCTTAAATGTGAGGTAGATCTAAGGTTCATGGTGTAGAAATGGGAAAATTGTTTTCTACACCTTTGCTTGCTACCATCTAGATGGAATTAGAGATTGTTTGCCCAGGGTGATGAGATTCAATTGGTATGTCACCTCAGGCTGTCTGTACAGGTCCATGGATCAGAGCTCTCTGTGACTTCCCAGAAATGTAAACCACAGATGGAGAATTATTGCTGGTTTGAACTTTTAGTTCTGATTTGATTTGTTTATCCTGTGTAGAATTAGTCTCTGTATGCTAAGGGAGAAAAAGGTAAGAATGGAGGTGAGGGTCCGTCTTAGTATTTCCCACAGGCCCCCTCACAGAAATTGTTGGAATTTTAAAGAATATACTCAAATCAGTAAGAAAGTATATGTTTTGTGATGTGCTTTGTAATTATTTACAACATTTGTCCTATACTTCAGGGCACCTAATACTCAAATCATTGTTCAGCAAGGAAGAATGAAAGCCTCTTTTAAGATGGTACATGATGTACTCACTAACTTTTGCATTCCTAACCATCATTTTTTTCTCCTGGATCTCATCACCTAAGCTGTAGGCTCCTTGGGGGAAAGGAAGGACAAGGATTTAGACATCCGTGGATTCAACTGAGAGCCTGGCACACAGCCTTTCTCTGGGTAGGAGCCCACAGAAGGTTTGGTGATTCACTGGTGCCGCCACTTCCTTGCGAGAAAGGGGAAAACAGACATGCAGTGTGATGTGGAATATGTCTATTTGTCCCTGTCACTCATATGGATCACCTGAGGGGAAAATAGCATTCATTTTTCATTCTGATGGTAGGGCTATTCAAAAGAGATACTTGCATTTTATCAGAGGTGATATCCTCATTTTGAGAAACTAACATATAGTTCTGGATTAGGATGCAGTTTAAAAATTGCACGATATTTTTAATATACATTAAAATGTAGGTCTGTCAATCATGCTGGTTTTTCTATAAGAGGATGTCATAAAACCTTTCCCTAAAAGAGGCTCAAATTTGAAGCCACATTAGTTATTATTAATAGTTATTATCCATCATTACATGTCTTATAAAATCCGTCATTTTCACTACTTTTCAGTAGTCCTGTCAGAAATGTATTCTGACAGAAATAAAAATTCATGCACTACTAACTGGGACTTCAGTTAATGATACCAACTGTTATGAATATTCACTTTTTAAAGCTACCCTTTCTGGCGAAATTCCTATATGCCAGGCATGGTGCTAAGTGTTTTACATACATCACCTCGTTTAATCCCTATTATAGTGCTATTTTAAAGATGAAGAAATGGTGATTTAGGTTCATTTGCATGCTAGCATCATACAAAATGGTACAGCTGAAATTCAAGTGGTATGTCAGATTGCAAAACCCCAATTTTAAACATTACGCTGCTGACTTAAGTTCCTTGCTGAATTGTCTCTGCCTTTTCCTGAGCACTTACGAGCAGGCGTTGTGTATGTTCTGATTTAGCTTCTCTGACAAGGAATGTTCAGTGCCTTCCATTTTATGATGTTTATTCAAAGACTTCTGTTTGTAATGGCAATTCCTTGTGCTTAATTTTTTTCTTTTTTTTCTACTTTGTATGATTTAAACAATATAATTAAATGATAAACTCTCTGATGGAAAAAAAAATCTATGTTTATGTAAGTGTGACTGATGGAAGCCAGGACCTAATATCAAGAATTCTTGACCCCTGGAATAGGCCTGTTGTTTTAGAATCCAAGAAAACAAAAGCAATTTGTTCTTTTACTGAAGAGCCCATCCAAAGTAAAGCTGTCAGACCCTAAAGTGTTGTGATGCATCTGTATAGCCATATGCTGACAGATGTTTCTGTATGTAACTCTAGCTTTCTGATGTACAGGGTGACTTCCATGCAAATATTTTTGTCTTTACTTGTTGAAGTTTTATCTGCAAAATAGTTCAACCATATGAAAAAGAATTAGTAAAATGAAAAGGGGTGAACTAAAAATATACTATGTCAAAAGAAAACCAAAAATGTTATCAAGCATTCTTTTTTTCAGCTGGTGATGGAGAACAACGTGTTAATCTTGGATTCCTTCTGTCAGATAGCACAGAAATACCACAAGGTAGTGTGCCAGTTCCAGGGTGGCAGCTAATCCACTGATCACGCAGCAGCATGCCACCCCAGAAAGATAAATCTTCAGTCTCATTAGGACTTCATGTAAAAAAGAATTTTGTTAACAAGAACAAGGAAAACCTATCAAAAATTAATTAAGATATTGTAGTTTAGCCTGTGTAAACTCAGAAAATAATTATGTTGATTTACTTTTTTTTAAATTGTACTTTAAGTTCTGGGATACATGGGCAGCACGTGCAGGTTTGTTACATAGGTATACACGTGCCATGGTGGTTTGCTGCACCCATCAACCTGCCATCTACATTAGGTATTTCTCCTAATGCTATCCCTTCCCTAAACCCCACCCACTGAAAGGCCCCAGTGTGTGATGTTCACCTCCCTGTGTCCATGTGTTCTCATTGTTCAACTCCTACTTATGAATGAGAACATGTGGTGTTAGGTTTTCTGTTCTTGTGTTAGTTTGCTGAGAAGGATGGTTTCCAGCTTCATCCATGTCCCTGCAAAGGACATGAACCCATCCTTTTTTATGGCTGCATAGTATTCCATGGTGTATATATGCCACAGTTTCTTTATCCAGTCTATCATTGATGGGCATTTGGGTTGGTTTCAAGTCTTTGCTATTGGGAACAGTGCTGTAATAAACATATGTGTCCACGTGTCTTTATAGTAGAATGATTTATAATCCTTTGGGTGTATACCCAGTAATGGGATTGCTGGGTCAAACAGTAGTTCTGGTTCTAGATCCTTCAGGAATTGCTATACTGTCTTCCACAATGGTTGAACTAATTTACACTCCCACCAACGGTATAAAAGCGTTCCTATTTCTCCACATCCTCTCCAGCATATGTTGTTTTCTGATTTTTTAACGATCGCCATTCTAACTGGTGTGAGATGGTATTTCACTGTGGTTTTGATTTGCATTTCTCTAATGACCAGTTGTGATGAGCTTTTTTTCATATATCTGTGGCATGCATATATGTCTTATTTTGAGAAGTGTCTATTCATATCCTTCGCCCACTTTTTGAAGGGATTGTTTGTTTTTTTCTTGTAACTTTGTTTAAGTTTGTTTTAGGTTCTGTATATTAGCCCTCTGTCAAGTGGATAGAATGCAAAAATTTTCTCCCATTCTGTAGGTTGCCTGTTCACTCTGATGGTAGTTTATTTTGCTGTGCAGAAGCTCTTTAGTATAATTAGATCCCATTTGTCAATTTTGGGTTTTGTTGGCATTGCTTTTGGTGTTTTTGTCATGAAGTCTTTGCCCATGCCTATGTCCTGAATGGTATTGCCTAGGTTTTCTTCCAGGGATTTTATGCTTTTAGGTCTTATGTAAGTCTTTAGATTTACTTTAAAAATAAAAAAAGAAGAAAGGAATTTTTAAAAAGAAGTTTAAAACTAGAATGTCTCATTTGGAAATTTTTGTATTTGTTATCTCATCTTATTTTATTCAAGACAGGTAAATGTTCCTCCTAACCATAGAAGGCTTCTATGGAGCTGCAGCTTTAAAGACTATCTTTGACAAAGACTGCTCTCTAGATGTGTTATTGCCTCCAGGAAGTGCGAAAATAGCACCAATTGGTTTCCCTGTTGCACCCACAGAAAGATCACATTTTGGCATCACTTGGAAGCCATTGTTTGCAGAAGGCAAAGCTGTCAGTGACTCATTTATTCTCACCTCTTGTCTAATGCTTTGCTTCAAGCACAGTCTTGGCTATGCCTCAGATTGATCTTCAAGCTCCTTTTTGTTTTTCTTAGAGGTCCACATCTAGTTATTACCACTGGATTTTGCACATTGCGGCACCTGTAAACATCTTCTATGCCCCAAATTCTGAGGTTTACTCCCTTTTATGTGCAATACTTAGCAGTTGTTTGGATGTTCTCTTGTCATTTATTTTATTTGGCTCTTCTGTGAGGTTTGCGCTGATGGCAAATGTTGTTTGAGTTTGGATTAAGGTGCTTGTGAACTTTACATTGGTGATGCCCTTCTTCATTTGTTTTTAAAAATTTCATAGAGGAAACATAATATGACACCTACAGGGACTTCAAGTTCTAGAGATGATGAGAAATTTGATTTTATGCTTATTAGTTACTGTGGTTAATGTAATTGTAGCTGACATAATATAAAATCATTCCAAGGACTTACCCCCAGAGTTTACTTTTCTCTTGCATAGAGACCAGTTAGCAGAGGATGGGTAGGGAGCATAGGGTTTTGCTCCATGTATCTGTTCAGTGTTCAGACTTTTTTCATCTTGTGGCTCCATGACCTGTAGGACCTCTGAACCAACTGCTAGATCCTGTGCATCCAGCCTGAAGAAGGCACACTGCTTTCTTAGTCACTTTGCCCATTTTGCTTCCAATAATATTCTGTTGGTGAGCACAAGTCACTTGGGTCTGACTAAGCCAATGGGGGCAGGGAAAAGTAGCCTCTGACAGGGCAGCCACTTCCCGAATACAAGTCTACCAAAAACAAAACAAAAATAAAAACAAAGTGTCGATGATCAGCTGGTAACCTCTGCTAACTGTTCAAAATGAGTAACTTAGTGCTAATCTCTGCCTCTAAATACCCTGAATTCATTGTATTTCTTTCTTAGGCCTGTCATAAAAAAGTGATACAAAACGGGTGGCACAAAATAATAGAAATATAGGATTTCACAGTTCTGAAGTCAGAAGTCTGAAATCAAGGTGTCAGCAGAGCCATGGTCACTCTGAGACTCTGGTAGCAACCTTCGTCACCCCATCCTTGCTGATGGTGGTGACCCATCAATCCTTGGCACTCATTGGTTTGCAGCTGCATTGCTCCAAAGCCTGCCTCCATCATCTTATGGCATCATTCTCTCTTTGCATTTTTGTCCTTACATGGTGTTTTCATTTTCTTCGGACACTAGTCATATTGGATTAGGGTCTACATCAGTAAATCTCCTCTGGCCTTTATTACATCTGCATATTTTTTCAAATGAGGTCACATTTATAGTTATCAGGGGTTAAGACTTCAACATATCTTTTGGGAGAAGGAAACAATTTAGCCCATAACAGATAAATTGGGTTCCTCTGTTTTGTTTTTTAAGTTCCTTACCAATTACTGCTTATTAATAGATTAAATATAAAACGAAGCAACTATAATCATATCAGAATTCTTTTAATTTCTACCAAGATGTTATTTAGGGACAACTTAGACCAGGGATCAGAAAACTTTTTCTGTAAGGATCCAGAGAGATACTTTTGGCTTTGTGGGCCATACTATCTGTCACAGTTTCTCAACTGTGCCATTACAGCATGAAAGCAGTCATAGGCAATAGTCAATGAGTGAGCATGGCTCTGTTCCAATAAAAGTTTTATTTTATTGAATTTCATACATTTTATTGAATTTGACCTGTGGGCTGTGGTATTTTCAGCCCTGTGCTAGACTATGTTCCATTATAACCTGGATGTGAATATTGTGAAATGAACCTTGGGATTGGATTCAGGCATAAGTAAATTCAAATTTTGACCATCATTGGGTAGCTGTGATCTCGAATGGCTTAACCTCTGTAAGTTTCAATCCCTCATCAATAAAATGAGGACAATTCCTATAAATCATCCACACAACGCCTAGCTCATTGTAGGCATTCATATGTAGTTTTTTACATAGCACTTCCTTTGCAGAGGCAGTGTAACAAATTAGACGAGAACAGTATCTCCTTCTGATGTTTGATCTTGGGCATGTTCCTTAATATCACTGTGCTTCATTTTTTCTCATCATTTAAATAGACATTATAATAGTGACTACCTTTTAGCTTGCTTATGAGGATTCAGTAAGTTAATACATGTCAAGAATCAGACCAGTTCCTGGCACTGTGTAAGCACTCAGTAAATGATAGCTAGTCACATTGACCATTATTGTTATAATTGGCTTCCCTTATTACTCAGCAAAAGGAATTACTGAATTTTATTTTTGCTGAATTTATGTCAAAGAGTGAACTAAATGAATACACCATGATTATTCAGGCCTGAGTGTTCTTTTTGTGATTTATCAGTTTGATTAAGATGAAAGAACAGTTTCTCTTTTATTATGTATACTACTTCTGCTCAACTGGGGAGAACAATGGCATAAAACTGTGAAGGCAACCACTAAGTCCTCTAGCCACACTATACCTGAAGTCCCACCCATGTTACAATAAGAATTTTAAGGAAAATTGATTCAATGAATACAATTATGCTTTAGAGCTAACTTTGGTATAAAATATTTATGTATTATATCTGGGGATTCTGATGTCATTAGGCAAATATATAAAATTGGATACAATTTAATCATGTATAATTGAGAACTTTTTATGGAGATATGGCAGAGAAAAACCTCTTGGCTACCCAATGTTATGTTAAAATTTAATACAAATTTAATTTGAGATCTATATACAAATTTAATTTGAGATCTATATGTATTTCTAAATAATGAGAAATTTTGCAGAGAATTACAATGATCATCTAGCTAGTTTCTCACTTTTCTTAAATTAAGAGGGAGTGTAGGTCATTTTCCAGGAATATGATTTGATGGTTTTGCAGTCTGATATTCATGGGGTCATGAGATTCAGGTCAAAACTGAGTATTTTGCTGGGTATTTTTACTTCTATATGTTGAATATGGCATGCAATATGCCCCATGTTCGTAATGCAAATACCACCTGACACTAATTTGGATAAATTCAAATCCATAGAAATACAGTTTTGTGGGTTTGTTGCTTAATTATATTTGGAGGCTTTTATTTATTTTTATTTATTTATTTGTTTATTTATTTATAATTTAAGGACTAAAAGTCTGAATTTAATTTAAGGATCAAAAGTCTAAATAACCCTAACAGTATTTGAAAGCTCTTTACAATGTAATGGCTCAGAAAGTTCCTAGTTGTTTCAGTTGGGCTATGTTAATTTTTAAATAGTGAAATTGAATGGCAATCATTAAAAAGTCAGGAAACAACAGGTGCTGGAGAGGATGTGGAGAAATAGGAACACTTTTACACTGTTGGTGGGACTGTAAACTAGTTCGACCATTGTGGAAGTCAGTGTGGCAATTCCTCAGGGATCTAGAACTAGAAATACCATTTGACCCAGCCATCCCATTACTGGGTATATACCCAAAGGACTATAAATCATGCTGCTATAAAGACACATGCACACGTATGTTTATTGCGGCACTATTCACAATAGCAAAGACTTGGAACCAACCCAAACGTCCAACAATGATAGACTGGATTAAGAAAATGTGGCACATATACACCATGGAATACTATGCAGCCATAAAAAATGATGAGTTCATGTCCAATTTCATGGATGAAATTGGAAATCATCCTTCTCAGTAAACTATTGCAAGGACAAAAAAGCAAACACTGCATGTTCTCACTCATAGGTGGGAATTGAACAATGAGAACACATGGACACAGGAAGGGGAACAACACACTCTGGGGACTGTTGTGGGGTGGGGGGTGGAGGGAGGGATAGCCTTAGGAGATATACCTAATGCTAAATGACGAGTTAATGGCTGCAGCACACCAGCATGGCACATGTATACATATGTAACTAACCTGCACATTGTGCACATGTACCCTAAAACTTAAAGTATAATAATAATAAAATAAAAAAATAGTGAAATTGAAAAAAAAAAAGATAGCATTATTATTCATTTTATTTAGAGATGTTGTGAATTTTAAACTATCTTCTCCTCATTTTCTACCATACCAGAGACCATTACTTAACTACCTCTGTCTCATTAAAGTATTTAATATTTACTCTTCAGCAAGACTGTTGGAGCTTTTATTATTATTATTTATTATTCTTATTTTTACTGTGGCTCCTGAATATATACTGGCGCTTATGCTAACTCTCAGACTTGGTGTGTCTTACAAATTCTCCCACCTTCACCCATTTATTGTTACAGTCCTTATTTCCTCACATCATCGTATTTTCAAGTTGGCTAAGACCTTAGAGACTGTATTAGTTTGCTAGCACTGTTATAACAAAATACTACACACCTAAACAACATGAATTTATTTTCTCACAGTCTGGAGGCTAGAAATCCAAAATCAAGGTGGTTGCACCGTTGATTCCTTCAGGAAGGAGCTGTTCCGAACCTCTCTTCTTGGTTTGTTTGGCCATCGTCGTGTTCACATCTTGTTCTCCCTTGTATGCACATCTCTGTGTCCAAATTCCCCCCTTCTTAAGGACTCTAGTAATATTGAATTAGGGCGTGGCCTAATGAACCAGCTCACTTTACATTGATTACCTCTGAACAGACCCTATCTCCAAATAAGATCACATTCTGAGGTAGTAGGGGTTAAGACTTTCACGTATGGATTTTGGGGAGACACAATTCAATCCATAACAGAGACTGACTTGAAATCCATCTCTTTAATGTTAGAGCTTAGAAATGAGAGATTCTAAGAGAATAGTCCAAGTTTACGTAGTCCGTTTGTGTCAGAATCAGAACAAGAATCCTAAAATTTTCAAACACTTTCAAGAGTATTTAGTTACCTCCCTCTCTCTAGATTAATGCATCAGTGCATTCTACCTAAATAGACTGAAAGCTTCTCAGCCCTGGACTCACTTGGGTCATGTTAGAATTCATGTGGTAGTGATTTAAGGTCATCTGATTCCGTATTTGCTTTGTTGGGTCTTAGCTTAAGGTTCTTAGTTAAATAAGTGAACATTATTCATCCAATTTTCTATGAATCTTCTGCACATAGTTACCATTTATTCACTTAGCAAAGATTTATTAAGAAGTCCTGATGTTGGCTCGACATTAGGCTATTAATTTCAACAGGATCTGTGAACGTTTTCTTCTGTCATGTGAGATAGAGTGAAAATTAAATTCACTGGTTTTAAGTAGTATGCTGTTAAAAAGTTATGTAAGTAGTTTCTGAGGTCATGTTGGTCTCCAAGGAGTATTTGTTAACTGTAACCAAGTAGATCTGTAATATGTCTAAGTACTGATGGTGTTCTGTAATATCAGTAAAGCATTAGTCATATGAAATCTGAATCAGCATTTTTCCTCCACCTAATTCCTGGCCACTCACATGTTTGTCAGCTAGAGAAGGTAACAGGCTGCAATATGCATTAAGATCAACCTATAGTGTTAATATTCTTACCTGTTGTCATCTAGTGAATAGGAAAACATATCAGAATGGAAATTATGTACAGGCAAAGTTTTAGTAAACATATATGAAGTAAGTGATATTAAATGTGTATTTATTTGGGGCTTAACGTACATAAAATGTGAGAAGTTAAAATGACTGTTCTTGTGATATTACATTTTTATACTTAAGATCAAGAAAAGTTTTCAAGTAAAAACACTGTAAAAATTTTTAAATAAATTGATATTGGTAGTAAAAAACAATAAAAACATTTGTGTAGGTGGTAATAGTACAGATGCATTCATTATACGTGATTCATTTGGAAGGATACTTTGTTATAATACTGTACATTTGTATTATAATATCACATGCAAGTTTTATGGTGTGTTTATTAAGACTTTTAGTTTAAAAATACTTTAGACCTCAGGGAATGGGTATTTAATATGTGAAATATTATAAGATCATTAGGAAGTGAAGCAAAGGTACATAAGGTGGAGATGTGAGTCATTTACCTGTAACAAATAATTTGTTTTATTATTATTATCATTACTATTATTTTTTACTTTAAGTTCTGGAATACATATGCAGAATGTCCAGGTTTGCTACATAGGTATACATGTGCCATGGTGGTTTGCTGTACCTGTCAATCTGTCATCTAGGTTTTAAGCCCTGCATGCATTAGGTATTTGTCCTAATGCTCTCTGTCCCCTTTCTACCCACTCCCAGACAGGCCCCGGTGTGTGATGTTCCCCTCCCTGTGTCCATGTGTTCTCATCGTTATGATGAATAATTTATAATATCTCCCGCACAGTCCCTGATAGGGATTAATGCTTTCTTGTTTTCAATTTTTTTCCTGCAGACTAAAGTCATCTTAGTAGTGATTGAGAAGCATTATGAAAGTATTTTGTTAAAATATTAGTGAATATTAAAAGAAAAAATACTTCTTAGGATGTAAGGACAAAGTTAAACTAGGGTTGATGGTTTGGGGAGTGTGGAAAGAATAACAACAAAAAAAGAAAACAAAAGCTAGACAGGCCAGAGCTAAGCAAAAGTTGGACCAATGTGTGGAAGGTAAATGCCTATTAGGGAGGACAAGAACTCTCTATCTGGTATCAAAATCCGAAAATAATTAGGACAGAAATGTGAAAAGTGTCAGGAAGTGGTAAAAGTCTTATAAAAAGGAAATTACTCTGGCACCTCGTAGTGTATTGATTAGTGAGAGATGGGCAGTAAGAAGAGGAAGTTGTAGCTATCAAAGAAAGACATGCCTAAGGCAACCGTGCTTTTGTGTAATAAAAATAAAATAAAATACGGTTTGAACTGAAGGAAAGGAGGCAGCAGGCCCATGGTCTAGACAGATCACCTATCCCTCTGTCTCCTTCCGACTGGCTCTCTCTTCATCATGCAGGCAATTTCCATTTCTAATATCAGTGCTCAGGAATATGACTTTCAACTGTATCCTATTCTTTTTTCCATAATTTAGTTTTCCTAAAATTTCATTCTTATTTTTATGCTGGTAACTACATGGTATTCAGTGGAAAATTTCATACATATAGCTTTAGGCAGAATTTTCTGTTCTTAGGTAATTTACATTGGAATCAACAGATGGAGATGGAAATATGCCAGTGCCAATTCTTATCTGGATATGGAAATCTAGTTGGTTAGATAAGTAAAAGTTTTGAGGATAGTTATTTGTTATTTTTCTTAATGGGAACTCTGAATTGCCATGGTGCCTTATTTTATTTTGTTTATAGCAAAAATAACTCACTATGAGAAAAATGAGGTAGAAGAGTTTATTTATAGATAGGCTTATATCAGAAGAAAAGTGTGTGAGGAAGAGCAGCAAATACTGGATTGATATGGTAATTAAGATGTGGATTCAGTTGTGTGACTTAGACCCAACATAACACTGGCTTATACAAAGGAGGAATGTTATTTCTCTCACACATTAATAGGGCACCATGCTGGTGCAATGGGTTGACTCTATGATTTTAGGTGAGGCCTCCTTCTGTCTTAATGCTTCACCACCCTTAAAGAGTTGTGAGGTCTGGATTTCAGTCAGTGGAGAGTAAAGGGCAAGGGAGTCCACTTCTGGACTGTTGGAAGCATGATCCGATTTTCACACATTACTTCTGTGCACATGCTATTGCCCAGAAATTATAATCAAATGGGTTTACCTAGGTGGAAGGAAGGTTAGGAAGTGTCTTTCTGAGCTTCCATGGAGTTCTTGTACTAGGAGGGAGAATGGTAGAATGAAGATTGAGGACAGCCAATGGACCTTTCCGAAACTGAGGTTTTGAATAACGTGATGCAAAAGGAGAGGAAGCTGGGCATCCAGATGGTCATCTAAGGCAGAACTGTGCTGCTAGCTTGGATCACTCACCCCCAGTCTATGATATAAAAGAAATATTTGGGGGGCCAAGATAGGCAGATCACCTGAGGTCAGGAGTTCAAGACCAGCCTGGTCAACACGGCAAACCCCCCGTCTCTACTAAAAATACAAAAATTGTCTGGGTTTGATGGTGGGCGCCTGTAATCCCAGCTACTCTGGAGGCTGAGGCAGGAAAATCGCTTGAACCTGGGAGGTGGAGGTTGCAGTGAGCTGAGATTGTGCCATTGCACTCCAGCCTGGGAGACAAGTGTGAAACTCTGTCTCAAAACAAAGAGAAAAAAAACAGGAAATACCTTTCCATTATTTCAAGCCACTATTTTCATGTGTTTTCTTTTCGTTGTTGTTTGCAGTCTTCGTTGCAGCAACCTAGCTACCAGTCACCTAACTAATATAGCTAGAAGGGGAAAAAATATCCAAGTATATCCTCTAATAGTATTTATTAAAATATATATGTGAAATATTATAAGATCATTAAGAAGTGAAGCAAAGGTAAAGCCACTGAACTTAGAGGGAGATGGAGGTTTCTCTGGAAATAATCAGTTAATATAAAAAATCCAATTCTTTCCTCCTGTTTTCCTCCCTCCCTCCCTTTATTCCTCCTTCTCCTGCTTCCTCCATCTTCCCTCCCTCTCTCTTTTCTTCTTTCCTTCTCTCTTTCCTTTCTTCTCTACTTTCTTGGTTCTTTCCTTTTTTCCTCCAATAAACAAGTTGAAACAATTATCTGATTCTTATTTCTAGACAAAAAAAATCAAAAGTGATTATTTTCCAGGATTAACAAAACTGTGCATTAAGAGGAAATTCTTTAGATCAGATGATTTTAAATTTTAGAACCGTGATCACACAAGTCATATTAGAGTATTTTTTTTTGCAAAATTTCTCTCTTAAGCCCCAAATTCTTACCGTTTACGTGACAGTATCCTTGAAACTTTATAAATTGGCCTTTTACATTCAAGTCTGTCTGTACTGAACCTAATTGTCATATCATGGAGATATGTTTCTTGCATCTAATTCTCATTTGGATTATGCTTCCTCACAGGGACCCTGACCACTGAACAATAAAGCAATTATCGCCATGATGATATGCAATATTGAGCAGATTATATCATGCTTAATTTTACATATTCATAACCCTGCCACTTGCAGATACTGACATCATACTGAAGCTGGTTTTGATTAGATAAATAGAAAATGGAAATTCTGAAAAACACAGTAGCATCCCTTGTTTCTTGATTTTCTCTTTAAAGATTAAATTTCTTCTGGTTGCTACCAGTTAATAACATTTTTTGGATTATAGACCTCTTTGATAATTTGATAAAAGATAGAAGCCTTTTCTTGGGGAAAAATTACCCTGATACATGTTTCTAAAATATTTTGCATACTTCAGTTTTTAACAGATTCCCTAAACCCCACTCATAGTTTCCACTTCATAACCCAATGTTTGGAACCCCCACTCTTAGTCAGTATACCAGATTGACTCATGGAATATTTAATGGAATGTCCTCTAGGTATTTCATAGCTTAGGATGAATTTTAACTTCTTGGGAAAATGCAATACCTAGGAACAGTTGAAGAGAGCCAAGAGGTTTAACTAACTATGGTAAAATAGTCAATGGCAAAAGGCAATATATGTTGCTTCCTCTAAGGGTCTTTAAGGTGTAAGTGGTCATTATCCATAGTACTGAAAAGCAAAGCTACAAAAGAAAAAAAAAAAAACCCTCCTCAGCTTTACTATAGAAAGTCCATATTACAAAGGACTCCTTATATAAAGAGCTTAATTAAAATATTCTCCATAACCAAATCTGCATTGCATAGTTAAAGCAGTATGTAGAATATGTGTAACTGTTGTGGGACACAGAGGTATCATAGTTGTGATTCAGTGAAAAACAATGAAATCAGTATTAGCACAGCTCAATATAAACACCTCTGCACTGAATTTCTAATAAAGTTCTTTATGCACTGAGGTATCATCTACTTTCTGTCATACAACCTGAAGCAAACAAAACAAAACAAACATAAAAACAGGAGTTCTATCTTCTTGCCTATTTATTTCCATTTTTCTCTCTTACTGTCCTATTTATTTCTTTAAGCTCCATCAAAACTCAAAAAGGCCAACCTCTCCTTTTTGGCAAAAATGCAAGCAAATAGTTTCCTTTTTGAGAAACAAAAAATAATATAGAGTAACACAGATAAGAACAAGGAGAAGTGAATTATGGTAAACCAAACACAGAGAGTATAAAAATGAATTGATTGGCGTACTTAAATGAAAGCCAAGAGGCAGAGTCTTGTCAGGAGTATGGCTGGAGCTGGAGACTCAAACAATGACATCAAGACTGGGTAGCTTCTTTTGTTTTCCTTGCTTTACTCTGTGTTACATTCACTGTTTGTCTTCTCCAGTGGACTCCCCAAAGTCAGATTTTCACTTTCTCAACTCCAAGACCATCAGATTAGCTTTCATTAAATCAAACCAGTTCACATACATTTCCTGAATCAAATTTGTTGAACAGTATGAGATGGACTTATAGAACATCTCCTCAGTCTTGACCAATCACTCTGGCAAGGTAAATGGGGAAACAAAATTGATCCTGTTACCAACCCTGGAGCTTTTGGTGCCGTCAGCAGGTCACCACAGAGACAAGGAGTAGGACAGGAGTATTTTACTTAAAAACTGTAAGTTTCAAACTGCTTGAACCCAGGAGGCTGCAGTGAGCTGAGATTGCATCGCTGTACTCCAGCCTGGGTGATAGAGCAAGACTCCATCTCAAAACAAAACAAAACAAAACAAAACCCAGAACAAACTATAAGTTTCCTTACTACAAGAAGGGAGGATGCTGGTCAAAGTCAAGAACAACTGCTCACATCTAAAGACACATGCATAAAAACAAACATGCACATTTACAGCAACCAGAGATCATTGAGGAATTCATGTCATCTCTAGCACAAATTAGGAAGCAATTTTGCTGAGTTCTAGTTGTCTTTTACCACCGTTTCTAGCTTTTTGACTGCAGTTAGGTCTCTTAACAGCTTTGGAATGCAGTTTTTGGGTGCCTGAAGGAGCCTTTTCATTTAAGAAATTACTTTGCCCAGAAAATTGAAAAGTGCTTTCAATAAGACACCATCTGCTGCTCTCATATTAAGTTAAAACTGGCGAAAATGGAAATCTTCCTTTATGTGACTTGCAGGTTCCACCTTCACATTTTTAGCAGCGTTCTAAACGAACCCTTCAGAAATAGTCCTTGAATTGATGGGTTTGGAGTTCTGTGCCTATTCCTTAATCTGAAGTATTTTTTTCAATTTAATTATTTATTTTAGCAAAGCTGAGATATAAATGTGGATTATATATAAAGTAACAGATAACAACTGGCTAAAAAGCAGAGGGGCACCCTTAAAGGCTACCAAGTGTGAAACATGAGTCTTATTGTAGATGTCACAATTTGGAGCTAGTAATTCTGAGAAGTCCTTTCTCTTCCTCCTCCTCTTCCTACCTCTCATCCTCCTCCTCCCCTGCTTCCTCCCCCTCCTCCCCCTCCTCCTCCTCCCGTTTCTCTCCCTCTTCCTCCCCCTCCTTTTCCTCTCCTTCCTCCCTCTCTTCCCCTTCCTCTTTCCCCTCCCCTTCCTCCTCCTCTTCCTTTTAACTCCTCCTCCTCCTCCTCTTCTTCTTCATCTTTGTCTTCATCTTCATCTTTGTCTTCTTCTTGGAGAAAGGGTCTTGTTCTGTAGCTTAGGTTGGAGTGCAATGGGGCGGTCATAGGTCACTGCTGCCTCAAACTCCTGGGCTAAAGCAGTTCTACCCCAGCCTCCCAAGTAGTTGGGATGACAGACGCACAACCATGCCTGGCTAATATGTTTTGTTCTTTGTAGAGACAGGATCTCACTGTGCTGCCCAGGCAGGTCTCCAGCTCCTGGTTTCAAGCCTGTCTTATCCTCCCAAAGTGCTGGGATTACAAGTGTGAGCTACTGCACCTGGACTGAGCATGCTTTTCTAGTGTTTCAGAGGATGTTAAATACAAGGTTATTTTCTTCGTACCAGTTGGTAAAATAAATACAATATGCACTTGGTGTTTCTATCATCTCTATGTGTTAGTCATGTGGGGAAATAAATCTTTCATTGCATGCTTTACTCTTTGAAGAGTTGAAAGAAGATAAAAACAAAGTCATACTTTTGCTTAGGGAAGTCACTGCCTTAGCAATAGCTGCAATTACTTGAGAATGACCCCATGCCAAAAGTTAGTAGTATATGCTTCTTATACTTCCCAATATCTTCATATATCCAAATATCTTCATAGATCTGTGTTAACCTTACTCCATTTTCAAGCTCTTCATAATTTCCATTTTATCACTTGAGACTCTTATTGACCCAGCCACATAATAAAGGTTATCCCATGGTCTCAAAGAGCGGCAATTTCCCTTTCAGTGTGATACATATTTTGCCTTCTTCTCTGACACTGTGCCATATCTTTTGTTGGCATTGGATTCTGTCAAGTGTGTGCACATGTGCACACATGTGCACGGGCACACACACCCACTTATCCTTTCCCTGGACTATTTCTCTAAATCACTACACTGACTTTTGCCTAAATGGCTCAGAATCCCACGGAGGTAATTCGAGAGAAAGAAATGTTATCTTCTCTTTTATAGAGGAAAAAACCTAGGAACATAAAATTTAATTGATATGTCAACTCATTCAGCTTGTTAGTGATGGTATAACCATTACCAAGCCAAATTCTCCCAGTACTTACTGAGAATGTGATAAAGAATAGAAAGCTGCACACTGCCTCGCTTACATGTATAACTTTTTTTGTTTTCCTTGAAATATGTGTAGGTCCAAGAAATCATGACCTCAGTGGTTCAGTGAATCAGTATGTATTTGTTTGACTATCACACCAGCATGACGAATGTAACGTGGTACTTACTTTGTTTCTAACATTTTTGCTGCTACAGACATTAAGAAATACAATTTCCATGGCAACCCCAAAGACCCATGGATACCCACATGCACAATATGACTGTAACACTTTCATCCAATAGTATTTGCTTTTACTTCACGTGATGTACACTGATATTTTCTCCTCTCTTCTCCTTTTTTAATTTTTGCAAAGGCTAGGTTAAAATCCACTAAAATGATTTCATGACTTGCTAAATTTTGTAACCTATAATATGTTGAACACTGATGTAATGGAAAAGTAAGAGCTATTGTGTCAGGGAGGTATCATTTCAGGTCCTCTTGGTTTTGCCATTTCCTGACTGTGCAAATTTGAATGATCAACATGACTCAGTTTTTCTGACTGTGATGTGGGAAAACACTTCTTGTGGAGTTGAAGTGAACATTGAGGTAACTGTGGCAGCAGCCAGTATTCCTTCCTCTTTATTGACAAATTGGTTCCTTTAACATTTTCCTCTCCTTTTGTAACTTTTAATTCCTATGGGAGGCAAGAGGAAAAGTACTTTTTCCTGGTTGCCCTATTTTCTATTTATTTTAATATTACATATTAAATAAGGAGGCTTCCTTCATTCAGAACAAATTCTAAATACCATGACCAATAATTTGGGCACATAATGATAAAGTTAATAGCTGAAATTTTTGAGCACCTTATTACTCGCCAAACACTGTACACACCATTTTTGTGAATCCTAACAGCATCTATGTGTGGTAGGCATTTTTGGCACTGATATTTTATAAACAGAAAAAAGCAGGAAGTATTTTGCACAAGGTTATGGTCCCAGAATTCAAGCTGAGGCAATGTGATTTCCAGCTTTGCGTGTTGACGGTGAAGCTGGAGTGCTTTTTCCCTGAGTTATCCTGGGGAGGGGACTGGTTTACAAGACCAGATTATTGAATTATACTACAAGGGCATTTTCATTTAGGTAGTTTATTTTCAATTAGGGTAGTGCATAGTATGAGAGTGAGGATAGTAGAGAAGTACATAATGGATGCTGTCTGTCCGATGGTAATAAAAGAGCATTCGGCTGACTGCCCTCTGATTTATGTGAATGTAAACAGGGCAGCCACTAAGATTCAGAATAGGCATTGACTTAATGGCCCGAATATTACACTTTGTTGTTTAGACATGTGACGTATGGGAATAACTGCTAAAATGAGAATGGAGAATACAAGGGCCAGAACGCCTCCTAGTTTGTTAGGGATGGATCTTAAGATTGCATATGCAAACAAAAAGTCTCACCCTGGTTTAATGTGGGGTGGGGTATTGAGGGGGTTGGCTAAACTGTAATTATCTGGGTCACTCAGGAGGTCAGGCAAAAATAGTACTAGAGTTATTAAGGAGGAGGAGGAAAATGAAACCTAGAATATCTTTAGTTGTAGGGTAGGAGTGGAAAGTGATTTTTATGGGGGTCTGATGAAACCCTTAAAGGGTTATTAGATCCTGTTTCATGTAAGAATAAAACGTAAATAATTGCTAGAGCTGTAATGATGAAGGGTAAGATGAAATGGAAGGGGAATTATCTTGTAAGGGTGGCTTTGTCAACTGAGAATCTGCCTCACATTCATTGTACAAGGTCAGTTCCAATATATGGGATGGCTGATAGTAGATTTTTAATTACTCTAGTGCCTCAGAATGATATTTGGACTCATGGGAGCACCCTTGCTTTCCACACAATCAACTGTTTGTCCTTTGTTACATTTTGATTAAGAGACAGGGTACCATAGTGATTAAAACACAGACTCTGCAGCCACGTTGCCTCAGTTCCACTTCTGGCTCTGTCACTTGTTAGTGTGAAATATCAGAAGAGTCTCTGAAACTGTTTTATCCTATGTGGTAATTTCTGATATGATATATGTTGAGTGTTGGGTGAATCAAATGAATTAATAAGGGCAAAACACTAATATTGGCACATGGTTCCTAATGAGCACGATGTGAGTGTTAGTTATTTCTTCAGTCTCTTTCAAGATAACCTTTATTTCTTCTCACGATACTGTCTCTCTGTGTGTGTGTGTGCATGTGTGTGCAGTTTAAAAGCTCTGCAATGCCATCCCCATCAAGCTACCAATGACTTTCTTCAAAGAATTGGAAAAAACTACTTTAAAGTTCATATGGAACCAAAAAAGAGCCTGCATCGCCAAGTCAATCCTAAGCCAAAAGAACAAAGCTGGAGGCATCACTCTACCTGACTTCAAACTATACTACAAGGCTACAGTAACCAAAACAGCATGGTACTGGTACCAAAACAGAGATATAGATCAATGGAACAGAACAGAGCCCTCAGAAATAATGCCACATATCTACAACTATCTGATCTTTGACAAACCTGAGAAAAACAAGCAATGGGCAAAGGATTCCCTATTTAATAAGTGGTGCTGGGAAAACTGGCTGGCCATATGTAGAAAGCTGAAACTGGATCCCTTCCTTACACCTTATACAAAAATCAATTCAAGATGGATTAAAGACTTAAACGTTAGACCTAAAACCATAAAAACTCTAGAAGAAAACCTAGGCATTACCATTCAGGACATAGGCATGGGCAAGGACTTCATGTCTAAAACACCAAAAGCAATGTCAACAAAAGCCAAAATTGACAAATGGGATCTAATTAAACTAAAGAGCTTCTGCACAGCAAAAGAAACTACCATCAGAGTGAACAGGCAACCTACAAAATGGGAGAAAATTTTCACAACCTACTCATCTGACAAAGGGCTAATATCCAGAATCTACAATGAACTCCAACAAATTTACAAGAAAAAAACAAACAACCCCATCAAAAAGTGGGCGAAGGACATGAACAGACACTTCTCAAAAGAAGACATTTATGCAGCCAAAAAACACATGAAAAAATGTTCATCATCACTGGCCATCAGAGAAATGCAAATCAAAACCACAATGAGATACCATCTCACACCAGTTAGAATGGCAATCATTAAAAAGTCAGGAAACAACAGGTGCTGGAGAGGATGTGGAGAAATAGGAACCCTTTTACACTGTTGGTGGGACTGTAAACTAGTTCAACCATTGTGGAAGTCAGTGTGGCGATTCCTCAGGGATCTAGAAGTAGAAATACCATTTGACCCAGCCATCCCATTACTGGGTATATACCCAAAGGACTATAAATCATGCTGCTATAAAGACACATGCACACGTATGTTTATTGCGGCATTATTCACAATAGCAAAGACTTGGAACCAACTCAAACGTCCAACAATGATAGACTGGATTAAGAAAATGTGGCACATATACACCATGGAATACTATGCAGCCATAAAAAATGATGAGTTCATGTCCTTTGCAGGGACATGGATGAAATTGGAAATCATCATTCTCAGTAAACTATTGCAAGAACAAAAAACCAAACACTGCATATTCTCACTCATAGGTGGGAATTGAACAATGAGATCACATGGACACAGGAAGGGGAACATCACACTCTGGGGACTGTTGTGGAGTGGGGGGTGGGGGGAGGGGGGAGGGATAGCATTGGGAGATATACCTAATGCTAGATGACGAGTTAGTGGGTGCAGCGCACCAGCATGGCACATGTATACATATGTAACTAACCTGCACAATGTGCAGGTTATATACTAAAACTTAAAGTATAATAATAATAAAAAAAAGCTATGTATAGGGACAATCTTGTTCTTGGCAAACATAGCAGTAGTATGCTAAGGTAGCTATGACTAAATAATAATCCCCTGTTGATAGTAAGGATATTTGATTTTTTTGAAATAACCATTGTTTCTTTCAACTTGAATTCTTAAAGCTGGGATTGCTATAAGCACACTTATAGCACATTAAGACCAAAGCAGAAATCATCTGTGTGTATATGTATCTCTTCTGTATTATACTGCTTAGTTTTCACTTGAAACATCTTTATATCCTAAGAGTTCAGACTCAAACATAGTAGGCACTCAATAAATGGTTATTGAACTGTCTATAATACAATGGACCACATTATCAAGCCCTCCAAATGGAATGGAGGGCTACAGCAAAAGGTAGACACACATTCAGTACATAGAGAAGATAATACTTGATAAAATACATAAAAAATACATTTCTTCTAATTTTTAGAACTTTTTTTCTCTGTGAAACAGTAAACAAGTGTGATTACAATTAGGTCTAAAATAATTTTGTTGATTTATTAGTTTAGGTATGAAGTAAACTACAAAGGCATGCAAATTCAGTTTTACGTGTGAAGGTTCATACATCAGGACATGTAGAACAATTAACTTAGACTCAATGAAGTTTATGAGTTTTGCATTCACACGGCATTGATCAGATTTTCATAAGAGAAGAAACAATGAGCCAAGTATGGTCATAGCCCATTTCTTTTTTCTTTTTGGTTTTTTTTTTTTCTTTTTTTTGGAGATGGTGTCTTGCTATGTTGTCCAGGCTGGAGTGCAGTGGTGCTATCTCTGCTCACTGCAACCTCTGCCTCCCGGGTGCAAGCAATTCTTCTGCCTCAGCCTCCCGAGTAGCTGGGACTACAGGCATGAGCCACCAAGCCCGACTAATTTTTGTATTTTTAGTAGAGACGGGGTTTCACCATGTTGGTCAGTCTGGTCTCGAACCCCTGACCTCATTATCTGCCCACCTCTGCCTCCCAAAGTTCTAGGATTACAGGCGTGAGCCACTGTGCCCAGCCGGCCCATTTCTTTTTAAAATGGATTTGTGTAATGGATCGATCATAATTGTAAAATCCAAAGCATGACCATACTTTAGGCACTTTCTATGAAGTAGTCTTATGAAACACACACACACATACACACACACACAGAATCTGATAAGCCTATATATTCACATAATAGAAGGGCAGGTTGAACTTGACCACAAGAAAGTAATCAACAATATCCAAACTGTGAGATTATGCAAAACATTTGTTTTATTCCTCAACAAATAAGCTGCAAGGCAGAAATAGATTGAGAAAGAGAGGATATTTATAGACTAGAAGAGATATAGCAATCAAATATTTTATCATGTATGGAACTTATACAGACTCTAAAAACAGAACAAATTATTTTATGTATGAAACAATTACAAATGTGAACACTGGATATTTTATAGTATTAAGGGATTATTGTTAATATTTTACTTTGATAACAGGGCTGTGGTTTGGTTAATATAGTTCATTTTTTATAGATGTACATAGTAAAATATGGATTGAATGAAGTGATATCTGAGATTTGTTTCCCGGTAACTGGGAAGAGAAGAAATTGGACTGGAGAGTGGTTTGACAGACTTGTTCTTAGGATGATAGATGTAGGAACTGGCCAATGTATATGAGTACTTACACTATTTTATTGGATTTTGGATATGTTTAAAATTCTCCATAGTAAAACAAGTTTGTTAATAATATATATATTTACTTTTGACCAAGTGTGGTGGCTCATGCCTGTAATTCCAGCAATTTGGGAAGCCAAGGCAGGAAGATTGCTTGAGTCCAGGAGTTCAAGAGCAACCTGGGCAATACAGTGAGACCTCATCCCTACAACAAATTAAAAACTTATCCAGGCTTGGCGGTGCATGCCTTTAGTCCCAGCCACTCCAGAGGCTGAGGTGGGTGGATTGCTTCAGCCTGGGAGGCAGAGGTTGTGGTGAGCAGATATCTCAAAAAAAAAAAAAAAAAAAGCAAAAGAAAATACTGTATATTTACTTTAGAACTCTTCTTTAAGTTACCAAGAGTTAACAAATTAGAAAGCGGAAACACTTTAATTAAGCATTTATGACGTAGTTTGAAAGTAACTGCAGGCAGTTAACTATGGTTTGGAATATATAATGGCAATATATTCTCCTACTGGTTTTGTTACAAAAATAATAATAATAACTATTATTATCCTTATTATTATAAGCTATGGCAAATTGATCGTTGTCAACATTATAACATTTTCAGAATGTAAAACACCAAATGAACTTTCATAGTGATGCTCAGCAGCATGAGACAATAATATTGCAATAAATTTCACAATGTTATAGTAAAACAATATATATACAAAATCTTCTATGTGGTCAGCATCTGTCTTCAACTGTTTGAGCTACCATAACAAAATACTATAAACTGGTGGTTTATAAACCCATCAGAGTTCTAGAGGCTGGAAAATTCAAGATCAAGACACTGGCAGATTCCATGTCTGTTGAGGACCTGTTCTTCATAGATCTTGCTTTCTTACACTGTGGTCTCATATGGTGTAAGGAGCAAGGCGGCTCCCTTGTGCCTCTTTTATAAGGATGCTCAACCCATCCTCGTGACCTAATCATCTCCCAATGGTTCCATCTCTTAATACCATCACATTAGTGATTAGGTTCCAATATACAAATTTGGGAGGGACACAGACATAACATTCAGACCATAGCAGCATCATACTGGGCATTGCAGAGACAGAAATTGATCCTAATATGCTAGAATGAAAAGTCTTTGTAGGCAGACAAATACATAATTAAGGAATTGCCAGACAATTGGATAAGTGCAATATTAGAGCTGTGTAGTGAACACACAGGGATTATGGTCAGTTCGGCTTAGGTGTCAGTATAGACATCAAATAAAGTATTGCTAGAGGTTTCTACCATGTTCTATGTACAGCATTTATTTACAGTGACTTAAGGAGATATTATTAGTAGGCTTTCAGAAATATAAACTGTAGAGTAAACTTTGCCATTGACCAGTATTTATAGGTATCTCCTTTAAAACACAGAAAATGAAATCACTGTCAAAGCGAACTGTAATTTGCATGCCAAGTGTGTCTGACTTTCATTTAATGCAATTCATACTCACTTAATTTGAAGGATTCTGAAGTTGAGGTGATAGAAAAAATACCTTACACACTTAATATACTTTCATTTTTTCATTTTAATTGCATGCTTAACATAAATACCTTAGAGTAGTACATCATTTTTAATGCACTTTGTTTTATGTGTCTGCTAAAAGATGGAATTGCACTAGATTTCATCGTTTATTTTTCTTGATCTTTGTATAGTCATTCTCAACTGCTGAAAATCAAATGTTTTGAATATTTAAGCCCAAATATATGATCATCTTTGTTTATGTTCATATTTAAGAATATTTTCAAAGAGTTAATTCATTTTGATGCACATTAATACAGTTCAGATCACTAGTTTGTTTTTATAGTTTTCAGGGTTAGAGGGAAGACAGAATCAATAATCTGATAGATATCTTGGGAAATGGAATGCATAAGATATTTATGGAGAGGTGCTTCATATCAGCATTCTTTTGAAAATAAATCCTATTATTTCTAAGGGTATATTTAAAACCTTATATTTACCTAGCGTAGTAAATTATATCAGTAATGATTTCTTGATATCCAAGTGAAATAACTAATATTACTAAGATAGGGAATGTGTCCTTTTAAGTTATTGTAGCAATCCAGTTAAGTGGGGGCCTTTGTGTTATTAAACATGATCAAGTAACATGAACAGAAACTTTCTCAAGTTTAGGAATAGGCTCAAACTAGATGCTCCATAAATGCTTGAAAAATGAAACTCTCATGATGATACCAGTTTATGGTTTGTACATTCTCTATCTGAATTTTTATCACCTTCTCTTGCTCAGTTTAAATGAAGGAATGGTCTCTAATTGCCCCTCTCATTTTGGATCATCTAGCAAGCCCCACTTTAGTCATTAAAATAGTTAATTGGGTTTCTAAGTTAGTCTAATTTAATGGTATAGTGAACAATTAGGTATATTTTACCAGGAATAGGAGAATACATTGGTCACATTTTGGAATTGCATTGACTTGTCAATCACTAAGCAAATGAGAGTAAGAGCTTCATTAAATGGACTGAAAGTGTTGCTTTTCTTTGGAAGAATCTCGATAGAGATGCTGTAATTTCAGTGTTTTGTTTTTTTATACATTATGTAGAAATATTAAGCCTGAGTTTTACTGAAGCCAGAGTGTCATTTACTGTATATAAATATGTAGAATAATGTCTATAATTAGGATACCAGGTTACATTAGATCAAGTGAATAGTTGGTTAGGATCTTGTTATCCTTTAAGACTTTCTCTTCCCCTTAATGGGGAAATGATTGCTCCTGGTGAATGAACTTATCAGTGTGTCTGATCCAAATCCACTATTTTTCTCTTTTAGCTGAATTAAAGAATGGCAGCAACAACAAACTCCATCATGGGAAGGGCAGGGAAATGACCAAAGATCACTTATTGATTAATATAAAACTGCTAGTTAATTACATGTTGCAACTAACTGGTTGATTCTCTGAGGGTTGTTTTTTTGTTTTTTTTTTTTCTCTGTTAAGAGTTAAACTGTACTCTCCAGGGTGTCCATTGTATAAGTTACTCCAGAAAACATGGGGGTGATGCCTTTTTGTGCTCACATGATATGTCAGACTTTCAACTAATTTGGTAAGGGGATCGTGTTTGCAAGAATTTTTGTGAACGGACATGGATTTTACATAGTATAGATAGGAAAAAGAGAGATACTCTGTCAAAAAAGAATGAATGTTAAATATGTTAATCGCCTTGTATATAGATAAAAAGCCTATTTCTAACCTTGAGGAAATTTCTGTTTATGTTGCTTGATCATGTTTAATAACAGAAAGGCCCCCACTTAACTGGGTTGTTGCAGTAAATCAGAAGGATGCATTTCCTATTTCAGTAATGTAAGTTATTTCATTCGGATTTCACTGAGACATTACTGATATAATTTATTATACTAGGTAAATATAAGGTACCTGTAGAAATAATATGATTTATTTTCAAAAGAATGCTGGTATGAAGCACCTCTCTATAAATATATTCTTAGAAAAATAAAGAAGAAAGTTGTTAGAATTTATAATCTTTTGTTAGTAAAGTAGACCACGTGGAGAGATGGATTCTCTAAACTGAATATTGGTGTACTACATAGGAAAAAAAGGAAGAAAGTTCAGAAGAATTATTCTATATCCAGTGATTCTTAAATTAACTGAGAAGGCATTAAGACTTATTGGAATATTTCATGGTGAAATAGAAACTGAATCAAACAATGCTAAGAGAGAAAAAGTTACTCTTAAACAGAATTCTAAAGTGGAGCCTTTTTCATGCAATGAATTATACTGCATAGGTTTGTGAAAAATGATATATGCTTAGTACATCGGGTGCTTTTTCCTTGATGAATTTAAATAGTGAATCATTAGTAAATTAAGAATCTTTTTTGTGAGATGAATGATGGCATAATAATATGTTAATATGAATTGTCTTATTTTGGGGTATTGAATGTCATGCTTGTAGGAAGTGAAATAACAAAGAAGGAATCTAATAATTGTATTCTCTTTCCCAAAATAGGGGAAAAATAAATCTGATGAATGCTTTCATGGATTAGGGATACTCAACAGTTGTCAGTTAAATAGTATGTACTGGCCCCTCCCATCAGTTTATCACTTCCTGTTTACCTAGGCCACTTCCTGTTACCACTGTTAAATAGGCCACATTTCTTTCCACAACTGTTTACTCCAAACCATACAACAGCTGCCTCTGCATCAAGTCTGACTGTCATATTGGAGTGTGACTATCATTGTTTAAAATGTTATAGAAGTATTGTAGGGTCATTTTTCTGAATACATTTTATATGGTCTTTATAAGAAATTCTGTTACACTCTATTTGTTCTGTGTCACATACTATATTATCTCAAAATTGGAAGCATCAAAAACAAATTAGCTATTTTCCATGGCAAAATAAGCAGACAATATATTTCTTTAACCGTTAAAATAAGATACTATTTTCAGTAATCAACTTTTCCAAGCTACCATTGTTGTTGTTTTTCTGGGCTTGTGGTAACTTAATAAGTAGGTTTAGTTTTACTTTCCAACAAATTCACATTCCTCTCTCCTGAGAAGAGAAGTTACAGAACTATATATATGGTGAAATTCTTCTTGATTATGATTAAATTTCAAAGTATCACCAAATATCAGTATTCAATATACTGCTATAAAGATAACAATGTCTGTCTTCTTATTTCTGAAACTCACTTATGGCTATTACCACTTTGAATATGAAGTCAGAAGTTTAGCACATATTCAAGTTTGCAGGTATATGAGCTAATACTTCTGCAGAAATGTGAATTGCTACATGTGAGGTCTGAAAGATTTTATCTCCTAGTGTTATGGCTTATTTTGTTGAATATTAGTATGTGGCAAAGACACCTATAACTGTGTTTCTAGGTAAATCCCTTTGTGTGTAACACCAGGAGTGACTTTTACTTGCAACAAAATCTATTATTTACTTCACTAATTGTTCCTTATTATACTATTTTTCATTGAAGGACCACATGCCTTCCATATGAAAAATTGACTCTGCTGCTTACACAGGCCTGCATGTATCATCTTGGCTAAATTTGCTAGATTAAATGTCTAGGGAGCAGTGAATGTTAGATTATCCTCACAAAGGATTTGTCTGTCAAATATGGTACAGGGAGGCCACCAATGGCTAAAGCCATTCATACTTCTCTAGATGAACCTGCAGGGTACCAGACAGATACTGGAGAACTGAATGTAGAATCTTGCAAACTTCCCCAAATTTTCTGATAATAAATTATTATTGCCTGGGCTATTATATTTTGTTCTTAAGAAATTATTTCTGTAGGAATATGAACCTTGTATTCTGAAGGATTATCTCCAGTGAAACTGTGGGACCTCCAGTGCTTGAAGTTTGCTTTCCAGACAGCTTAGGCAGGCTTTGAATTCTATTAAACCAGACAATAGCACCCAGAAGAAAACACTTATCCCAAAGAACAGCTTTGCTACTTTTAAAGTCCTATTAAGTCGGGGAGTTGTTAGAAGAAAATAGTATCACTGTCTGTGGCAAAGGGTACACTAGTGAATGATATTAATCAGCCTCCCTGTAATTGTAGCTTTCCAGATAAGCTCAGTTGATTGGAAAGTGGTATTGATGAGGCCAAGGCCCTGGTCTGGAGACCAGTTTCATTCAGGAAAAAAAAAAAAAAAAAAAAAAAAAAAATATATATATATATATATATATATATACACACACACACACACACACACACACACACACACACACACACATATATACATATACACACACATATATACACACACACACATATATATATATATATATATGTTTTGAGTTTATAAATTCATAGTTTAATCCAGGTAAATGATCTTTTAAATGTAAGCATTGGTCATGAGTAATATTTGATGAGAAAATTCAGATGTTTTTATATGACCATGTGACTACCATGAGATGGATAAGGAACTCCAGGAGTAAAAAGATCAGGAACCTGATTTTACGTTGTGGCTTTGCCCCTTCTGCTTGATTGCTGGAAGTTTAGTCAACCTATCCGAAAATCAGATTCATTCTCTATAAAACTGAAATAATAATTCAGATGCCATATTGTTCTTGTGAGAAATAAGCAACATATGCAAAACCTCTAGCATGTTATTTAGCAAATTTGTAAGTGCTAAATCAATTATACTTATTATTATTATGTTATTTTTATCATAGTATTATGTCATGCATTAGTTTTATCTTCTTATACCAAGGGTGGCATCTATCCTTTCTTTACGAAATTTTAAATGAATATCTTTTTTTATTTATTTAAACAGTTCCATTTTCATTATGAACATGACAATTTCAGCAAAAAAAAAATAATAATAATAAATGAGTACCAGTTTTGTTCCCATAGCAGTGGAGAATGCAAAGGAGGACAAAATCTAGTGTGCTGGAAAATCTTCCAATTTAATCAGGAAAACAGGCAGCATGTAACCGCATGTATGTTTAAGTATTTTACTATAGGTCTATAGCATTCATGATGTGATCTCAGCTAAATAGGGAAATAGGAATAGTTTAAGTATCTTCAGGTAAAATAACCAGAAGATGTAAGTGATCTCCAAAATATCAACTTAATAGAAAGCTTCTGAGCAGTGTGGCTATAGGAACATATGATGTATTTCTAATGTAGGGTAGGACAAAACGGGATTTTATAATTGGGTTTGTCTCACCATTGCCCCTACCTGCACTCTCATCATGAATGTTATTTTCCCCTATTCATTTCTTGCTACCACCAGTGCATGCAGAGTAGCACTTCTTCTGTCAGCTGGCCAGTGGTAAAAGTTAGAGCAGGACATTATTTTTTTTCAGCTACCTTGCAGCTACCTTGCAAAGAATCCCAGGATATGAAAAAAATCTCCTTCTTACCCCTCCCCCAAATACAGGAACACTGATGCCAGTTGCTAGCAGGATGGACTTTGCTGTGGCCCAGTGCTTGTGGCAAATTTTCTTTACATTCTACCTTACTCAGATTGTGTTTATAAGACAAGTGAATCTAAACAACTGCAAACCAATTCAAAGTGAAGCTAAGCACAGGAGGGAATGTGAGAAATGAAGATATATGCTTTCTCCAATGAACATATCAATAATTCAGGACTCTATTGATGCTTTACTTCTTCCGCTTCATCTAATGCACCATACGTGGAACTCTGGTTCAATGTCAAAGGTATTTGGAGAGTTCCATCCAATCTTATAAGCAGGAATAATTTTGACTACATAAACCCTGAGGAGGTGGAGGGGTTATTGTTTCTTTCTGAACTCCATGACATAACTACATATTCTAATGGCATTTTTTATTTTCCTTTCACTTTCTAATGAACAACTTCTGGCTAAATCCAGTTATATTTCCATTTTGGACCGTAAATTTGGTGTGTCTAGAGAGCATATAATTTATAATTTAGTTACATAGATTTGAACAGGCACTAAATTCTTGCTGTGAAGTTGAAAACTAAGCAAAATATAAAATGTTGTTTGTTGAAATTTTATATTTCTCCTAAAACAGCTTAATTGCTTTTCTAGATTTGGGTAGCTATTTCAATGCTGAACTGGCTCTCAGTGGTCTGTTTCTGCAAATGTGTTTCTACCCCCACCTTGGGCTCTAATCCACCATGAATGATAACCATAAAAAATTGCATTTTTATAAAAGTTATAAAGTATCTTATACTTTGAATATACAGTACAAACCTCATCACTAGAACAAGAAATGATTTATAACCTTTTTTCTTTTTTAGTCTTACATCTGATGAGTGATTTAAACAGTAATTTAACTAATTAGGTAAAATAAAACCACACCAATTCAGACTAATTGTATGGAAAATTTTAAGGAGGAAGTGGAAAATCTGATAAAGAATTTTTAAATAAAATTTTATTCCTTCAAAATATTTACTATATCTTGTACTAATAATTGTGTCATTATACTTCTTTCGTATATTACTTTTTAAAGAAAAAACACACAAATTATTTGCAATTTGCACGTATCTTTGCACATACATGGACACCAGCCTGCTTTTGAATTGGTAGCTAAACCCTTTCCACTTGTCTTGTGCCCCTCCTAGTTCTTTGCTTTTTTTTTTTTTTTTTTTTTTTTTTTTTTTTTGAGGTGGAGTCTTGCTCTGTCACCCAGGCTGGAGTGCAGTGGCAGGATCTCGGCTCACTGCAAGCTCTGCCTCCCGAGTTCATGCCATTCTCCTGCCTCAGCCTCCCGCGTAGCTGGGACTACAGGCGCCCACCACCATGCTTGGCTAATTTTTTGTATTTTTAGTAGACACACGGTTTCACTGTGTTAGCCAGGTTGTTCTTGATCTCCTGACCTCGTCATCCTCCCGCCTCGGCCTCCCAAAGTGCTGGGATTACAGGCGTGAGCCACCGCGCCCGGCCTCCCAGTTCTTTGTTTACAACACTAAATTGCTTCACAAACTCCTTTGTCAGAGACTATACAAACATTGAAAGTGCTTCGAAGATACGAGGTTTAAACATCATTCTGTCATTTGTTACGTCACTCATTTAACCATATTTAGTAAATGCTATGGTTTACTAAATCATAAATAAGTGGCTCACTAACTTGAAATATTTTCCACATTCATGCCAAAGTGTTTGTGGAAGTTTTTTTTAAGGTTTTCCTAAAGAAATTCCCAGTATAAAATATTTCTTAAGCTACATGACAATTGCCTTTGTTAATATAAAATAAGGGATTAATATCTATGTTTTAATTAAAATAAGGTAAAGGTATTTGATTTAGATATTAGTTGCTTATATTTTATTGATTACAAGTTTTTCGAAGAGGAATAGAGTTCTATAATTCCTAAATTTCTTAACAGAAGTTATGTGAATGAATAATTCTATTATTGATGGTAGAGAGTAAATGTAATCAGGTTAGCCGAACTAATTAAAGCACACATAGCTGTTTATCTCTTTGAAATAAATTATACAGGTTAATATTGTAAACCAATGAAATAGGTTGTACTTTTTTGTAGTGATATCCTGGGAATGCAAGCAAAATTGCTTTTAGTTTTATTTGAGAAATCATTTCAAATTTTGGCCAACTAGTACAATATATATGATTCTTTGGCAATAATGGAAAATATCTGTACAGCTTGGTATAATCAGCTCTCTGCCTTGTAATGGTCTGCTTTACTGATCCAACTCCAGAGTTCACTGGAAATGTTTTTCTTTCCTCCCAAAGGTACATTTGTAGTTGAACCCCGATAAGAAAATTGAGAAGTTAAGTTTTCCAATTTGCAGTAAGATAAATTATACATTAAAAAGTAGAGTTCAGTCAAATTGGTTTAACATGTTTCTATTTTCTATCCATAAAAGTAGCCTCAGGGGGAAAAACTGCATGAACTAATAAAACCACAGATTGCATTTGAGGGGCCTTTATTTTTTTATTTGTGGTTGTTGTTGACTTGAACTCTGCCATCGGTATAAAACCTGAAGGAATTTTAAAACCCGAAGGAGTTTAAGTGTAGGGCTGGCACTCACCCTTTCAGAGCCTTAGTTTATTCTTCTGTTAAATTGCGGCAGGCATCAGATTGAATCTTATCTAAGGCTGGCTCCACTTCTGGTAGATAGTCGAGGAGGATACAAAAACAGGAATGTGAAAGACATCAAGAGAAGGTGAAAGCAGCTCCATCCGAATGTAATTTTTAACTCCGCAGATCACATTATTTCTAGAGATCAGAATAATCTAGATTGCTTGTAAAAGGCACATTCCTGATTCCTCCCCTAGAATTACTAAACGCACATCTTGAGGTGTAGATGGAGCTGAAATCCCAATTTTTTTGAAAGGAAATCTTGCTCTGTCGCCCAGGCTGGAGTGCAGTGGCGCGATCTAAGCTCACTGCAAGCTCCACCTCCCGGGTTCACACCAGTGTCCTGCGTGAGCCTCCCGAGTAGCTGGGACTACAGGCGCCCGCCACCACGCCCGGCTAATTTTTTTGTATTTTTAGTAGAGACGGGGTTTCACTGTGTTAGCCAGGATGGTCTTGATCTCCTAACCTCGTGATCCGCCCGCCTCGGCCTCCCAAAGTGCTGGGATTACAGGCGTGAGCCACGGCGCCTGGCCTGAAATCCCTATTTTTTAGCAAATGCCTTTTTTTTTTCATACTGTGATTGAGACCTAGTAATGGGTCATAAAGTCAATTTAGTGGATCTTAACCAGCATTTTAAAATTAAAGACAAGAATGGAATGGAATATGGAAAAAAAAAGTAACTGAACTTTATGAAGTAATGGACAATGTTGTTTCATGAAGTTTTCCTTTGGTGTGTGTGTTTATAGGATAGGAATGCAAAATTGATTTGTTACTGTTGGTTGTGATTAAAAAAAATTGAAAGTCACTGCCCCAGGGTTTTTTTACGCTACAGATTTTGAGAATGACTGTCCAGAACAATGCAAATTCTAAAATATTCCTATCCTGCTCACATTGAATATACCAAAGTTCACTTTATGAATGAGAGGCCCGTAAGGTATTGCTGTATTCCAGGTTTTGAAGGATAAAATTGCCCTTTTTTGACTTCCCTGACATGAATATTTTGTGTATCTGGAAATTTTTGTTATATTCTTGTTTAATAATCATCCCTTGTCTAATTTCCTATCTAGGTCCCAGCTCCTTAAAGCTGTGCTACTACCTGTAGCTCCCTCCTGTAAGGCTAATCTTATTTGAGCCTGCCCTATATGAGGTGGAATATACTATATCATCTGCTGCTGGTTTCATTTAAGCCTGTCAGCCAATAGGAAGCAGTAGCCTGTCTGCCAGAACTAGGCTAAGTCATCTGATAATCTCTAAGAGATCCTTTTGGGTTTCCGTTTACTGTTCACTCCATCTTTTGAAATCAGTCTTAATTTTCCTCACTATCCTTATAGAATAGGAACCACTTGACTATGACACTAATATTTTTTTTTTCATCTTTTATCAATTCTTCACCACATATGTGTGTTTGTGGGGTGGGGGTGAGGTGGGCTGGGAATGGCTGCAATCCTACGCATTGGGTCTTGCCATAACTAAACTTCCTGATAAGGGGTGGACCTGACTCCCACTTTATCACCTGCTATAAGCAACATCTCAATAGTAGTCATAAAAATGATGATGTTGATAATAACAATAATAATAATAAAACAAATAATGTGGTCCATATTTTACATAGTTTATATCAGTGATTCTCAAAACTTGGTGTGCATCATGATCATCTGTTTGTTTTCCTAAAACCATATCGTCTGATGTTTGGCTAAAGGACTTCTGAGTATTGAACAGTTTCCCAAGAGATCACCAGACACACAAAGATTGGGATTTACTGGGTTGTCTAACTTAAATCTTTTTGCTATACTGTGATGTAAGTATTCCCATTTTCCCCCCATATTAGAGATTAGGAAACTGAAGTTTAGAGGGGTTGTCTTATATCATAGAGCAAACGAATGGTAAAACTAGAACACAAAAACATATGGTGTGAGCAAAGAATAGAACCAATACATTTTTTTAAATTGCTGTTGAAATGGGAAAGTTCAATTATCAGCTCCAAGTCTGGTGCTATTTCCAGTTGAAGGAAGAATAGGTGGAGTGCTTGTGATTTAAGGAGTTGAATCTCCTCCCTCAGTCTTCCTCAAATATCTCTCAACTTTGAGATAAAATTTATATTCTTGAAATATATACTACTTATGAAAGATTTTCTTAAAGCACCAGGGATTTTAATTGGGCTAAGACACAGGAGCAACACATCATCTAAAAGGTAATACATCAATACTCTTCTTATCATCACCATGGGTATTTACAAATCAGTGCATGGAAGTCCCAGGACAGAGAAAGGGTAATTTGTCCTAGATGGTTCTGATGCAGTATGTCAGTAGAATGACTTGAGTAAAATATAGACATAAAAAATGCTAAAAGGCAGAAGAGATGGTAAAGACATAGATATAGAAATGCTTCATAGTGCTGTCTAGTGATGGCATTATATATGGGGAGTTCCTGGGCTTAAAGAAGGAACTTGCATTTGATCACATGGAAATAAAGTCAGGAATGGCACTCTATATTTGCAATATGATGATAAAAAATAGGGCTAGCACCAGTCTTACAAGACTAATTGCTAATTGAGGGGCAACATATGTCTTTCATGTCTTATGACAAGTGTTAGATAACTCTATGAAGATGAATTTTCTGGTTTTTGATGTCATCTTCATTGTTCATATAGTATCTAATAAATAAAACTCTATTACTCATCCTGTTTCTGAACAAACTCCCAAATATGATTGATTCCAATTACAAATTACTTTTACTAGAATGTACGATAGCTTTAAAAAACAACACCCAGCCATTTTCACAGAGTAAATAAAGTGAATGAGAAGAAATACTCATTTAAGTTTTTCTATAATCATTTTCAAAATGAAGGCTACCAGCTTCCAAAAAGATGTGAGGTATTTTATAATAAGTCACATTTACATTAAGACTATTAACATAGAAATAGTAAACAGAAAAACCAGATAGAGAGAGGAATAAGTATATATACCAATCCTACTTAGTTTATAAATCATATGGTGATGGAGTGCTGACATCCCTAGCAGCCAAGGCAGATTAAAATTAGGATGATTTCCCATTTTATTTTAGGGCCAGAGTAGATTTTTCAACCTTGCTGACATAGATACTGAGCTGTATGCAAAAATAATGTTAGGATGTGGTTCAGACATCAATATTTTTTTAAGTTTCCCAGGTAATTCAAATGTGCAGCCAGAGTGGAGAACAGCTGACTTGTGTAAAACACGGCAGGGAATTTACTGGGCTGTAAGAAAATGACTACAACCCACATGATGGAAGGTGAACTACATACCTTTTCCCTTACAATTGGCTTAAATGTAACCAACTGCAGATAATGTCTGGTGGAGTTCAAACTGGATGTCTAATTTTTCAGCCTAAGGAACTCATGAAAAACTCTTATCAGAAGTGGCTAGAATAATTGACTTCATTCTCCTGAGGACTGGTTTTCTTGTATAGTTCAAGTTCTACCGACCTTTACTTTTAAATAAACTGGGCTATGCTGAAATGTGGTTTAGTTATATCAGTGCTCTTATCAATATATTCAGAAGTCTCAGTGCCTGTTTATCAACTTCTTAAGGTTCAGTCAAGGCCATGACATTGCCTGATGAATAAGAACCAACCTGTGGATCAGTTAGCAACTATGCTATGTAACTGTGGGCAAGTTTCCTCCACGGGCATTGGTTTTCTTCTCTATAAAATGCAGAATAACACGAGTAATTACCCATAGTACTACTGTGACAAACGATAAGTATTAGGGAATGTCACTATGCATTTTAAGTACAAACACTTTATCAACTCAATTACTAAGAAGGCTTTGCCTTTCTTCTTTCGTTATGTTCTGGGAAATGTCTGCTACCCGTTAATCATTATCCACTGGAAAGGATGATCTTTCTATTGGTCAGTTGTTGCAGTATGTAAGTCTGTGGCCCAGCCCTGTATCTCTGTGTTTTTTTACTTCAGCGTTCTTTGTCAAACTGAGTGCAGGTAATAAATGTCATCCCTAGTTAATTCATGATCTGCCAATGTAAGCAGTTGTCATTTAAAAAAAACTGAAGCTAAACGTTTTTAAAAATGCCGACACTATCTTGTTCCTTCCCCCAGAATGAGTTAGCTTAATTACATGCTTTATTATTAATGCTATTTCTTAATACGTGCGATGCATATAATGAGATCCAGGGAGCAGAAACACTGGTGAATCAAACATTTTAATAGGCTATAATAAATTTAACAGATTATGGGTCCCAAAGTGTTATCATTTTAGTGCTTCTGAAGTGAAAATTAAGATATTAGTGAAGTAATGTGTAGAAAATGCCCATATCTATAAACTTTTGTGGAAAAAAAAGAGACTTGAAAAAGTCATAAGGAAAAAAGTTTAAAAAAATAAGGAATAAAACCCTTTTATTTTAGATATGGCTCACCAAGTCTTCAAATATGAAATGTAAACAGGCTTAGAAAGCCAAGTAGTAGTAGTAATAAAATATGATTGTTCTACTATTGCCTCATAGATTTGTTTTGCCCTCCTGTTTAAAAATATCCCTTTTCTACAAGCTTAAGAATTCAAACCATTTTTCTCAAGAAAAGGATAAATGAAATAAGTTGCTCTTGTGGCATTTACTATTGGATAATACATGGAGAACACTGGAAAATTTAGGTTATATTATCAAATTGTGCTTTAAAATTAAACTCCGGATGGCCAAAAGTACATCTGACAACTTTGCCCTTCTGAATAAGAATGACTTCTGTGACCCTGGGTTATGGCCAGGTTGTGAATATTCTCATTTTCCTAAAGAATCATGAAAATATCATAACTTAATATTATTTAGTGAATTTATTTTTCTCATTTCTTCTGAAAAGCTTAAGTTTTTATATAAATAACTCATCCTCTTAATATTTTTTTAACTCAAGTATAAAACAGAAACAAGAAAGAAGGAAGGAAGCAAAAGACAATAGCTACAGAGATGGTTAACTCCAATTAGGCTCCAATCAGGATTCAATAACTCTCTCCAGTGAAAATTAGGCCAATCCTGAAAATAAAGACGTTTATTATCAGTTATTTTTTATTCTTACAAGTGTGGAAAAAAACTCATTTCTTTCAAGTTCCTGGATTTTTTTTTTGTCTTAGTGTATATAACAGTTCCCTAAAATCTTCATCCTGTGGACACAATTCTGGGCTTAATTCAGTCATTTATAGAGCACTCTACAGTGTAAATCTGTTTCACTTATAAAGATCTCATCAGATCTTCATTGCATCTTTAAAATGGAAAGATTATCCTTTATATTTTCCAAAGATGAATCATGACTCAGAAATTGAGTGGCCAAAGATTGCTCAATTTATAGTTGATGTCACAGAAGAAGTTCTGGATTCCTGACTTGAAACTCCATGAATTTCCCTAAATACAATATTAGTTATCTGAAAAGAGAGAACCAAAATGTAAATTTGCAGTGTTTATGCCTTACAAGGGATTCCAGAGACCTAGCCTACTTCATTTTTTTTGTTTTTGGTGTTTTTTTGTATTAAAAGGATACTACATGTAAAAGTAAGACTATAAAGACTATTTTGATGATTTTACACTTATTAAGCTAACATTTTTAAACACAAAATATACAACACAATATATTGAGTGTTTTATAAAATAAGTGTAATTGTTAGAATGACATGTGATTTGCAGTGCCCTACAGGTGAACCCAACAGGGAACACCCATTTAAATTTCAATGATGACTATAGCCTCTTTCATAAGTATGAAACCCAAGCCCAACTCTGTCACTTCCATCTACTCCCCACCATAACCAGGATCTACAACCTACTATATAAGTTTTCTATTGCTTTGTAAGAAACTACCAGGAGCATATGGCTTAAAACAATGCACATTTGTTACCTTATATTTCTTGATGTCAGAAATGCAAAATCGGCCTCACTAGACTAAAATCAAGGGGGCTGGCAAATCAATGTTTGTTATGGAGGCTCTCTTGCCTTTCACAGCTCTTGGCATGCAGCCCACTCCCTCCCTCTTCAAAACTACCCATGGTGAATAGAATCCTCACAGTGCATCCCCTGACCTTCTTTTCTGTCTCCCCCATCTCCTTTTAAGAAACTTTGTGATTATAATGGGCCCACCCAGATGATTCAATAGACAATTTACCCATTTTAAAGTCAGTTGATTAACAAACTGCATTTCGTCTGCAACCTTAATTCCCCTTTGCATGTGAAACATGTCTCCGCTTCCATTCATTAAGACTTGGACCTTGTTGGGAGTCTATTTTTCTACTTAGCACACTCACCTTCAATTATTTCCCTGCAGTCATCTGACTTGTACTAAGTAATAAAAATTAACATATGCTCGGCGTTGAATATATTTTTCCTTATGGTCACTGGTAGCTTTCCTTTCTAACAAAGTGCAGATAAGGAAGTTAAAACAAATGAGTGATGGGAGTGGCAGAGGAAATAAGTTCACCTGTGTAGTAAAAGGTTTGGGTGCCAAAGTCAGGTTTCAGTTCAGCTTAATAATTTAATGCTTAACTAACACTTCAGAAACTGACTCTATTTGTCTGTCTTGATTCCTGTGAGACATTTTAATTCATCTTGACCAGGAAAAGGTATTTAAGGACACAAACCTTCATTCCACAGAATATGAAAACCCAAGGATTTTAAATGTATGTAGTTTCCTAAACAGATTTCACCAGGTGCAGTTTATGTGAAATGTCTAAGATAGAAAAAGAAAAAAAAGAAAAAGAAAATGGAGCATCTGTTTGAGTGGATCTTAACATGCACGTTTCATTTTCATTCATTTCATTATGGGACAATTGATTCCAATGCTCATGATGCAGGCCCCTATCTGTGCTTCTGTGTATTTTAGGAGGTAGCTTTTTAAAGTTGGTTTTTTGTCCTTGTTTATTTGTTCATTTTTAGTGTTTTACATACTACTGGAGTTCCACTTGGCTCTTCAGCATTGCTCCCTTGAACTGCTGCAGACTAACTCCAACTGTGTAATTTACCATGTAGGTTTATCGACCTCATTCAGCTGCGTCTGGAACTCCATGGTTCTATAGGGTAGTCATGCAAAGCAACAGAGCAGCATGTGAACTGAGCTTTTGATGATTATCACAATGAGAAAATGAAAAACAAAAAAAAACCACAAAAATAAAAGAAACCTTTGCTTGTATTCTGTGAATGCTTTTGTACGATTAATCCACACTTTGCCCAACTGGGTTTAATGCCTGACTTTGCAGCATGTAGATTTTTCAGCACAGTGGTAGGCACAAAGCAAGTGCTTAATAAGTCTCTGTTGGATTGCATGTCATTGTGAAGATAGTATTTTTCGCATTAGTTGCTTGTCAATATCTCTTTTCCTGACTAGGACTCCCTCTGTCTTCCTGTCTTTCTGTGGGTGTAATCATAGAGCCTTACAAGGGCTTGACTCAAATAAATTGGAAGGTGAAATCCAGCTGTAGTCCAGCATGCTTTCTCTGTTCTATTTTACACCAGCCTTGCTATCCTCTGCTATTAGAATTATACATTTTAGATAAATGAGATCTTGCAGCCTTTTACACACAGTAGGAATTCAATATTTTTATGAGGCTAAGAAGAAATCACAGAAGAGATGGTTTCAGAGGTAGGGAAGATTTAAACAAACATATTCCAAGGAACTTATCTTTGGGAATGTCTTTGCTTTTCCACAAAGATATTAAGCTTAAGGAAACCTTGCCATTTCTGTGCTTTCCGTTAAGTTAATTAACTAAGATGTTTGATTAGTATGCATATTTTGTGATATTCCAAGATACATTAACATTTTCAAAGCCAGGCAGTATGCTAAGGAATTTCTCAATAAGTGAACAAAGTCTACCCTGAAATCATTGATTTCAGTCATTTAGTCACTGATCCAACCCATATACTCTTACGGTTTCAAAGTCATATGGTTTAAGAGAATTAAACAACTGAAAAGAATAGTAAATATCACCTATTAAAATTCCCTCATTTTAAAGTTGAAGGTATTAATGCTGAAAGATTAGGTATTGTCCCATATTTCACACAACATCAAAACCACTATTTGAATCCAAGTCCCCCAAACCCCTAATTCAGTTATTTCCAAAAGAACAAGACATATTAAAACATGTTAATATGTAGCAATTGGTAAAAACAATTTTTAAGATACTGTCATTGAAACAGAGCTATAATGGATAAATGCTGCCTATAAAGGCTATACAGTATAGTTGAAAAGTCCAGAATAGTGTGTAAACATTTTAATACAATTGAAGAACTATAAATGTTGAAACAATGAGATATATTTGGTTCAATAGCAGCTACACTTTCCAGTAATTTGATATATTAGAAAAGTGCTGTTATATAGCATCTTGAATATTGCATTTCAAGGAATTAAAAATAAGTAGATTATGGACCAGGCACTGTGACTCACACCTGTAATCCCAGCAGTTAGGGAGGCCGAGGCAGGAGGATCACCTGAGGTCAGGAGTTTGACACCAGGTTGGCCAACATGGTGAAACCCTGTACCTACTAAAAATACAAAAATTAGCTGGGCGTGGTGGCGGGTGCCTGTAATCCCAGCTACTTGGGAGGCTGAGGCAGGAGAATCGTTTGAACCTAGGAGGTGGAGGTTGCAGTGACCCAAGATCATGCCACTGCACTCTAGCCTGGGTGACAGAGTGAGACTCAGTCTCAAAAATAAAATAAAATAAAGCAGATTATGGTCCCAGCAATAATTTTTAAAATGTGCATTGTTGAGGATCCAGATGCAAGGAAAAATATTATTAAACCAAGATTCAAGCTGATGACCTGTCTATGGACTTCTCAGCAACTGTGTATGAAGATGAAGAACACTGGGCTATGGAGACCTCCAGCAGGGGAGTTAAAGAAATGGGCTTCCTTGGCAACAAAAGCCAAAATAGACAAATGGGATCTGATTACCTAAAGAGCTTCTGCACAGCAAAAGAAACTATCATCAGAGTGAACAGGCAACCTACAGAATGCGAGAAAATTTTTGCAATCTACCCATCGACAAAGGGCTAATATCCAGAATCTACAAGGAACTTAAACAAATTTACAAGAAAAAACAACCCCATCAAAAAGTGGGCAAAGAATATGAACGGACACTTCTCAAAAGAAGACATTTACTCAGCCAATGTCATATGCAAAAATGCTTATCATCACTGGTCATCAGAGAAATGCAAATTAAAACCACAATGAGATACCATCTCACACCAGTTAGAATGGTGATCATTAAAAAGTCAGGAAACAACAGATGCTGGAGAGGATGTAGAGAAATAGGAATGCTTTTACACTGTTGGTGGGGGTGTAAATTAGTTCAACCACTGTGGAAGACAGTGTGGCGATTCCTCAAGGATCTGGAACTAGAATTACCATTTGACACAGCAATCCCATTATTGGGCATATACCCAAAGCATTATAAATCATGCTACTATAAAGACACATGCACACGTATGTTTATTGCGGCACTACTCACAATAGCAAAGACTTGAAACCAATCCAAATGTCCAGCAATGATAAACTAGATTAAGAAAATGTGGCACATATACACCATGGAATACTATGCAGCCATAAAAAGAATGAGTTCATGTCCTTTGTGGGGACATGGATGAAGCTGGAAACCATCATTCTAAGCAAACTATTACAAGGACAGAAAACCATTCACTGCATGTTCTCACTTGTAGGTGGGAGTTAAACAATTAGAACACATGGACACAGGGCAGGGAACACCACACACCAGGGCCGGTTCGGGGGTGAGGGGCTAGGGGAGGGATAGCATTAGGAGAAATACCTAAATTACGAGTTGATGGGTGCAGCAAACCAGCATGGCACATGTATGCCTATGTAACAAACCTGCACATTGTGCACATGTACCCTAGAACTTAAAGAATAATAAAAAAAAAAAAGAAGAAAAGAAAAGAGAAAAAAGAAATGGGCTTCCTAATTAAAGAGTCCCCTATGGAGTACATTGATTAAAAATTGCAATGAAGAAAAAAGTGAAAGCACAAATGCCCAATGCTAAGGTGATATAGATTAATTAGAGAATGTACAGAGATAAGAAATTAGGATAGCATCCTTTAGTATAATTGGCCATAAGGTGGAAAAATGTGGGAATGAGGAGTTTACAGTATTTTTGTCTCTCAGAATGTCACACAACAAAGATTAAATCAACTAGAAAATCTAGAAGAAACCGGTAAATTTCTGGACACATACACACTCCCAAGATTAAACCAGGAAGAAGTTGAATCCCTGAATAGACCAATAACAAGTTCTGAAATTGAGGCAGTAATTAATTGCCTACCAACCAAAAAAATCCCAGGACCAGAAGGATTCACAGCCAAATTCTACCAGAGGTACAAAGAGGAGCTGGTACCATTTCTTCTGAAACTATTCCAAACAATAGAAAAAGAGGATCTGGTACCATTTCTTCTGAAACTATTCCAAACAATAGAAAAAGAGGGCCTCCTCCCTAACTCATTTTGTGAGGCCAGCATCATCCTGATACCAAAAGCTGGCAGAGACACAGAAAAAAGAAAATTTCAGGCCAATATCCCTGATGAACATCCATGTGAAAATCCTCGATAAAATACTGGCAAAGCAAATGCAGTAGCATATCAAAAAGCTTATGTACCACGATCAAGTCAGCTTCATCCCTGGGATGCAAGGCTGGTTCAACATATGCAAATCAATAAACATAGTCCATCAGATAAACAGAACCAATGACGAAAATGACATGATTATCTCAATGGATGCAAAAAAGACCTTAGATAAAATTCAACACCCCTTCATGCTAAAAACACTCAATAAACTAGGTATTGATGGAACATATCTCAAAATAATAAGAACTATGTATGACAAACCTACAGTCAATATCATACTGAATGGGCCAAAGCTGGAAGCATTCTGTTTGAAAAACGGCACAAGACAAGGATGCCCTCTCTCACCATTCCTATTCAACATAGAATCTGAAGTTCTGGCCAGGGCAATCAGGCAAGAGAAAGAAATAAATGGTATTCAAATAGAAAGAGAGGAAGTCAAATTATCTCTGTTTGCAGATGACATGATTGTATATTTAGAAAACCCATCTTCTCAGCCCAAAAACTCTTTAAGCTGATAAGCAATTTCAGCAAAGTCTCAGGATACAAAATCAATGTGCAAAAATCACAAGCATTCCTATACACCAGTAATAGAAAAACAGCCAAATTATGAGCAAACTCCCATTTGCAATTGCTACAAAGAGAATAAAATACTTAGGAATACAACTTACAAAGGATGTGAAGGACCTCTTCAAGGAGAACTACAAACCACTGCTCAAGGAAATAAGAGAGGACACAAACAGATGGAAAACATTCCATGCTCATGGGTAGGATGAATCAATATCGTGAACATGGCCATACTGACCAAAGTAATTTATAGATTCAATGCTATTCCCATCAAGCTACCATTGACTTTCTTCACAGCATTAGAAAAAAATACTTTAAATTTCATTCGGAGCCAAAAAAGAGCCCATATAGCCAAGAAAATCTTAAGCCAAAAGAACAAAGATGGAGGCATCACGCTACTTGACTTCAAACTATACTACAAGGCTACAGTAACCAAAACCTAGTGGTACTAGTACCAAAACAAATATGTAGACCAATGGAACAGAATGGAGGCCTCAGAAATAACACCACACATCTACAACCATCTGATCTTTGGCAAGCCTGACAAAAACAAGCAATGGAGAAAGGATTCCCTGTTTAATAAATGGTGTTGGGAAAACTGGCTAGCCATATGCAGAAAACTGAAACTGGACCCCTTCCTTACACCTTATACAAAAATTAACTCAAGATGGATTAAAGATTTATATGAAAGACCTAAAACCATAAAAACCCTAGAAGAAAACCTAGGCAATACCATTCAGGACATAGGCATGGGCAAAGACTTCATGACTAAAACACCAAAAGCAATTGCAACAAAAGCCAAAATTGACATATGGAATCTAATTAAAGAGCTTCTGCACAGCAAAAGAATCTATCAGAGTGAACAGGCAAACTACAGAATGGGAGAAAATTTTTGCATTCTATCCATCTGACAAAGGGCTAATATCCAGAATCCACAAGAAACTTAACAAATTTACGAGAAAATGCAACCCCGTTAAAAAGTGGGCAAAGGATATGGACAGCCAAAAGAAGACATTTTTAAGCATCCAACAAACATATGAAAAAAAGCCCATCATCACCAGTCATCAGAGAAATTCAAATCAAAACCACAATGAGATACCCTCTCATACCAGTTAGAATGGTGATCATTAAAAAGTCAGGAAACAACAGATGCTGGAGAGGATGTGGAGAAATGGGAATGCTTTTACACTGTTCTTGGGAGCATAAATTAGTTCAACCATTCTGGAAGACAGGGTGGTGATTCCTCAAGGATCTAGAACTAGAAATACCATTTGACCCAGCAATCTCATGACTGGGTATATACCCAAAGGATTATAAATCATGCTACTATAAAGACACATGCACACGTATGTTTACTGTAACACTATTCACAAGAGTGAAGACTTGGAACCAACCCAAATGCCCATCAATATTAGACTGGATAAAGAAACTGTGGCACATACACACCATGGAATACTATGCAGCCATAAAAAAGAATGAGTTCATGTTGTTTGCATGGACATGGATGAAGTTGGAAACCATCCTTGTCAGCAAACTAACACAGGAACAGAAAGCCAAACACCACATGTTCTCACTCATAAGTGGGAGTTGAACAATGAAAACACATGGGCACAGGGAGAGGAACATCACCTACCAGGGCCTGTTGGAGGTTGTGGGGGCAAGGGGAGGGAGAGCATTAGGAGAAATACCTAATGTAGGTGATGGGTTGATGGGTGCAGCGAACCACCAGGGCATCTGTATACCTATGTAACAAACCTGCACATTCTACACATGTATCCAGAACTTAAGGTATATTAAAAAAAAAATCACCCCCCCCCCCAAAAAAAAGAACTACTAGAACATAGCCATGTCCATTTATTTACAGATGTTCTATGGCTGTTTTTACACTCCGTTGGCAAAGCCGAGTAGCTGTGGCAGAGACCTATGGCCCACAAAACCTAAAATATTTACTTTCTGGCATATTACAGAAAAAGTTTGCCAGACCCTTGACTAGGTTTAAAATAACGCAGCAATAAAGAGCAAAACCTAAATTGAATGATTGTGTTAACAATATAGAGGAACCACAATTTGTGTTTTAAAATATAATATCTTTTTTAGAAGTTTTTAGAAAAACAATTGCCTACATTAACTAAGAGTTTTAGGCTTTGGCTATTCTGTTTCCTGACATTTTTCATTAGTGGCGGAAAAAACCCGAGAAGCTGACTTGCACTTTTAGGCTAGAGTAGTTCTTGCATTAGTCTGAATATTGAAATTCATTATTTTCTTCTCATTTGCAAAATCAGAATATTAATCTGATCCACATAGGGATGGCACGAAAAGTGACAACATAAATGAAATGAATAGCATTTTCCTGGCACAGAGTAGCTGCTTTTTTTAAAAAAAAAATTAATATCATTGTTTTGTTGCAATAATTAAATAGTTTGTAATCACTGGACTAAGAATTATAATAAGCACCTACACTCATAATTTCTAAAGTACAGATATAAACAATAATGTCAAATATGTAATTGCATTCAAGTCAAAGGAAATATAGTTATTTAACTTCTGCCCCAAATGAGAGTTTTAATTAATGAATCCAAATGTCTCAACATGTTTCTTGTTAATATCCTTTCATCTGCTATTGACTTGAAAGAAAGAAAGGCAGTTTGAAGTATGGAGGCATCTTGAAATGTTAGCAAAAGAAAACACCCCTAAAAAGTTTAAAGGCCTAACTAAAGTTTGTTTCAGAGTTCTGCCAGATATAGTCCAACTAATGCACTATGGAATCCTAAATATGTTTGTTCAATAGCCACTGACACTGGTTGAGACTGTTTGCAGATTAATCAGTGCCTGTTCATTTGCAAGGAAAGATCTCACAGCCTTAGCCCCTCTTTAAAAATGAAATGCAGCACTCCTTATAATAATGCAATGTTCTGCTCCATGACTGTTTCAGTGCTTTTTGACTGACAAAAAGAGTCATTAGAATTCTGTTTGATGGACATAACTAAGTGAATTGGAAAAAATAAAAAAGCCTTTTCAGCCCATTCAGAAATAATTGATGTGACTGAGACAGCTGTATGTGAGTTCCAGATAAGGAGACGATTTATGGAGAAACTACTGAAGCTAAAAAGGAAGGTGCAGATTTAAAGTTCCCAATAAAGTTGTCTGTAAGACAAAGAGCAGTATTCAATAAGGAAAGAGATTTAACCTGAGGTTCTTTCCAATAGATGGCATCCTTAGGGTCCTATCCTTTTGCCAATAAAATCCCCATAAAGGTAGTGTCACTAGGTTATAAAAAATGGACTCCAAGGGGAAAGCATCTGCACTCTTAGCCTTGTGCTATATTTTCTGTTTTACTGTAACTATTGTGTACAGGTTGTAACTTAGAAAATTTTGCTTAGTAGATGAAAGGCACTTATTTTTAATACGTCCGATTGTGGGACATAATATTTGCTTTTATGATGTGATGGTTACTTTCTAATTAATCTAACCAGGATGGATAAAAATAAAGTTTTTAATATTATTATTATATATATATTTGTTAATATTCTTCTGGTCTCTATTGCTTTTCTTGGAAACTATACAGGAACTTTTGGACAAATATTTTTCCAAATAGGTAACACCTGTGAATGTTACACATATTTTGCAATCATTGTATTCTGAAAGCAGAATACATTAATAATATAATATTGATAACATTAATAGTCATGTGAATTTCAAAATTAACTTCCTCAAATGTGCAGATTATAAGTAGTAAATGTTACTACATCAGTACTGTCAAAAAGGTAGGGTGGTTATATAGTTCTCTAAAATTAAAAAAATAATAAAAATGAAGTCACAAAACAAAATAAAAAATAAAGAAGTTATTATAGTACAATTTTGACTTCTGCTTTCTAGAGATTTAAAAATATGGACTTTTTTGAAAATTGTTTCAGTCTTCTAGTGAATTTGAAATATGTGGACTTAACTTTCCTTGAACTCTCTGTGTGGAGAGCGGGATAGAATTTGGCTGCTAGTTTATTTTTTGAAAAAAAGGTACAGTTTTTGAGAGCTTTTCATGTCATCTCTAAATCTGTCAACTGCCTACATTTAGGGTGACTGTTAGGTGCTTTATGTTATCAATCATAGAGATGCAATTTTACGAAAGGGAATAATGAATCAAATGCTCACGTCATTTTCCCTTCATGAGTGCCTTATCCTTTGCAATAATATCATTAGAACAGAAGCCTTCTTTCTGCAATCCAGATGGATTCTAATTCTTCTCTTTACCTAAGAAGGCAGTCTTTCTCTTGATCCCAGTTTCACCAATATGCCCATTTTAGCATCTGTTTATATTTTTCAGAAAACAAAACTACCCAGTGCAAATGCATTTACTGGATATGTCACATAGTACACCCCACAGCAGTCAATTTAATAAATCCTAATTTGCTATGTTTGTCCTTTTAAGTCTCTGAGATTAGTTTCATTCAGAAATGATCACTGTAATCGCACACCCCTTCCTCTGATCTCACCCACATTTTAGGGCAGAGGGGAGGATATGAAAAGGCCACCATGTTCAGGCCTCCCAACAGCAGAAGAGCAAGCATGGCAGATAGAGGACCTCTCCCTTAACACTTTTGCCTACTCGTGTGGCCTCTAGATTTCCAGAAAATAAAGTGAATAAAATTAAATAAGGAGAGAACAATGTTCATTATAAGTATATGGTAGTTTAAAAAAGTGTCAGCTCTAATGCATTTCCATCAGCTGGAGGCTTAGAGGGAGAATGATGGTACGTACAATGCTGCAGGAATTGTACATTATCTGGGTTTTGCCTTTGAATATATTTGTAACAAACTCTAAAATGTCTGAGTAGTACCTATAGGAGGGTATGTCCTTAAGTGAAAGTCTCTAGTATGTCATAATGGAAACAAAAATAGTTGATAAATACCATTCCAAAATAACTGAATAGAGAAATATTCATGCTTAATGAATGATTAGATTCAAATAGCTTTTAAAAATGTTGAGTATTATTGTATGTACATATTTGCATTACAAATAATTTGCATTTAGGAAAATAAAATTTTAGCACTTTAATAGGATAATTAGGTTTGAAATTTTTTGTGGATTTTAGAAATTCTATTTAGAAGCTTTACTTGGCCAGCTCTATATTTTCTTAAAAAGCATCAAAACAATGGGCCATAACTCTAGTTATATAGCTGTGGCCTGAGGTATACTACCGTTTATAGTATATGTCTTTGAGGGAGCTTAAGGCTCTTTTTATAAACTATCTCATTAATTCTGAGAGAATGTAAGTTAGCAAGGGGCAGTTACTATTGTCTCCATTATACATACCCTGAGCCTAAGGCACAACAACCAAAAATCAGGTAACTTGTCCTCTAGGTCACGTAAGGTTTCTTGGAATAGAATTCTTTTCTTGTTCTGTTATTTTTTGTGTACTGTTTCTTTCCCATTAAACACACATACACACACATACCCCATTAATAAAATTCCTCAAAATATTTTACTGTTTTTATAATTATTCTGATTTTATTTCTCTCTTAATTCTAGCTAGCTTGTCTTCTTTGCTCTCTTTCATTCTGCTCCCACCTTATCTTGTTGAGCACCCCTTTTTGCTTACATCTCCAAATGTTTATTTTAAAGCAAAACTTCTTCAGTGCCAATGAAGAAAGACACAAATGTAGATCAATAAATCAAACACTTTACAGAAATCTTTGTTTTAACTTCTACCCTATTTCTCTCTTTTTTCATACTTTTAAGGGTAGTAGTACATTCCCACTTTCTCTATTTCTCCATTGATTGACAAGCCAATCTTCTACTTCTTTTGGTCCAACCTACAATTGTTCCCCAGAGTTTAGAGATACTGTAGCCACAGTGGCCTTCTAAAGGATAAATCCAATGGGCATGTGGTAGTCAGCATCCTTCTTAATGTCTCTGATGCTTTTGATCACATAGGATTGCCTTTCTGGAAATGTTACGCTTCCTTGACTTCTGAGTTTTGAAAGTGACCTGCTTTTCATTCTCACCTCTGTTGTTGTTGTTGTTGTTGTTTTTGAGATGGAGTCTCGCTCTGTCACCAGGCTAGAGTGCGGTGGCGCGATCTCGGCTCACTGCAACCTTTGCCTCCCGGGTTCAAGCGATTCTCCTGCCTCAACCTCCCAAGTAGCTGGGATTATAGACATGTACCACCACGTCCAGCTAATTTTTGTAGTTTTGGTAGAGACGGGGTTTCACCATGTTGGCCAGGATGGTCTCAATCTCTTGACCGCATGATCCGCCCACCTCAGCCTCCCAAAAGTGCTGGGATTACAGGTGTGAGCCACTGAGCCTGGCCCTCACCCTTTTTTTCAAATTGCTTGCTTCTAGCAATATGGAGTATGGAATCCATAATCAACTCCCAAATATGTATTATCTATCCAATTTCTTTTAGAGATCTCAACCAACAAACCACTGCCTTTGCACTGCCTGTCCTAAATTCCTGAGTGTTACAGCATGTTGTTTATGCCTCCATTTTGCTGGAAACTTGATCACATTATATTTTTGTGCTTTTATGTACTGATAAGGTTTTGAGTTTCTTAAATGTGTAGAATCATTGTTGGAGCACCCTCGAAACCCTGGAAAATAATGGGCATAAAAATAAATGGAGGTCTAGTGAATTAATGACTCAATCCAATCAGCTACATGGGCTTTCTTCATAATGGCCTTGCTGTCCGTTTTCACTGCCACTACCTTCTCTCAGCCTTACCTCTCGCTAGGTAAATATTTCATTATACTTTATCTTCTAGCATAATCTTCTGCCTTCAACATTTCTTCTTCCTCCTCTTTCATAAGGAACTGTCAGAAAATGTCTTCATTATTGGCCTTTTATTTAGATAATTCACTTACCTAAAGAAATTCTTTGATTTTCACTCTCTTGTTTTAATTCATTCACATACCTCATCCACAGGTTTTGGAATAATTTTCTTTAAGATCTCTGTCTTGCAGTACTTATTCAAGTCTGTAGCTTGTCTTCATAATTTCAAAGAGCTGGCAGACTGTCACTCTTCCTCAAGCTCTTTTGCTTTCTCTTCTATTAGATAGACCAATTTACATTTACAAGACACAAAATCGTTTATCACCCCAGACAGAAAAATGCAAAGTTCAGACACTGCAATTTACTAAATGTCTTTATGACCATACTTTTAAGTCTCAAGATGGAACCAGGAGTCTACTGACTCTCCCTGGAAACTATTTTATACCCTTAAAGAACCAGCTAATTGCCTGGAGCACATTGCTTTTTGAACCTCTACCTATGTTCTTCCTGACAATAAAGTTTCTCATTCCTTTCTGTGCCTCTTCATCAGCTGGGGATTTTTAAAAACTCCCGATCTCTGAGTCCCGCCCTGAATGCTGATTCACTGGGTTTAAGTTGGGACCAGATATTGGCATTTGTTTTTTTCACAAGTTCTCTGGGTGATACTAAGTCACATCTAGGTTGAAGAATTATCACGTAAGCTATTCTACTTCAGAGTATCAGTAATTAACAAAGTGACAGTTACATATATAATGCAAATTCATTCTCTGTCAGGAGTTGACACTCTGCTTTACATTTCTGCTTTAGTCAATCTTTCTGGAATATATAAATAATATGAATATTGTGTCATAACCTTTGCGGTAAAACTGAACTATCTTTTCAAGACTCAATTGTCTGCCTCTCTCTCTTGCTGTTTCTCTCTCTGTCTCTCTCTCATTTCATCTAACTCTGTATGTCTGATATACTACTTAAATTAAATCTTAACTCTTGCATCAATGGGAGCTCTTTCAGAATTTTCACTTCTGTATTAATTTGGTTCACACTGCCAACTTAAATACTTGGCCACAAAAAATTTATTATTCAAAACTGTCAAAATGAATCTGAAGAGCTAGTGATATAATGCTGATACCATACTATAGCATTCTAATTAAAATATTTTAAAATATGAATAAAAATGATAGGTGTGATATATTATAATCCATTGTATGATACATTTTATTTTGAATATTTATTGTGAGTTATGTTTTTATAAATTCAGATATTATTTTAAATGCAAAAAGCATTTTATACAAGAAAGAATTGATGGATCTAAGTATTTTCTAATATATAAATAGATAAAAATATTTTAAAATTATGCCATTTTTACTTCTAAAATAATTTATAGAGATTAAAATATGCACAGTCAAAATAGGGTAGGAAATCAAGAAAACAAAATGCATAGATTCATAGCAGTCATTACATAGTACATTACAGATAAATCATTATTTTATTGTTAACATTTTTCATTATAAACATAGCTATCACCGGTTTCTCTGCTAGCCTATCCACTTTTTGTGGAATAAACATTTAAGCACAGATTCCAAAATTTTTCCAAAATTATTCCAAACTTCACCCAAATGTCACTCTTTTTTTCTACTTTTATATCAAAATGAAACACCATTTCTAATCATTTCTTATTTTCTGTTTCTAAGTTTATTGGTATGTCTTATGTATTTCTGTATTCATTTTGAGTTTTCTTTTTGTGTTAATGAAGGTATTCTAAAAGATTTGAAAGTCATTAAAATAGAATTAAGAACAGCAGTTGACCCTCCTTTCTCTTTTTATGTAAGTGTTTGTTTTTAAACCCATTGCTATGTCTTTAAATGGTAATATGTCTGCATGACCCTTGGCATTCTTAGCTAAATTCAACATTGTCATTAAAATTTCATTGCCCAGAAGTGTTTACTGATTATTTTGTGTGTGTAGAACAATGTGGTTTTAGGAGACTGTCAGTGGTCTCATTTCCAAGGTGAGACCAAAAACATTAAACAGTCACAGGTGTGAGAAGTGGGGTGGATGGGGTGGGTGAGGGTTGGGAGAAAAGAAAATATGCACACACAGGTAAAAATGAGAGTACAAATTGATTTCTTTATTTTTTTAAATACAGGGTATTTACATTTCTTTATTTTTTTTAAAATACAGGGTAAAATATCACAACTATATTACCATCAAGAAATATGAGAATCATTAGTGAAATAAGAATAATGTTTCTAGAAAGTTTATTGTCAGTAAATTTAAATCCATAACATACATGCTATGTATACTGAAAATATTTGTAATTGTTTATAAATACTGCAGTTCCAATTCAGTGAAACATTATAAAGAAGAGAACATGAATTAAATGTTTTCCTTTTGTATTAAGATTCAACTATTCTGATTTTGACTTTGAATTAGAATAAAAAGGAAACTTTGTAAAGATTGTACACTTCAAATAAGTACATGAATTGTGAGCTACTGGGTTAAAAATACCAATAATTCACAATGTTTTCAGCTAGTCTTCCATCTATGACAAAATAAAGGGTAATTTTATGGAAGCATGTGTTTGTCTTTAGCAAAACTAATTTATAAATTAGGGGGAGATGTTATAACTCTTCTTAGCTTTCCCATTAATAACCTACCATGTGCATATAATCCTTAATATTTCTAAAATTCTACTGGTCCAGGTCGTAATTAGTAATTTGTATCATGAACATTCAAGTTATAAAGGTGCAAAAAAGATTTTGTAAACTTTCATTATTTTCTAGCAACATTAATTTTTTACTTTGTAGTAGAAAGAAACAGTCTGAGTTATAAGTTTAAAAATATGTACACTTCTGACATTTTCAAATTCATGCAGCAGCTTTATGGATACAACTATTGCCAAAAATAATCTCAGACTGACATTACAGAACATTTTTATATGTTTTTCCAAATTATTATTATGTAGCACTGTCAATACATGGCATTGGTTTGTTCCTTTAATGAGCCTAATTTATTTTAATTTATTTTATTTTGTGGTTAACCAAGATAATCTGCAAATACCTTCCATAGTAAATCTTCAGTCCAGCCATTGTCAGTAACATAGTAAATTGTGGAGTTCAACTGGATAGTTTCATAAAATTTTTTAAAAACAAATTAAAGGCTGTACATGATTTTACTTTATTGAACGAATCACAAACAGTAATATTAAGAACATACAATTAAACTTTATAGTTTATTTCCTACTCACTGTTTAGGGATACTTTTATCTATTATTGCAATATGACTCTTACAATTTCAAGGTCCATAGGCAATATTTTTATAGGAATGATGTAATAAACATATTTGTGTTTCCTAGCACTGCATCTAAATTCCTATTTGTCAGCTGTACTTTGAACAGTTTAAGTCAACTGCCAACCCATTTGATTTTATAGCTTTGTATGATATGGACAAAGTATTTAAAAATTGAGTCTTCTTACAATGGATTAGTTCAATATTTACTGCCTTCACAAATCACTGACCTTGTTTTTTTAGAGGCCATTTCTGGAAAGCATATCTGAAGTGAATACTATAGAATAGAAAAAGGTTGAATATGTGGAACTAACATATCAGATTTAAATGTATGTTTTAGTGAAATTACTGTTTTTTTATCTCTGTTTCTGAAAGGGAATTTCCAGTTTTTCCATAATAAAATCTAAGCTCTAGACATTGCCTTAGATAATACATAGTTAACTAATGCAGTTTCAACATATCTATTCATTTTGTATTGAATTAGTTGCCAGTAGACCTTAATGTATGTAATTTATGTATTTTTTAAAATAAGATCATTTACAATCTTACATCGTAGTGACATTCAGAATCTTTTCTTTTGCAGCCATTTCGTAGAGTGACGTTTTCTGTTGTGAGTCAGCCTCAGGACCCACATCAGGGGTCACTGCAGAGTTGCTATGACAGCGGGCTGGAGGAGTCAGAAACACCAAGCAGTAAGAGTTCATCAGGGCCAAGACTGGGTGCGCTTCCACTCCCAGAGGACAACTATGAAAGGACCACGCCGGATGGCAGTGTTGGTGAGGCAGAGCATATGGAAAATGGTAGGGGCAAACACAACATCCACACACATAATCACGCTAGTGAGCCGTAATAAGTAGACTCGCGAAGGTCAGTCTAAAACCAAAATAAAATAGCTGACATTAAAACCATTTTATTTTAAGTGATAAATATTTGCTAAAATACAGAAATGCCAAATAAAGGAACATAACTCTGTAGATAAAATTCACCCAAATTGCACCATCATTTTAAAACATCCTGTCAGAAATAAACGCACTTATAAATAAATCAGAACAGGGCCCACTATGAAGGAAGCTAAATAAGTGCAGAATTCCTAAACAATAGTCACCAAGAAAGGTCTTGTCTAATTGTTTTCTTCTATTCATTTTTGTCATGCAACTATTTCTTCAATTGCAGCTGTCCAGTCTTAGTGAAAGGAAATGAAAGAAACATACCTTGCTCTACCTTTTCTTGTCCTAGATGTTTAGAAAAGCATTTTCAAACCTCTCCTTTCCTATGATCACTGAATAGGGTCAAAAGAGAACAGTACTACTTTGTTCTCCATAGTATGCAATAAATGCTATTAGAATTTCCCTCCTATTCAAGTATAAGGTTTTTTTTTATTTTTATGTGAGAGAAAGGAAGGAAAATAAATCATAATACTCCATATTTTTATACTGTTTTGAGGTGATTCTCATAATTACCACAATTGGCCTTGTATACATTTTCTTTTAAGTTATACATTTAGATTGCAAATAGCACTTATAAAACTTTCCACATTTGTTTATATTCCCAGAGATAATTTGGTGATTTATTTTCTGGATTTTGAGTCATAAGTAAATGCCTGAGGAATAGGTTTGTGTCAAATAATGGAATGGTAAAATTCATCCTAACTTCATTATTCTTTCAAATATGAAGAGAGAGATGGTTAAACAGAGAGAAAGGAAAGGAATCACACACATTTTATCCCTAGTAAAACTTGCAGTGGATTTATGTCTTTTGCCATCTCAACCCCCGAGTGACATAAGACGCTCTAACTTTTTGTTATATATCCGTTTCTTTAGTGCTGATATATATGCAAGTAGAGCATATTAATGCAGGAGAAAGACTGATTTTCTTCTGTAAGTTTACCTATGAATATTAAAATCCAATATTAGAATATAATATATTATAAAGGACCCCAAATGAAAGTATTGCTAAATTATATTATGCTAAATAATTATTTATCCACATTGTTCTTGGTTAAGAAAATATGATATCAGGGTCTGATGATTGACGTCCCTCTTGATTAATTTTGCAGAGTTAAAATGGCATTTTGCCTTATGGCTATAAAAGCATGCTTATCTGTGTGTATGGTGGTGTGTGCTTATGTGGATGGGAGTCTGGTGTGGTTTCTAAGAGTTACATTTTTTTTAGTAATTTTTTTAATGGGCATATAATTTTGGTATGAATTGCAATGCTGATGAATATATATTTAAGGCAGATATGTTTAAAATTATTTGGAAAAAGAAATTAAACTAAAAATACTGTAATTACATACATACTATGTAATTACATATGTAATTTGGATGTCAGCTTTATTAAAAAAGGACTTTGTACCCCTGGCATTATAATCATTTTTCAATGTTAGTTTCTGTTTTATGAGTTTATGGGGATTCATCACCTTTAAAATAAGAAATAAGTGATGAATAATTAAAAGATAATTATGTAATTACATGTATGTAGCCACATGTAATTGCATGTATGTAGTCACATGTACTATAGTGTATTACGTTACATATGTGTAACGTGTAATTACGTATGTGTGATATATGTAATATATAATATGTATATAGTACATATAATTACTTATATGTACATATGTATGTAATTACAGTATTTTTAATATAGATAGATGATAAATAGAGCATACCTAGGAAGGCAGGATTAATTTAATTTAGGGGTATTACTACATCTGAGATTACCTGTTCATGAGAACATATAATTTTGTTTGTGTTTTTAAAAGTGCTTATTCTTACTGTAAAGCACAGAATGTACAATTAAATCTTTATTTTTTGGATGTCAGCTTTATTAAAAAAGGACTTTGCACCACTGGCATTATAATCATTTTTTAATGTTAGTTTCTGTTTTATGAGTTTATGGGGATTCATCACCTTTAAAATAAGAAAGAAATGATGAATAATTAAAAGATAATTATATATGACAAACACATATCGGTTACCTTTTAGGAAACACACATGTCATGGAAAACTTAACAGGTGAGCTTGTTAATAAAATATAAAGTATACTGAGAAAGAGTTCCAAAAAACGACTTTTAATTCTTTTTTAGAACCAAGTTTTTAAGGCCTGTCAAAAGCAAGGGTCATGATAATGTAACGGATCTTTCCTGATTTTGTATGTGACCAACACTTGAAAGTCAGAGTTTATATGACCATTTGTCATCTACTGGCTGTGATTCATGTTAGCCTTGATCTATAGGTAATGACAAAATGAGATGCGATGCACTGTGGCTGATCTAAATGTAGCAGTTGACCTTTGAGTAACAAATTTGTTGGGTCCGTGTTTTCAGACTACTCATCTAGCCATAAAGTGCAATTGTGTTGCTTAAATTCTGGTAATTTCATCTTCAGTATTAATGGATCATTCTGACATAAATAGAATTGGAATTGAAACCTGTCAAGTATTCATTTGTCACATTTAATTGGAATCCAGGTAATCTGTAGTTTTTTGCTTGGCTAGGTTTTAATCAGGATTTGTATTGGATTTTCATTTGGATTTTCCATTAAAATACCATTTTGGATGCTGTGCTAGTTCCTAATTATTATTACCTCAAACATTTTTCTTGAATTTTAACCTATGTGAAACAATGCAGTTATCAGCAAGTGTTTGGGATTAACTTTCATTGTAAAGTTTAGAAGATAATTTCTAGTGCAATAACAAGTAAAATTCCAATGTCATGCTAACAAACCAGGAATAAGTTAGGATAGCTAATGATAAAAATACATTTTCACAAATGCAGAGAAGGAACAGAAACAAGAAAATTTAAGTGAAATGTACTTACATTTTACAAAAGCGTTATCTTCCTTCTGTACTGTAGTATGATGAATACAATTTCATTCAAAGGGCCTGTGTATTAATTCCCTGTTTAACAAGCTTTACGCTATATTCTAAAACACATTACCGCCAAATGTAGAATGAGGTTTTATTCTCTTATTAGCTAAGGAAAAAGAATATACCATAAGAATAAATATAATTTCTTACCACCGGAATCTAATAATGTAGAATGAGATCCACCATTTTAAAGTTCCAAATCTGTAGAATGCCACAGGTCCCTGGAAAGTAACACTAGAAATTACCCCATTTAAAAAATATTTTAAGAAAACCTTATTAGTTATACATTTATTTGTGACAAAGATTACTAATATATATTTCTTTGCCTTTAATTATCATCATTATGATAATTTCATGCTAATCTTTTAATATCAATCTAATCAAAGATTGAGGAAATTGGTTATTTGTTTCATTAAAATACATTTAGCAATAAAGTAATAATTCATATAGAGTTTATGGGGGAAATAGGTAATACAAACATTTGACAATGAAAATGTTAGAATAATTGATGCATATTGCAATGGATTGGTAATTCAAGTTAAAAACCAAACATTAGGCTTAAAAGCACCATCTCATTCAAGGCAAGCATTGACTGTGCAAGAGTTTGCTCTTATTTTAATTACGCAGTAGTCTTCAGACTTTCTCTTGGAGTGGTATACAATGGTTTCTTTAGGTCTATTGTATTTATCCTGGTCCCTACCTTCATGCCATGACCTACTTGATCTTTCCAAAGCCCCCTCTAAATTATCTTTGCAAAGCCAGTTTGCCTTTGCTATGTAAGTCTTTATGATAATTAGTGTTTAATAAGCTCAGATATAGAAAACACCTTGCTTGGCTTCTCATCTCAATTTTGCCATCAGCATTGGGTAGGCTACTGTCTAAGGAAATTGATAAATCAACTCTGAAATCTTACTCGGTTCCAGGTCCAATAATCTGTGATTCTCTTACATTCAATTTTTCTTGTATCTTTTATGCTATAGAATGGAGACATTTGTCTCATAGTAAGATAGTGAGTGAATTTGACAATGTATGTTAATGTGGGCAGGCCAGTAGTGATTCTAGGGCCTTTCTCTGAACCCACACAGCAAGTGCATTTTAATAGTAGAAAATGCATTTATTACATAAATCAAAGGAGTGGACTGAATCAAATGGTGTGATTTCTGGCCAGGTGGGTGGAAATGTTGGCACCATAGTAGGCCAGTGTGGGAGACAGCTGTGGAGCCTCCTTCAGATCCCACTATGCAAGAACCATCTGTAGATCTGATCAAGCCCTGGGTGCAATGCCCTTGAAATACATGAATTATGATTAAGACATTTCACAATAGAATAAGCACATGTGTTTTCTTACTTAACAATGTGAACTTTGGTCAGAGTACAAATGAAAAAAAAAAGGTAGGAAATAATATATATTTTTCTGTAGGTAGACTTTCTTAAATATCACACCATAAAAATAAATTAAAAAAAAAACAGCAGATGATCCATAAACCAGGTTTATAACAAGTTAAATGAGGTTCGAAATTTGGCCACTCTAAATCCCTAATTCATTTTATGCCTCTTGATTTTCTCAGATCTTTAAATAATACTTTTGACTTTATACATGAATATTTTTGAACTTTCCCTTTCCAAACTTCCTTACTTTGTCACACTTATATAAGCTAAGCTCAACTGTTTGATTCATTCCATTTCCTTCATCTCTTCATTCTACATGCATTATACCTTGTCCTTGATTATTTAAACATGCTGCAGTAAAACATGGACTTTTCATATTGCTTTTAGACAGTGTATTTGAAATATCATTGAGAATAAGCCACTAATTTTAAATGGCCAAGTGTAATGAGCATAGAGACCAAAGGCATATCTTTGTATGAGATAAAGGACCTCCTCTTTCTCTCTCCTTTTCTCCTGTCTCCCAATTTTCAAGCAGGCATCTGTCAGGCAAAGTTGTCTAGTTATTGGTTTGTGCTGATTTCACGTAGATTGAGCAAACTTCTCTAGCAAGGCTGCCTCTTCCATCTTTCCAAAGATCCTCATATACTTTTTAATGGCATAAGCACAATACCTAAAATACCAAATACCTGTCATACCTTTTTTCGTCTTCTGCAGAAAGAGACTAACATGACTTGCTAAGGATTCATTTTCACAGTTTTGCATTTCTCTGTGCCACCCTAGTTGCCAGTGTCTGACTGAGGCTGCAATTGTTTTCACCTTTCCTGTCAATTGTGACATGGCTCTATACCTCCCAAGTATCCCCCAAAAGTCTGTATGCCACCACTTTGGGAGGGTGCTATTCACTTTGAATTTCTTCATAGTAATATATAGAGAGATGGATTATAGAGACTGTCTCTAAGCCAGAACTCAACTAATTAAAATGTGTGCTATAGTGGCTTCTCAGCTGTCTAGTAAAATGAGCAGTACAATCTAAAAGAGTCTAAAGAAGGTACTGTCCTAGAGAAGAATTGGCAGTGCTGTAAGTAGAATCTACTGGTTTACAAAACAAGCTTTGAAATCTGATGACCTCAGTTTGAATCCTGGCTTTACCTCCTACAAGGAGTATTATTTTCTAACCCCTCTTAGCTTCAGTTTGTTCAATTGCAAATCATAGGATTGCAGAAGGAACTAAATGAGACAATAATATGCAATAATTTATAAATAAGTAATAAGTTGTATTTTCACTATATTAATTGATAAAATGTTTTACCATTATTATTTAAATAACAATGATAAATAGTTGGGATTATTATTAACTTTAGGTCGTTTTTTTTTTTTGAGATGGAGTCTCACTCTGCCACCCAGGCTGGAGTGCAGTGGCACAATCTCGGCTCACCGCAAGTTCCGCCTCCTGCGTTCAAACCATTCTGCTGCCTCAGCCTCCAGAGTAGCTGGGACTATAGGCGCCCGCCACCACACTCGGCTAATTTTTTGTATTTTTAGTAGAGACAGGGTTTCACCATGTTAGCTAGGATGGTCTCCAACTCCTGACTTCGTGATCTGCCTGCCTCAGCCTCCCAAAGTGCTGGGATTACAGGCGTGAGCCACCACACCCAGCCAACTTTAGGTAAATTTGATATAATACAATGGCTTAGTCATGAGGACTTCATAAAATGCTCAGCCTCACAAATTTAGCATTTTTAAATTACCAGTATAAATTATATTCTCACCTTAAATATTTTCCAGTTAGTTTTTTTTCTTTTGTTTCGAGTACCATAGGGTAGTACTCATGACTAGTGACTTATAAATATAGCAAGGACCTAAAATGAGGGGAAGGAAGTCTTCTATCTCTTGGCATCAAACCAACCGACTCTTTGTGTTCTTTGTCATTCAAGGTAGGGAGATGTCATTATGGTCTTTCTACATTCTTTTCTCTTTTTTTAAGTGTTCTAGTTGAATGCATTATTTTTCAGGTGTACACCTCCCTTTAAAGTGCTGCAAATTATTCACATTAACAGGGAAAATTAGCTGAAAATAATGTCCAATTAGTATGCTTACCAGATTCTCAGTCCTTTCTTTTCTAATCTCAATATTAATAATTAACTCTGATAAAATGTGTGGCCGTATTACCCTTTTATTCTAATTTGGTCCTTTTAAACTAGATCACTTTGCTGAACCCTTATGACATTTGAGGAGGGAATGAGCGCTCATCAAATCTCAAAGTGACTTTGGAGGTCAGTTAGTGGTTTTGTTACCTCCAGACTCCCAAAGCTTTTGCTTGTGTGAATTTCAGCACTTGTTGATAATACATTTGATTGTTTTAGTTCCTTATTTAGTTAAGGTGTTATCTCAGTCTTTCCTGTGAATTCTTTTTGCTTATAGATTACATATAATTCTATTCTTCCTCTGATGTTATTGCCAGATTTATGTATAAAAAAACCTTGTGCTGTGAGGAGCCCGTCTGCCCGGCCACCACCCCGTCTGGGAGGTGTACCCAACAGCTCATTGAGAACGGGCCATGATGACAATGGCGGTTTTGTGGAATAGAAAAGGGGGAAAGGTGGGGAAAAGATTGAGAAATCGGATGGTTGCTGTGTCTGTGTAGAAAGAAGTAGACATGGGAGACTTTTCATTTTGTTCTGTACTAAGAAAAATTCTTCTGCCTTGGGATCCTGTTGATCTATGACCTTACCCCCAACCCTGTGCTCTCTGAAACATGTGCTGTGCCCACTCAGGGTTAAATGGATTAAGGGCGGTGCAAGATGTGCTTTGTTAAACAGATGCTTGAAGGCAGCATGCTCGTTAAGAGTCATCACCACTCTCTAATCTCAAGTACCCAGGGACACAAACACTGTGGAAGGCCGCAGGGTCCTCTGCCTAGGAAAACCAGAGACCTTTGTTCACTTGTTTATCTGCTGACCTTCCCTCCACTATTGTCCTATGACCCTGCCAAATCCCCCTCTGCGAGAAACACCCAAGAATGATCAATAAAAAAAACCAAAAAACAAAAAAACCTTGTGCTGCTAAAATATAACACTCTTAAGCATCTTCTATTTGGTAAAGGAACTGTGGATCTTGACTGTTTAAGTATATTTAAGTTTAGTAGTCTTTTTTTTATTTTTATTTTTTAATGTAAGGTCTTGCTCTGTAGCCCTGGCCAGAGTGCAGTGGCACATTCTTGGCTCACTACAGCCTCGACCTCCTGGGCTCAAGCGATTCTCTCACCTTATCCTACTAAGTAACTGGGATTACAGTCATGCACCTGTTCAAGGCTGTTCTCAAACTCCTGGAATCAGGGGATCCTTCCATCTTGGCCCTCCAAAGTGCTAGGATCATAGACATGAGCCACCCTGCCCAGCAAGTTAGTACTCTCAACCTCAGAGGTTAGACGACCTATTGAGAAACCATTTTATCTCAATATTCCTCTTCTAAGGTAAAATACTTTCCATTGTTACCTCTTCTCTTGCAGGTTTTTAATAAGTAAAGTATTTTTTGCTTTGCTAATAAAGCAAAGTAGAACAATAGGTGTCTCTTGTTTCATGGGGCAATTATATAGTGTCAAAGCTGTGTTTATTCATTTTGATTCAACAAACCAATACTGAAAATAAAATATGACCAAGGCTTTCTGAGGAAATTTAAGTAAAGGAGAAAGAATCTCGGCCTTTAAGATGGAAGTTTTTATGCTCAAGAGATACAACCTTGATCACAGTAACTTAATTATAATGAAAAAATAGTAAGCTCATTAGAGAAGTTCAGAGTGGTGTGAGGTACAGAGGAGGGAATGGAAAATTATACGGAAGAAACAATTATAGACGCAAGTTTTGAAAATTTTTATTTTATAAATCAAATGTTGGACAGGAAGAAGGCCATGAAATGTTCTTTGGCTGCACATCCTCTCTCTTTATCTACTCATCTTTGATATATTTAAAAACAATTATTATACTGGCCTGGAGGCTTCATTTGAAGCCAAATAAATTCAGATTATTTGTTTTATTTTTCTAATTGAGTTACTGTTACCTTTTTATGTCTTCTTTTTTCCTTTTTTCATTTTTTAATGCTAAACACAATTAGTTCAAAAACTCTAAAATTTATCCTTGATGAAATTGGCAGCAGAAACTAAATCCAGATCTAAACTATAAAATAGATTAATTTTGTGTCTTTCTTTTCTCTCTGCTTATAAACATGGATAATTACTAAAAATATGTGTGCTGTAAATAAGGCCTTTCAAACTCAATAATAACCCGTAAATAATCTTTTGAAGTCATTGTTATTTATTTTCAGAAGACCAGTTGTATTACTCAAATTAAATAGATGATTAAATTACATTAGAGTAGAGTAGATTGGATTACATTATATTTATTTTTAAGAAAACCCATTTCTTCTGTGGCAGTTGCAAATTGTTTTTGTAATTGTTATTTCAAGATTCAAGTTAAGCATACAGGTATTTATATTACAATCCCTTTATACTGAAATATAGACAATAGGTTGCTTTGTTTTTAAATCTTGTCTCTGATAAATTTTACTTAATATACGCAGGTAGATTTTTTGGCATTAAGTCTCATTATCATGTATGTCTTCTCATTATTGTCCAGAAAATATAATTGTAAGTTCGTTATAAGAATGAGAAAATATCTGAAATGCATGCAAATTTAAATGCCTCCTCTGGAACAGAGTTTCAACTACTAACATATGATAATGTTAAAGGAAATTAATTTTTGATACTATATGTATAAATAAAATCTGTGATTAGTGGTATGTTTTGGAAGTAAACAGACAATAGGATAGTATCCAGCTATTTAAAAATCTTCTTCATTTCTGCTTGAAAATATATCTCCCATGGTTTTATTTCTGATCCTCAATGCTTAGCGTCTACATTAATGAAGTTGTTAGGAAGCCCTATATGATCTGAGAGCGGTATGCATTTCTGAGGTTGCATTCCTCAGAACCCCAGTGCCCAATGCTGAATTGTGTCCATTGTTTCAGTTCCTTATGAGGCCACATTTCACCAAGGCAGCATTTGTAGCCAAAGGTCCTAGCAGCTATAGCTGAAATTTTATACAGTGAACAGAGAATGTAGAGTGTTATAAGAATCCATTGAGTAAAATTCAATGACCATTTGTTGAGTATTTATTTTATGCAAATTTTTATGGACTCAAAGGTGAATGACACAGGCTCTGTTTGCTAAGCATTTAAATATTGTCAGAGAGAAAGGCGTGTACAGATTTGATGTTTAAAAGTAAAGGCATGAGAGGCATTATATGGAGAGACTGATTATATGCTACAAGAAGTAGAGGAGGACTTGAGTGTGGGTTACAAAAAATCATAGCCGTGGTTTGAAGGGTGGAAAAGTAGGGATTTGCTAAGCAGAAATGTGGATAAGGCTATGGAGAACAGTGGGAGATACCAAAGATACCTACCCGAGAGGGTGAGGAAAAAGTGGTGCCATTTGCCAACCTTGGAAAAGTGGAAAGAGCAGCACATTTTCCTTGGAATGATTCTGGTTAAGATATCCTGTACTTAAGGTATCTTTGAAAAATGCAAGTGATATTTAACAGGATATAGATCTGAAATTTGTGAGTATAGATAAGCAGAAGAATGTAGCTTTAGGAGTCAGAACACTGGTAATGCTGAATTCCTGGGAATAGATCAGACTACGATTTAAGTATTTGGCACCAGATAAGTGACGTTATCCAAACAGAATGTTGAAAAGTACTGAAATATAAGAGAATAAGGGAGAAGTAAGTTTCAGCGAATGTGACTGTGAAATATATTAAAAACAAAATCAGGCTGGGCAAGGTGGCTAATGCCTGTAATTGCAGCACTTTGAGAGGCTGAGGTGGGTGGATTGCTTGTGCCCGGGAGTTCCAGACTCGCCTGGGCAACAGAGTGAGACCCTGTCTCTGCAAAAAAAAAAAAGTTTAAAAATTTGCCAGATGTGGTGGCACATGCCTGTAGTCCTAGCCACTTTGGAGGTTGATGCGTGAGGAGGGTTTGTGCCCAGAAGTCCCAGGCTGCAGTGAGCTTTTTGTGTGCCAGTGCACTCCAGCCTGAGTGACAGACTGAGACCCTGTCTCTAAAAAAAACAGAACACAAACAAACAAAAAAATAAAAACTGAAACAAACAAAATATGACAGGATAAATGAAGAAGTTAGCATTGGGAAAGTAGTAACTATCAAATATCTAGTCCTGCAGAGATGAAGATAAAGAAGTAGACCTGTGGGATCATGTAGATATTGATTAATGAAGAGAGTTAGGACATTTGCATGGGAGGTATTTTGTGTTTTTACCACCCCTTTTCCCCACTATACCATAAACTGCTTAAAGACAGGACCTGTGCCTTGGCTACCGTTGCATGATACTTCTGGAATTATCCTTCCATAGACATGTCCAAAAGAAAAAAAGAAGTTGAATTAAAGTTAATATGTACTGGTCGGGCATGGCGGCTCGCACCTGTAATCCCAGCACTTTGGGAGGCCCAGGCTGGTGGATCACCTGAGGTCAGGAGTTCAAGACCAGCCTGACCAACATGGAGAAACCCTGTTTGTATTAAAAATACAAAATTAGCTGGTCGTGGTGGCACATGCTTGTAATCCCAGCTACGCGGGAGGCTGAGACAGGAGAATCGCTTGAACCCGGGAGGTGGAGGTTGCAGTGAGTGAGATCATGCCATTGCACTCCAGCCTGGGCAACGAGAGCGAAACTCCATCTCAAAAAAATATATATATAAATATATATATGTAGTAAGTAAGGGCCCAATGTTGCTGATACAGATTTAACAGAATTGAGACAACTCAGAAAACTGGAGACCAGAAAATGGAATTAAGAACACACTTGAGAACTTCTTTCTCAGGTCACCAAGTCCATTGTAACATCATTATCAGAGGCCGGGGCATAGTGGCATCCCTTGATATCAGTCTTAAAGAATTTCTAATCACCTTATGCTTCTATTTTTCAGGACTTTTTTTTTTTTTTTTTTACAAAATTTTCAGAACGTACCATGAGTGTGACATTTCTGTGTAATAGCTTTTGCTGTCTTTTCTTGAGTGATATAATACTGATTCATTAAATTAGTTTTGTCCTCTAGTATGACTTTTATATTTTATTTTATACTATGCAATTATTTGACCATTTTACTTACTTAAAATTAAAAGAATATGTGACTAACTACATTTATGGTGAGATCTAATAATTTATAACATTTCCTGGTCATCATACAAAATTATTTTGTGATTTTAAGATTCTTGACATTGTAACAGTACTATCAGTTGTCAGTAATACTATGTAAGTAGGTGTGCTTCAAAACATAAATCACGGAAATAGAATCTGAATGAGAAATAAATTCAAATTGTATAGTAAAAGGACTAATTCCAGTCCATTTGATGTTTGCATAGCACCACAGAAATGTCACGTCACTGATGTCTACCACAGCTAGTGCACCATCCAAGGAAAGAAATGCTTCCAAATATGTTGTATGCAAAGTCATACTAATAATGATTTGTCAGGAAGATATCACTTTTAATGTTGTTTTTAACCTAAAGAAATGAAACCACCAATGTCACATAAATTTATTATTTCTTTGTGTTCATTTTTGCTTTATAGGAGTTATGTATAAGCACTATATCGATAAAAAGTCTTCCAGTTCAAGATAATCTAAACAATTGCTACAAAATAATTTCCAAGTAAAAAATGCAACTCCCATTTAATCACTCATATGTATATTTGTTTCATGGAAAATCTCTACTAATGTCCATTTTTTGACATGTGTATGCACTCCCCATTGTCCTGGAACATTAAATAGAATGTATGTAAATGTGGTATGTGACAAGAGCAGGCTACCTGGCTGATTACAGAGTGGCCTCTGGGTGGTATCTGTAAACTGCTTTCTAGATCCATAAAACACAATTTTATCACGGCCTCAGAATTGTACAGAGCCAAGCATGATAACCAAGTCTCGACAATATTACAAGATCCTAATGTCAAACTGTAACAACGGTTTATTGAACTTAGAACAGGAGAATATCCCATTCAGTAGATAAGAAAGTCTCTGCCTCCTCTTCAAAGCAATACCCTTTCTTTAAGGAGAGCCAAGGAAAATCAGAGTAGCTCTTAAAATGTTGCCTAAAGAGGAGGATGGAATCAGAGGAGGAGTTTCTTTCTTTCTTTCTTTCTTTTTTTTTTTTGAGACAGAGTCTTGCTCTGTCGCCAGGCTGGAGTGCAGTGGCCTGATCTCGGCTCACTGCAACCTCCGCTTCCTGGGTTCAGGCAATTCTCCTGCCTCAGGCTCCCAAGTAGCTGGGACTACAGGCGCATGCTACCACACCCAGCTAATTTTTGTATTTTTAGTAGAGACAGGGTTTCACCGTGTTAGCCAGGATGGTCTCGATCCCCTGACCTCGTGATCTGCCTGCCTTGGCCTCCCAAAGTGCTGGGAGTACAGGTGTGAGCCACTGCACCTGGCCAGGAGTTTCTTAATCCACACACTGAGGCCTGATGAGGCTTGCAGAAACAAAACTATCTTTGAGGTCATCTGAAAAACACATTGCTTTTGCTCCCTAGATTCAGTGCTTCTTTCAGTGTCCGCTACTAACCACAATCTTGTGTCTCTAACTTACGCTTGTTGTTATTGTTTGTTTGTTTTCTCTTGTCTTTAGGGTCATCTATTAAGGATTTTGCATATTCTTTCTTAAAATATATAAAGGATTTTTTTCAATAATAGCTTTAGGCCTGCTTATATAACCACACTTCATTTCTCTCCTTGCTTCTGGTCCATTCTATAAAGTGTCTTTCCACTCTCTAAACATTCACCAACTATCTATCAATTTTTTAGTTGTTTACTTGGTAGTTACCTGCTGTTACTCTTGTGTAGGTGGTATCTGACACTCACAACTGTGTGCATAAGAAACAATTCCAGATTTATGTGTAATTTCAAAAATCATTAATTAAATGCTCATAATTCTCAGGTAATTCTCACCTAAAACAAGCTCAATCTTTAATTATATGAATACTCGAGGAAATGGAGTTTTAGGGCCCAGTCCTTACGATTTCCCTTCACTGTGGGTGAAGCAATCTAACCATACATAATCTTTCAATAGGTAACTGCAAACAACGTGTTCACACGGAACCATATTTTATCAGTTTTTCCCCGTAAGCTTACTGCCCTTTATTCAGTGTGATCAATTGTATTCAGCCTTCACTAGCTCTTTGAGAATTCAATTTTGAGAGGCATTTCTAGTTTCCTGGACAACATTGGTCCATCTCTTTCTCCCAGAATAATGAAGATCTAAAATCTAATTCTTGCCTATTTCAGCCCCAAACTTTTCATCCTCTTTTGTGAAATCAAGCCAGTATGCTTTTTCTTTCGCTGCCTACGTCTGAGTATTATCTATGTCCCCGGGATCAAGTAGCTATCAAATTAGTTCTGTCAATTGCTCATGGGTTTAGAGATCCCTGTGTGTGTGTTTTTTAAGTAACCACATTTTATTTTAGAACACAAAGTACAGGACTTCTGACTTGATTATTTAGCTTCTTAAACTTTTTCTGAAGTTTTTTGAAAATAGCAGAGAAAATACATTATTACTCTTCTTTACCTTAATGAAAATTCTCAGTTCCTCTGTCATTTCATTTTTGAAGGAGAATTAGAGGACTCTTCCACAAATTGACTCTCGGGCTTCATATTTTCTTTATTTCTCCATTCTAATAATCTATTCCTTTGCCTTTCCTAAACTCACCATCTCATGCACAGTTTCTTCTTTATAATACCTTATCTATGACCTTTTGGAGATTAAATAATTCAGTTTCTCTACCAAAAGTCATTATATTTGAGTCATTTTTGACTATCAAGTTTCTCTTTTCCTTTGGGATACCTTCTGGAAGAGTCTATTTAATATTTTCAGTTTTAAAAAGTCCTTCTTAAATATAACAATTCTACTGTATTGTAATGTATCATATAACATGTACATTTGCAAAGAATTGGAGCCAGATATCTTGGGTTCTAGTTCAAGCTCCATCACATTTCCAGAAAGAGAACCTGGGTCAATTCATGTATTATCTCCTTCACTTACACAATGGGAACAATAATTATGATAATAACTGCCCTATCTTCCTCAAAGGTTTATGTGCAGTTGGACATATATTTTTTGGAAGTTAGCATTAATAAAAGATGCTAAAGTATTACTGAAGTATTACTTTACTATATTCAGTTATTTATAGATACATTATTACTGAAGTATTGCTGAAGTATTACTTTACTATATTTAGTGAAGTATTTAGTATATTTAGTTATTTATAGAAGTATTGAATTCTGAAGTATTACTTTACTATATTGAGTTATTTATAGATACCTTAAAATTGCTGATAACTAGTTCTACAACAATCTTTTTCCACATTAAATCAGACTTGCAATGTTCATAATATTTATTAAATGCATGATTATTTTCTTACCTCCAGAAATGTTTACTGGCCTCATATTTAGCTGTAAAGGTAAGTAGTTTCTTGGCACCTTTTGAATTCGCTATTGGTTTCCAATTCTCTAGACTAAGAGTACATGGGTCTCTAACTACCATGAACAAGTTCCAGTATTTATAACAAATATAATTCTATGAAACTATAGAAAAAGAAAACATGAATAGTATCACATCTGTTTTCTACAAGCTAAATGGCTCTGTCTTTAAGAAACCTGCATATATTTTCCTGGATTTATTGCTAAGGAATAATAAATGACAGAAACCAGTAACTCACAGAGATATTAATCAAGTAATTACTAAAGATCATTCAGTGAGCAGTGGCAGAATAGTTCCAAAAAGGCTGAGATTACAGACAACCGTCAAATATTCAGAGCAGTGAGCAAAACCTTGTAAAGATTATCACCGATCACAGAGTGTGGATAGAATCTGCCAATTAGGCACCAATTCCTAGCCCTTATTCACGTCTCCATTTAAACTGCTAATTATGCCAAATAAATTTATAAATGTAGAAATCAACTTTTATGGGCTATTTGAGATAATTTTCTGAGCACAGTGCAAAACACCCCAATTGCAATACAATTGGAGCACAAAAGGCTTCATGAAGTAATCTAAAGGCACCACGTCATCACAGTGTCAGAGATAAATAAATTATAATTATATTGGTATTCACTCCCTCTTATAAATACACATAAAATGAAAGAAGCACTAAAAAAGAACAACGTGAAGTGGATAACCTATCCATCAAAAATATTTACTAGAATGATAAAATAGTATCCTTATTAAACATACAAAAAGAAAAGATAAATAGAGCAAGGAATAATTGAATTAGTAAATTAATTATTTTATAGTATATTGGTGTCTACCTGAGGGTTCTACATAATCATTTGCTTTACAGTATCACTCAAAGCAAGGTAATATCGACATTTTACAGATGATGAAGGTGAGAAGAAGATATGGAAAGTTGTAGTTAATACCTGAAAACTCTTAGTGTTTAATACATGGTAGCTTTTATTATTTATTATTTGCCACTATTAACTCCAAAGGGCTATATTTGAGTTATTGCATTCAAAGCTTATGAAAACCTATTGTAGCCATTATAATTATTTATATTTTAAAAACTAATTTAAGTAGAAAAACATTTAGTTTTTGTTTGATATTTAATAGAAGCACTGATTTATTGCGTAGTTTTAAGCAAATCCCTTAGCCTTTTATTGTCTCATTGTTTAAGGCCGGCAATAAACTTTGCTCTGCCTATCTTTCAGGTAATTTCTCTTTCTATCTGTGTATTATAAACCACAATGCATTTTTTTTTTGTTTTTTGCATAAAGCAATATTTATGTTATCATCAAGAACCACTGTAAATTGTAGCTTTGATGTTGGTACCTGGTATTATAACTCAGACGGTCAAATATTTACTTCACAAAAATTGGGAAGAGACTAATAGATTTTGGTGGGAGGTGCTTTTATTTGCTTGTTTGTTTCAGAATAACAGAATAATAACTCAGTATCATGAGCCAATTAAAGAAATATACCCAAAATAAGGTAAGAAGAATCAATACCAGATGCTTTATTTATGGTTCAACTTGATAGTTATATCGCTTTTGACTGTAATTCATTGGCAGTTCATTCAGAACACACACACACACAGACATACACACACCTGCATTGTATCCTTCTACCAAGGTAGGGAGGATGCTTAACTCAATGGGAAGAGGCATAAGAAAATATTGCATTAAGAGCCTGATTCTGGAGTTGGTCCCATGACTCCCAAAGATTGTGGAAACAAAGCAATTAACTTTTTTAATTATGCAAACCATTCAGTAAAGTAAGCAGTAAAATATATTAAATAATTTATTTAATACTTCTAATATTCTCAGTAATGTTGGAAATTTCCAAATAAGCAAAAAAACTTTAGCTAAATGTGTAAACTCAGATTTTTCCTTCAAATTTTTCTCTCTGCTGAATATAGGAAAATATTTCCATATCCATATCACTGCTTTCAAAACTGCTAGATAATCCATTTTAAATAATAAGATTTTTATAATATGTGATTCAATTAGAAAATATCTTAGCTATTTTGAGTCTTGGTCACAAATATTTTTAACTGCAACACAAGTCACAACCTTTCCTCCTGCCTCCCTAGGGAATATTTATTTTAATTATGCCTGCCAATTGATCTAAATTATTGAACTTGCTCAAACTTGCTTAAGAATTAGAAGCTTCCTTGGATACAGTAACAAATTAAAATAAAATGGAAAATAATTTTGAAATTACCAGCATGACAGAAATAAAAGGGAATTTATATTATGCACACTAACACATTTTCAAGTTTCCTTGTTCTCAAGCATATCTCATTAAATCTTTTTATGTTCAGGAGAGGATATGCCTTACAAAAGTGGATCAATGACTCAGCTGGAGCTAGCATTTAAAATATTGTAAATTTCCTATTCTAATATAAGGGTATTATGGGATTTTTATTTGACATATGGAATCATGTCATCTATTTAGGAACACACATGCAGAAAAGATGCATATTTCAAAGTAGAATTAAGTAAAAATATCTGTTTCCACCGAGAAGATGGCGTGTGTAGTTTGCTAATAATTGACCTCGTCATTAAGCAACTTTCAGCCCTCATCTGCCAATTCTGCTCCTTTGTAATTATCATATATATTTTACAATCAGTGGTAAGGCTTTCATTTCCTTCCTAAGAATAAGGTAGGGCATTTCTGAAGTGGTTAGGACAATTCTCTTGTAGCAATAGGGGAAAAAAAGAACAAAAAATGTAATATAGCTACATGGAGAGATGTATGCCTCTGAGCTCTTTTCATTTTAGCAGCTTGAGAAATATTGCTCCACATTATTGCTCAGACACACATTCTTTCTAAACGAAGTTTACTGCCATTGATTCCCAAGAGCTAAAGGATTCATTTTAATATTTTTGTACTTCATTTAGCTAGTCTCCTTATTGATTGGACTTTATGAACTATCTACTTGTACGTGATATGCATTTCTAAACAAATTTTAGGACAAATATTTCCTGGATCAACATGTAGAGAATTTGACTTCCAAGTTAATGTATATTTGGGATACTCATTCTGAAATTTATGAGCAAACTTTAGGATGAACTGGCACTGCTCACTGGGGAAAAACATACACACACACACACACACACACACGCACACACTCACACACACCAGCCTTGATAGGCTAGGCCAAGCAGGTTTGAGACACCTCTTGGAAATATTTTGAGTAATAAATTATCCTTTCCAAAAGATTTTATTTTGGACATGTTCTATTAAATTAAAATCAATTGTTTCATACATTACAAACTTGACAGTCTCTTAATATATTGAGATATTTTTATATTGTAAAATCAAGTAATATTTTTATAATACAGTAAGCTTTAATAAATGGCCAGTATAAAATTTGTAACATATGTGCCTTAAAATTTGGGTTATTTTCTTTTATTACTCAACATGCCAACCTGAAATTTAATGTAATCTTTTAAGTAAAATACTGACAGAGAAACCCTGTAAGGTGAACTTAAGATTTTAGTTTCCTAATTGCCTTCTAATGCCTTTTTCCCCTCCAGAGCAAAGTGTGTCCTTATATTTTTGTAATACTGAGGTAAAAATATACAAATATATTTTAGAGTATTTCAAAATACTGCTTTAAGGCTATTTCAGTGGACTGCTCAAGTACTTCATCATTTCTAAATGTCCTTTACACCTAAAGCTCTAATTTTCCATACAAGGGATATTGTTTTTTAATGCAAGCCTGAAAATCCCTGGGAGCACTTAGGCCTGCCACTGCCAATGCACAACAACAGGTCTCAACAAGAAACCCCAAGCCCTGGGACTGGTGCTGACAGTTGGTATTTTAAGTTTCTGTTGAAAACTTATGATAATCCAATGTAAATGTGCCTGTTATTTATAATAACCATTTCAGTATTGTGGTATATTAGGCTTTTCATGCACTTTCTCTCAGCACTGGAATCCAGCCATAATTCTGTCCTTGGCTTCTGTATTGCTTGCTATAATAAAGTCCTTGTGATACTACTGGTAATAAACTTTCATGGATGCAATCCAAGATAGACCCTACTGATAACTGAATTCTCTTTCATAGTGAATTGTATTGTTGTGAGACTCCAGCATAGTTACTTTCTTTTAGAGCTAAGGGTTTTACGTTGAAATAGTATTTATTTATTTATTTATATCATTGAACAGTCTCACTGCCATGACTAAGAAAATTGCTCCATAAAATACTTGGTAATGTAAATGTGAGAATGAAAGTTATATATCTGATGATTTGTCAAATTTATGGCTTGTACCAACACAACTGTCTCTATAAAGGAATTTAATACGCACATTGGAGAATATTCCTGTAATGCCTAGTAAAATTGAATGCTGTTATGCTATGAGATCTCAAAAGCAGGAATCACTCTAGAATTATGCCTTTGACATTTCTAATCATGCATGGCCTGGCTTTACGAGTCTAAATTTGATGTAGGAAAACTTAAAATAAGCATTTATTACAGAAGTACCTGCCCTCCCACAGAGGATAGCATTCCATGTACAGGGCCTGCTTTTGATGTATTTCTTTACCTGTTTCTTTTATTGGCAAGAAATGGAAGAGTCGATTAAAGGTAGGAAGTTTAACTGGATTCACATTAGAGGAAAAACAGGTCAAAGTTGATGAGCACGTGCCTGAAATCTAAGATCAATGATTACCCCAGATTGAAGAGTAATGATGTGGTAGGCAAAAAAACAAACAAACAAAAAAAAAACCTCAGGGTTATACTAATAGCCTGAAAATGCATTAACATATTGAAATATGTTTAGCCTCTTTCTTTGTCTTCCAAGAATTAGGTTTTAAAAAGTATTGGTCCCCATTTTAAAGAGTAGATTGCTTTTTTTGTCTTGAATTTAAAAAAAATTATCACACTTTCTGAACTGATTTTGATTGAAATTCTATTGACAAATTCAGTGTATTTGGTCAGTGAAATTTAAATTTTATAAAATGGTAATTTTAGAATTCTTTTTATAATAAACTTCCATTGATTGATATATGTTCATTGATATTTGAAAAATCCCAACATTATAGCCACTTAATATTTTATATAATTATATTTTTGCAAACCAAAATAATACACTAGCATAGTACAAAAATATTTTTTGTGCATTATGTATAAATAGAGTACACTAAGACAAAGATTTAGTTTCTTCTTATACAGTATTCTTAAAATAAACTTAGCCATCATTTTTACAATGAAATTCTTGTGGCATATGGCTTATTCTCAAGTTTACCCTCCCTTCAACCAGGAAATGTATTACTTAACTGAGACATAAAAGAGCATAGATGGTAGGGGAGAGAAGGAACAGGTCCTTTACGTATAATAGCAGGCTCTTATGCTGTTTATTAAGTTTGATGATAGTTAACCAATTCAGGCAGCTGATTGAAATAAGAAGAAATCAGCAATTTTGTAGAAGTGTGAAAACATGTGCACATGTACCTCGCTCCTGCAGTTTTATCTTCTGTCAGATTTCTCAAGAGTATACCATATTTTTTTTCGGCTTGAAATAAAACATTGAGAATATATACATACATAATGAAATGAGATATATGCTTTGAGGGAATAGCACTGCCCAAAGTTAACAGATAGTTCGTGTGATTTAAATGATTGTATTTGGAAGGGTATTCTCATGTATAAACTGAATTCCAACTTAGAGCACTGCTTATCTTTTTAGTTGTACATGAATGTGGTGAGCAGAAAATAATTTTAAAAAAATTTTAGTAAGTGTCTGGGATGCTTTATTGTCAAAGAACAACTTGTATTTTAAAAATAAATTAAAATACATTAACTAAGAACAGTGTGCAAAGTATTTCAAGTAGATAGGGTGAACAGACTGTTTTACTTTTCTTCCATTCTACATGTCTGTGAATAACCATTCCTTGAAGTTTAAGATTATAAATAACAGTGCAAAATGGTGTTATTTCTACTTTACGAGGGAAATCATCCATTTTGTTTTCATTTTCATTTGGGTAAACTCAAAATGGTTTTGTATAGCTTCCGCTAATCTTATTCAAGACTGAAGCGTTTTTGACAAAAGAATGTTTCCCAATTTTGAGTAGATTATTACATTTATGTGGCTAAATTGACTCAGAATTGACAACTGTTGTTTGACTTGGCAAAGTTAGAATACAGTAGTTGATAGTAAGAGGAGGGAGGTAACAAGTTGTAAAAACAAGAAATTTCAAAGAAGAACCTATAAGCAAATTGTGCTTTAGTAGTGAATGGTTGAATAAGGGTATTTTATTTTATTCTACTGTTTAAAGTGGAAATATAGAAATTCTCACTCTGTGTTGATTACTCCACAACCTGCCCTCCCATACCTGGACATATACATGAGACCAAAAAATGAGGTAAAATTTACTATCTAATACTAAGTTTAGCTATTCAGACAGTCCTTTGTAAATCCTAGATATGTGTGCTAGGTGGAGTTAGAAACCTGTCTAGGTGGATATAACCTTTGCTCTCAGTATTTACAAGGTCAGGATGTGAGAAGTTATAAAATAAAGAGCTTGGTTTAAGTTTTAAGATATGTAATTTTTAAAACAAAATTCTTTTGAAAATAATTTATAGAATTATTTGTAACACATTGGGTGAGGTGGAGGCCTGTATTTATTTATTTATTTAATATCCTACCTTACTAGACTTTATGCTACTTGATGACATGAGTTTGGAGACCATGTTTTCTTGTTTACCATAATATATCCAGCGAAACTAGGACAGGGTCTTGCATATAGTAGAGTCTCAATAAATTTTTGAATTAATTAATGAATAAATGAATATTCGAATCAAGGATCTACTCACAATTTCCATTATTACACATGCTTTAATATTTTATTTATTTTTTGCTTGCTCTTCTTATAACTTAATCTACATTGAATTGTGTTAGTAAAGAAATTAGTCAAAATTATTGATTAGTATAAAACATACTGTATAAAAAAGAAATTCAATTTGCGAATCCTAAATTCTTTATAGAGCCTTGATGAAGTGTGCTTTATATTTCAAAATCATGCTTCTCTACAAGGTATAAATTTTTACCTTCAGTGTCCTAATTGGCAGAACTAAGGTACATCAGTGGAAAATCTTTATTTTGTAGTTGAGAAATTGTTTTTCTAAATGTTCTATCCCTCAAGGATCTGAGGACCTCAAAGACTTGAAGATCAAAGATGGCATGATGATGGTGCATTCCTAGCATGGAGAAAAGTCCTAACATTCTCTGTGTACTTTGCCCTTAAAAAAATTATTTTCTAGATAAGTTGGTATTGATTAGTAAACTTTATGAGTAACCCAGGTTAAGAACATCACAATTGCAAATTTGAATTCTTACTACATTGGTGATACACGTTGAAGTATGTATTTATTTACATATTCATTCATTAATTTACTTATTACTAAAATATTGTTGAAATCTAATTTCAAAGACAGCTGCAAGATTCAGGTATAGACAACCTACCTAAGCAATGGAAGAGGTAGGTTAAATTTCTGTCTTGAGTAAGTGTTTTTTTTTTTTTTCCTGACTATGCTACTCTTTACACATTTCATTCTATTTTTATGAATATCCTGGAATACTTTTTGAAAATTACAGTTTGTTTTTCCTTTTTCCCTGGGAGAACATAGGGTGACACTGGGTGGAAATCAAGATTTGCTATGGGTTTGCAAAAACCTGCATAAGAAATAATTCTCTGAGTTTCCAAGGTAGTTTATTGGATATTATCATATTTCTATTTTTAAATCACTTTCATTCATCTTGAACCTCCATATCAATTCTGCTTCATTGCTGCCCTTTTCACCCTTGTTTATAACTTCAGTTATAAACTTCAGTCCTCTCTTCACCACCTCACTGCACCCTAAGCTCTCAGCATGATAACCAATTCACTCTCTTTAAATATGCAACAAAATCAATATATTACTGGTGTGCTAATTAACTGTCACGTGAAAATACTTTGCATATTTCATCTCACTTAATTCTCACTGCATTTTTATTATGTAGGTTTTATTATTTCACCAGTGAGCAAACTAAGGATTACAGTATTTAAGTGACTTGCTTAAAGTCATGCAGCCAGTGAGTGGCTGAAATGCAGTTTGAACAAAATCTGTCAAAACAAAACAAAACCAAACCATGTTCTTCCCATTACATCATGCTATATCTAGCCATGCCTTTCTTTCATCAGAGTGGTCTTAACCTCTTTCGCCTGCATCTCTTCACTGCTGGCCAACTCTTCCTTTAAACCAAACTTGTCCAACTCGTGGCCCAGGATGACTTTGAGTGTGGTCCAAAACACATTTGTAAACTTTCTTAAAACATTATGAGATTTTTTTTTGCTGTTTTTTTTTTTTTAGCTCATCAGCTATCATTACTGTTAGTGTATTTTATGTGTGGCCCAAGACAATTTTTTTTCCAGTGTGGCCCAGGGAAGCCAAAAGATTGGACACCTCTGCTTTAAACTTTACTGCAAGTTTGGTCTCTTTTGTGGAACTGTTGCTCACCACCTCTTCCATAGCTCTTTGCATAACACATCTTGGTACTAGCATATGTCATATTAGGGTCTTAAAAATTTATGTATCACTCTTCTTGCTCCAGTGTGGCCTCCGTGAGGGCAGGATTATTATTTTTTTTATTCCACTCAATATTGAAGGAGCTTAAGCTGGCAGTTCTTAAAGCCAAGTGATCTCAAAACTCCAGGACTCAAAATCATTTCCTGACAATATTAGGATATCATTTGCTCTTTCAATTCTCATTCTCATAAGTGCACAAAAGAATTTTCCTGAGGCTACATGCTCTGTGTCAGTGCAACAGATTGAATTCAGAGCGGATAGGATAATCCAGATATCCTCTAGTAAGATAATCATTCAAGAGATGTGCAAAAGTGTCAAATAATGTCATTCTTCTCACTTTTTTTAAATATAGTAATTTTCTATTAAAATATATTATTTTTGTCAGCATATAATGAATTTATTGTGACTATTTTCAAACATATATATAACTAATTATTTTAAAAGTGTTTTTATTTTAATGTTGAATATGATGAATATCAGCAGATATACCCCACATAAGCAAAAGCTCTTTAGGGTCCTCTATAATTTTTAAAGTGTAAAGGAGGCTTGAAAACCAAACACATAGGACCACTGACTAAATTAACCTCTGGCACCCATTAAATATTTGATTGACAAAACTGAATAATCAAACTAATAAACCAATCCAGTGGGGGAGACTGTAAATGTTCTAGTGAGGACTTAGGTTTTCCGTTATTTTACAAACTTATTCTAACAAACAACTGTAAGTCAGGAAGATAATGAGCAAAACTCATTGCACATATATTAGTTAGAATAAAAGTAAACTTAGAATATTCATTATGTCCATTGTGTAAAATCATGTATTAATTAAAATTAAATTGTAAGCAAATATTACTCAATACAATAGTCAACAGTTAACTAGGTATCCAGGTAGGTTATTAGCTTTTATAAAGGACATAGTGGGTTATGCTATTGTGGTTATACATTGTGAGATTTTTAGGGAGCAGGCTTGTGAAATTTAGAAATTTGAAATCAATTAAGCAAAATATTATACATTTGCCGATAGTGTTTTACAATGTTTTTAATGCAACTAAATCTTGAAATTTTAATAAAGTTGTCACCTAAGAAAAATATATCTCAGCTCCAGTTATGGAAAGCAACATTCTAATTGTCATGAAAATTAAATTAACTTTTAAAAAGAAGCATGTCATATTAAATAAGATTAATGAGCATCTTCAGTTAGAAGGAAAAATAAAATAATATTTTATGTATTTACTCTAGATTTAAGAAATTTTAAACATATGCTACTATTAATACAGCATACTTCAACTTTTCATATATGTGTGTGCATGTATATTATCTCAAATCCAATTGTAATATAATTCAGTAGCTTAGATTTACACCTAATTTTTAAATATTACTCACAAATTTCTTCATTGTATAATTGCTTATTAAAGCTGGTAATTTTAAACACTTTTAAAATTTAAAATTTTACTCAGTTGATTTTTACTGCCATTAAGCTATGCAACTTATTCTTTTAAATCTCAGGAATACTAGAAACACTATTAATGCCTAATAAATGAGCTGTATATAGAATTCATAATTATTCTTTTAACTCATTTATAATTCTTACTAATTTTCAAAAAATGCTTCAGGTCATGCCTACACAACGCTTTTTTTTTAAACAAGTATTCTCTATTTATTTTTTTTAATGTGGTCTCATTTATGTCCTGACTGATAAGCTCACCCAGGGTTTACATGATTATGCACTTTGTAATTTGAAAATACTGTTTGTTCTTCACTTTAAAAGGAAATCAGGCACTAGCATATCTGCAGTTTCCTGATTCCTGTGAAAACATGTGACATTCCTCCTTTGCAAAGGTTTCCAGATTCCTTCTCTCCGTGTTGCCAATCCTGCCGCCACCCAAGGCTGATCTTAATTCCATCGGGCCACAGTTAGTGCCAACAATCAAGGTGACCTCTCCACACTCCAGCCCTGCCTATAACATTATGGACATTATGATTATTAAAATGCCCTTTTTGACGATTATTCAGCCACTACTAGCAAGAAAATCTGAAATGTCTCTGCCTAAAGCATGGCCTCCCCTGAGGAATATGCTAGACTATCTATGGTTGCAGAAGCCCTGAGTATAACCATGACAGACTGTGGGAAAGTTCGAGAGTCAGACCCAGAATGAAAATCTCTGATTTTTCCAATTGTAAGAGAAAATTTACTTTTAAGACAGACCTTACTGATAGGATAAGGAAAACAATACTGTCATCAGGAATATTTATGCAGCAGGGGAATAATCTCTTCTCCTGTATCCTTACACCAGACACACCAGGTTTTGACAAATGTTTAATAACGTAAGCAGAGAACAGGGGTCCCACTGCCTAACTAAACTCCCTGTAATATATTAACATATTGCATATTAATGTTTAATATGTCTCTCCTACCTATCAAGGATGTGTTCTGTTGTTTTTCTCAACATCTATTGTTTTTTCCACCACAAAATCCACCCTGTTTGAACAAACTTCGCTGACTCTCCAGCTCTCACCCACCTCCCTCCCACCACACTGCCTTAGGATGTTTTAACTTCCCTTTCCATAAACTTTTTTTTTTCTTTTCTGCAGCAACTCTTTTTTTGCTGCCATTCTTTTATACACATCCTATCCAGTCTGTGAAAAGCAGTCTCTCTCTTGTGAATAACATTTACTCCTCTTGTATCTTTGATTTTAATCCCCAATTACCTCAGTATTTAACGCCTTATCTCTTTTGTGTGTGTGTGTGTGTGTGTGTGTGTGTGTGTGTGTGACAGAGTCCTGCTCTGTCACCCAGGCTGGAGTGCAGTGGCACGATCTTGGCTCACTGCAACCTCCACCTCCTGTGTTCAAGCATTTCTCTCCTGCCTCAGCCTCCCAAGTAGCTGGGATTACAGGCGCCCACCACCATGCTTGGATAATTTTTTTGTGCTTTTAGTAGGGATGGGGTTTTCCCATGTTAGCCAGACTGTTCTCAAACTCCTGACCTCAGGTGATCTGCCCACCTCGGCCTCCCAAATTGCTGGGATTACAGGCGTGAGCCACTGCGCCCAGCCTTACCCCTTATTCTTTTATCCCAGCTAAAGAACTCATTCCTTGAGGACATGAACCAATGCCTTCTCTGCTTACAGTTGCACATGGTCTCTGGGCTTATTTTACTAAGTCCCACAGCCTTGTGTTATCAGCCTCTTAATATCTGTACTTCTACCATGATCATACATTTTTCCAAGAATGGAAACTAGAAGAAGCCGACTCTAGAGTGGTCAGACCAATAGTGTTTTCCATGCGATTCATATTGTTTCATTGCTGTGACAGATGATTCCTGTCGTTTTGGGAAAAAAAACTTATTACAAACTCTTTATCGTCAGTGCACTTAATAATAACCACAAACTGTCTCTCCATCTACTACTTATTTTTATAAATCATAGGGATCATTTTCCCTTTGTTATTGTTACCAGGTGAAAATCTAACTCATATCGTTGTCCATACCAAATGCCTCATGGGGATGAGGGATGCTTTTATTATCCTGGTCTCTACCTTTCAAATACATCAAATGTATATTTCCTTCACCCAGAAATTGCAGTTCTCTACTCTATCAATTCTTGTATTTTATTTCATTTCTTAATTGTCATATAATAATTTATAGTGTACCTAGCGATGATTCAATGCATATAGTATATAGTAATCACATCAGAGTAATTAGCATATGTCCATCATCTCAAACATTTATCATTTCTTTGTGTTGGGAACATTCAGTGTCCTTCTTCTAGCTATGTGAAACTATATAATATAATAGTGCTATCTGTAGTCATTCTGCAGTGGTAGAGAACACTAGAACCTATTTCTTTCCTCCTATCTAACTATAATTCTGCATCCTTTAACAAATTTTTTCCTATCCCCTCCTCTGCCTACCCTTCCCAACCTCTAGTATCCTCTGTTCTACTTTTTACTTCCATGATTTCAACTTTTTTTAGCTTCTACATGTGAGTGAGAACATGCGGTGTTTAACTTTCTATTCCTGGTTTATTAGACGCTTTAAGATTCCAGCTTCATTTTTTGGAGTTATCCTTCTATGTTGTTTTGGTTATTTATAAACTCTGCTATTTATGAAATCATTTTATATTGCTTATTACATCTTAATAAATTATCAGTGTTTTTCTGTGTTTTCTGTGTATATATTTACTTTTTATAGTTTCTCATAAGTATACTTTTCATTACTTTTAATCTCTCCCAGTGCACTGCTAATTCATTATCCCATAATAATCTACCCTTCTTAAAGCCAAAGGAAGAATTTTCTATACATAAAAGTCTTAGCATATTAGCAACTCATATGCAAAAAAAAAAAAAAGCTATATTTCATGCTAGATGCAAGATCTGGCCACAAATTAAGAGCATGTGGATTCTCCTCCTTTTTGGTTTTTGGCTTATGAGATTCCCACATTTGCTTCTTCCAAAGACAAAATTCTGATCCCAAAATAATCACTGAGGAATATTTAAATGTACAAAAAATTAGGTTTAATTTTTTCAACTTTATTTTACTGAAATGCAGAGGTTTTAACTTTGAAGGGGAATTCAAACTTTAAAATATTACATGCAATATCAATTAATGTTTTAAGTTAAATACAAAATTATAGAAATTTATAGAATCCCAAGCAATGGTGCAAAAAGTATATGCTCAATAATATCAGTTTAAAATTAAGTTTGCTACTTTGAGTTGTTTCTTTTACATCAGAGGGCCTAGATGCTACATATGCCTTCAGAATTCTTTGATGTTAATCTCTTATGACAACCAATTAGTTTCCAAATTTCTCAACTCAAGGGCTGACTAATACTATTGCCTAAGCCTTAGGTGGGTCATGTTATTTTAACTAGATACGATGGCTAATCATAAGGAGTGTGTCAAAGACCAGAGGAGTTGAAAACTGGGAAATTTGGAGACACCCTGTCTAAACAGGATTAAGGCTAAACGAAAAGAATTATTGTTTTCCAAACCCTAATGATCCTTGTGATAGCTGCTTTCCCAAACATTGGGATTAAAGGTTAGATTCACATTTAGAAACAAGAATGCAAACACGTATTCATGAATAGCCCTGTCTTTAGAGAAAAATTCATCAATGTCCTAGCCCTTGTGTATCTAATACACTAAGAAACATATTTGTGTATGAAGTCACACACAGGAAAATTAATTCTCTCCTATATTTCATTTTTTTACATTACTTTTCTTCATAAAATACACATCTATTTTTGCAAGTTTATCTTCACTGTGTATAAAAGCTTTTCTAAAGAAACAGTTTAAGAGAAACATTTTTTATATATGATTTGCATTTAAATATAAACATACAAAGTTAAATATTTCTTTTAAAATAAATTCTAAGAGAAAAAAATTGTACCAGTGTTTGTTTTGCAGTGGTAGTATTGCAGAGGTTATTAAAACAACTAATCTTTATTAAAATTCAAATAATTTACTGCCATCAACTGTTTGGTATACAATTTAATTTATTTTTATAAAATTCTGTGCATTTATACTTTTTGAAAGTATACATAGTCCAGATTAAACCATGTCCACAAAAATATAATTAAAACATGAACATTTTAAAAACTTTTATTAGTTTGACCTCCTCCAGTATATAGGGATTCTGTTAAATTAATTTTTTTTATTAAGTTAATAAGTTGAAGTTGTTTTCATGTCAAAATTACATGTCCTTAGGAGGACATGAAAAGGAAGGTGCATTGTGAGACAGTTATATAACAGCTAGGTAGAGACAGAATGAGATGATAATCCTACTGTATGTTAGAAAGAAAATACATATCTATTTGGTATTAGAGTCATCTTATAGTTTTTTTCTGTTGTAAAAAAAAGTTATGCCCATATGTGAAGGTCCTGCCTAGTTAAAAAATGAGGATAAAATGGTGGCTCATTTTGTAGCAGCCAACTGGGTCCCTGGATTTGGAGAATCATAGTTGAAAGACTGTTCAAATTAACACATTTCAAAATACTAATTTGTTTAGATTGTCTTTGAAATTTATATAGATTCTTTTTTTAAAGAAAGCAAACAAACTCAGGGTTTTTGGAAATTGTTTTATTGGCGAGGTCTATGGATGGACACCATTGTATAGGGGCTGCTGATTTTCCCTTTACATATTTCCCCATCTCCCTTCCCCAGGTGTTGCTGCCATCACTACCTTTCCCTTCCTCCCCTTTCCTCATGGCAAGACGCATGGAAGAAGAGTGCTGTTAAGGCCTCTCCATTAATCAACAGGTATGGTGGTTCTCATGAAACAGTGTAGCTGCCCCTCTTCTGCATTCTCCATTAATAGTCTGTCTCTTACATTTACAAGGTGCATTCATTCACTACACAGAGCCTTCTATATGGAAGAATTGTTCAACTTGAGTTTATATGTTTCACCGTGTTATGTATTACCTAAATCCCTATACAGTGGTAGATTTTTCTCAATGTATAGAGTTTAGAAGAATTAATGATATTATTCTCAGGGAAAGTTGCTATGCAGTTTCCTCAACAAAATATGTATAAAATAAATGGAACTTGTATGTATGAATATGCCACTTTCAACATTCTACAAACAATCGTTATATAACACATCTTTGAAAGTATAAAACAGGAATATTTCTGTGAATTTTATTTCAAAATTTAATAGCATTTGCATCTTCAAAAGCATTGCACAAAATTTTATGCACATAATTATAATACTCATCTGGTTATAGAAAATTAGGTATAAGCTAGTTTAATAAATCTAAATACCCTACAAAGCTATGCCATTCAGATGTGAAAGCTGAATGCATGCTAATTACTTTCTGCAACTTTCTTTCGTCAACTCAGCTGGTGGCATTTGAGGGAGACAGAGGGGACTAGGGACTGTTTGTTCAGTCCAAGATATCCTTCATTCAGGGTGCTATATTTTGAAAGGAGCTAGGCCCTCAGGGCTCAAACTCCAGCAGAGTCATAACCTATAAAACATGAACACTCAGTCATCACCAGGAAGCACCCGCCTTCTTGACTTCTTTTTTCACTAGTGAAACGAGTCCTCCCAGCTCCTGCAGGGGCTTGTTTTGATGTATCAGGCTTTGCTTATAGTCTTGTGACTCTCTCAGGTTCTTTGAGACACATGACTAAAATGCTACCTTTGGGCTAGGAAGATTCCTGGCAGATGACTTAGAAAAATAGTGTGTCTATGGGTGTGTATGTGTATAGCAGCATTATTTGTAGTATTCTTTAAAACGGTAGCAGAATTAAGACTTGTCTGTGTACATAAACAAAGCAAACCATTTCAATTTACATACATTTTCACCGAACATTAAAAGATCATATTCCATTTTTCTACTGTATTTGAATGCATTGGAATACGGGAGAAATTGAAAAGGGAATGGATGTTAGTCTGGACCATTAATCTTCATTTAGAAATGTATGGCTTTCTATTAGATAAAGCTCTGATCATTGAGTATCTTTCATGATCTCACTTCTACCCATATTCCTTGCCTTTATATTTTGTTTTAACCTTGAGCACACACTGCACTCTGTGCTCTGCATCTTTCCCAGAGGGTGCAATCTTTCATGTCCACAGGTCTTCGCACGGTTAGGTCCCTCCGTCTGGAAGGCACTTTACTCATGGCTGTTTGGAAAATTCACATACAAAAAATAATAACAGCAACCATGTACTGAGGATTTATTTTGTATGGGCACAATGTTAATGAGTTTCACTTCCATTTTCTTGATTCATCCACACAAAGAAACAATGAGTTAGAAATTATTATTCATTTTATGTAATAGGTAAGAAAACTGAGAGGTGGCGAAGTTGAGAGGGGACAAGATCACTCAGGATTGACTCAAGTGGGACATGCCTTATACAGCTTCTCCTCATTTCTCCCCAGGAAAGCAGTACTCTCGTTCATGCTCACCTCTTGAGTTACTAGAGGGCAATGATTCCACCTTATGTTTTATGAGCTCTTCAATGTCCACAGTATTTGTTACTCACTAAATGTTGATTAAATGAATGAATGTTCACAAAACAGCCTTTTGTCTTCTTCTCCTGAACATGGGCCCTTCCCTTCACCCATACTTCTCTCTATTCTGTTTTTATTCCCTACTTAGCTTGTTGCTCTTGGCCATTATTAGCTTCATAGACTACTCAATATATTTTCTATAAGAAATAATTTATTACTTTTCCTAAAATAATTTAGGACCTGTAACTACAAACTGAATCAATATAAAATAATTTCATCCCCAGAAAAGGAAATTGGTAATTCAAATCCTGTAACATTTATCAAATCTAATGGCAGGAAAGGAAGCACAGAAACACTTGTAACTCACACAGAAAGAAGAAAATTTAACCAAATTTTTTTAAAGATTTGAGGAAAGGAAATTATGAAAATTATACATGGGATTATAGGAAAATAAAGAGGCTATGCTTGAATAGGAAAACAGTTGTATCAATTTACCACTAAAGGAAAACAGTGGATAAGTAAAAAGACAGATAGGAAAAGAGGCCAAATTAAGGAGAAAAAAAAAATCTTTGAGAAAAAAGAAGCAAAATAATTTTGGAAAGGTGAATTAGGAGTAACAAAATGAAGGAAACATGTCATTAAAAACCACAGACACTGAAAGGATGTTAAAAGAATATGAATTAAATTGGGAGGGAAAAAATCAATGCAGGTAGAGAAAAAGAAGTTTATTTAAGAGTTTGTGTTTCCTTATTCTTAGAAAAGCCTTTGAGGTAAAATGACTGAGAAGAAAAAGGGTAATTTAAGATGCATTGATTTGTGTACACTGTATGTTTTTAGGACTTTTTCTGTGACAACAGTTTTTTTGAGAGCAAGATACGGGCTTATGCATTAATTTGGAGCTATGCATTTAGAACTAAAATAGTTGTGCCTAGAGAATACGGTTGAGACAGGGCTTGCTGGGAAATTAGGATTCAAGTCCAAATATCCCTCTCCACCACATTCTCTACCAAGATACTCATAACACTAATTAATCTGTTAGTTTTACACATAAAAGTATCACCTTATATCTGTTTTTCTTTATGTAGAGTGCCTGAAGCGTAGAATAAATATTTGCTGAATTAGTCATGAAATTTTAAGAGTGGATAGAGATTAATGGTTAACAAATCCCGTCTTAGATTGTGCATGCACCCCTTAACACCATTTATAAGACTTGCTTATCTCCACTTGAATAATTCCAGGGACACAAAGTCTAGAGGTTGCTCCTATTTTGGGACATCTTTAACTTTCCAGCTTTTTCTAGCTTCCTGTAACTTGAATCCAATTATCCCAGTTTTCCCTTTTGGAAGCACAAAATAATTTCTATTTTTTTTAAATGAAAGTATTTCTAGACTTAAATTCAGACAGACACTATGTCATAATGTCTAGATATCTAATGTCTATCTATTTTCTTTTTTGGTTTATAGCCCCAGTCTTTCTAATTTTTCTATATTACTTGATTGCAAATCTTTTTAGTATTCTGGTTATTTTCATTTTCTCATTTGGTGAAAAATGGTCTTGCCTAAAACAAGCAATTCAGCATGGGCTTCCACAGTTTATGTTCTTATATTTAGTCAGCTTGAAGAAACTAGCAATTTCATTTGAACACCTTCAAGGAAAAAAAAAAAGAGGTACAGATTAAAGCTGCATATGGCTTTGACATTAATTTGTTAAAGGTGTGGTTTGTATAGGATGCAGTATATAAATAAAATAAACATGAGTATGTGTTAAATAATTAATTTTAAAAATAGCATTTGAAGAAAGATTTTCAGTCTTTACTTTTTACTTTGTAATTTAATACATATTTTAGTTTGTGTTGGTTGCCTGAGGTGAATCTTTGCCTAAGAAGTCCATTCATCATTCTAACAAATTTCACACTACAAAATATAATGTCCTTAAGTGGATAATAACATTGGTGGAAGTAAAAGACAAGCACAACAAAACAAAAATTATTTTTTCATTGCAAGTAATTGACTTGATTGACTGATAATATGGTCTCATATATAACAATATATTATATTGTTACATGGAGGGCAAAACAAGATTAAAAGATGTGTAAAGCAAGAGCTGTCAGATCTGCGCTTTCCCTAACATAATTTATTGCAAAGTAAATTCTTCATTTATGGGAACTGTTACAAATGCCAAATTGCTGTCAATATCCCTTGGTGAAGCCTATTTATGGATAGATTATGGCACACTCTGCAAGGCCCTGCACATCTGACTTTCAGTGAGTGTCTATGCAGAATATATGGCCTTTTCCAGAACTAGGAAATTTAATTAATTTTTTGGCAGAGAACACTTTTTATGCCACATGCCTTTTTGCTGACCCTACCCAAGACTTCCATTTTCAAATGTGCTTCATATATTATGAACCTATATAATCTTAATGAAAGTCTTCCATATGGTAATTATATTGTGTGACTTTGTACAATATTCTCAAGAGTTCCAGTGCTGACATAAATTTTTTCTCTGTGGTACTGAACATTTCTTTGTACATTGTATGAATATATGCACCTCCCTCTGCTTTTTGACATTCAGTTACCAAAGCGATACCCTTTAGGTATTAGATTATCTATAAGATTCTTAGGCCATATTCTTAAAACAACAGGGAACATGTATCTGCTTTGCTATCACTGCTGTTGAAGGGGTATGCCATGTGCAACATGACAATTTGATACCTTTTACTCTGTCTTTTAGTGTCATAGAAAGACGAGTGAAAAGCAGGACACAGGGATTAATCACTTAACCTCTCAAGACCTCATCAATGCCATTAAAATGGGGGATTTGGACTAGTTCATTTTTAAAGTGAATTCCAACTTTCTACAGAATATGGAAGACTAGGAATTTTATAAATTGAGATTTTGTTCTAGGTTTGCCAGGAAACTATATTTAACCTCCCTGGAGCATGGTTTCCTCAGCTGCAAAATAAGGAGACTGAGCTAAATCACGGATGTAATCTTTAGTGATAACATGTGTTGACTTATTTTTCTTTCTGAAGCTATCTCTTGAGAAGGATTCTGAGAGCTTGCTTTGACTGAGTGGCATGGAGTGCTGTGATCATGTATTCCATTACCTCTATGTCACAAACTTGCATCATAAATTCTGAGAATGCTTCTCATTCAAAAAGAAAAATTTTGAATGATTATTATAATTTTTAAATTTCTATTTTTTTTCTTGTTTGAGGTATACACAGATGATTCTTGTGCTTAAAAATGTGTGAATCCAGGAAATTGTTTGGTGCTCTTAAGGAAGACAGGTTGAGGAGAGGACAGCCTCTTTAGATACTTAGAATACTTTAACTCAGAAGACAGATGAGGGATTCAACTCATTCTTTGTGCTTCTTAGCAGCAGATTGAAAGCCAATTGGATAACATGGGGAAAAAACTGACTCACATAAGCATAAAATGTATTACTATAGAAAATGCTCAATAAAGGTTGATACATAGAATAGTCTGTGTTGTGAAATCTGCATCAGTAAAGATGTTAAAATTTAGATTGCTTGACAATTTCTCGAGGCCACTATTTTTATTTATTTTATTTTATTATTGTATTTTATTTTATTTTATTTTATTTCATTTTATTTTATTTCATTTTATTTTATTTTTTGAGACAGAGTCTCAGTCTCTGTCGCCCAGGCTGGAGTGCAGTGAGCAGTGGCGCAATCTCAGCTCACTGCAACCTCCGCCTCATGGGTTCAAGGGATTCTCCTGCCTCAGCCTCTCCAGTAGCTGGGATTACAGGCATTTACCACCACACCTGGCTAATTTTTTTATTTTTAGTGGAGACAGGGTTTCACCATGTTGACCAGGCTGGTCTCAAACTCCTGATCTCAAGTGATCGTCCCGCCCCGGCCTCTCAAAGTCCTGGGATTACAGGCATAAGCCACCGTGCTCGGCCAAGGCCATTGTTAAAGGACCTCATAAGATAGCAAGTTAGATAAAATGAATTACAGGCTGGACGCAGTGGCTCACGCCTGTAATCCCAGCACTTTGGGAGGCCGAGGCGGGTGGATCAAGAGGTCAGGAGATCGAGACCATCCTGGCTAACACGGTGAAACCCTGTCTCTACTGAAAATACAAAAACAAACAAAAAAAAAAAGCAAAAAAAAAACAATTAGCCAGGCAAGGTGGTGCACGCCTGTAGTCCCAGCTATTAGGGAGGCTGAGGCAGGAGAATGGCATGAACCCAGGAGGCGGAGCTTGCAGTGAGCCGAGATCATGCCACTGCACTCCAGCCTGGGCACTCCAGCCTGGGCAACAGAGTGAGACTGCATCTCAAAAAAAAAAAAAAGTGAATTCCAATGCTAATGGTCTGTTGTTCTATAATAACTATCAGACATAATAATACCAATAACTTTGTACCTGGATTTGGTGATAAAATTATCAAATATTTTATCGGAATTGATGATTTAGAATTTTAACATAAGCCATCTACTTGTTAGCCAATGCTGTAGTGTTCTAGTAAAGTGCTTTATATTATCAAAGCTGCTTTTTTGAAGGAAAAGTTACTAATTCTCATTTGTGGAATTCACTTCTTCTGTTATCTGTAGACTACACTTTGTATCTTCATTTTGAATGCTACTTCTTTATTGAAGTATAACTGACTATAATAAAAGTTAAAATAAAGATCATTTGCAAAAGTAATTTAATTATTTTCAACTTAATAAGATATAGAACATAAAGCATTCACATAGAATCATAAAGTATTTTACCTGGAAGGGATTATGAAAATTTCCTTTTGAAATCTCGTTAACTTTTTCAAGGTCATTTAGTTAGTGAGACACTTGTGATCCAGATTTTCTGAATCTCAATTCAGAGTAACCAAATTTACTGTAGTAGTTTGCTGAAAAGTACAGATCTTGGTGAGTTGAGGCTTTCTTTTGCATCCTTGGATGCACTACTTGTCTTGAATCAGCCAGATGAAATAGGAAAGCAAACAAAAAATTTTGTATAGAAGAAACAGAAAAACACTAGGTAGCATAGGCTGCTGTGTTCCTGGAGGAACGTGGAGGTCGGCATCCCTTTGTAAAGCTTGACATTACAAATATTCTTTGTAATCTACTAACAACTCTTGCCAGAAGTAAAAACAGTAAAAAACAATATATATTCCAACTTAAAATCAGCAGCTGCGTAATATGAGCTTATCACCACCATCTCATGGCTCTGGTCACGAGAGTTTAACACCACTAGAGTTTATAACAAAAGAAACAGAGCAAATTACCGAAGATGTCCAATCACAAACGTTAACCAGACTTAACCATCATTATTTAAGCTTGCCTGTCCACTCTAATCAGGATAACAGACATCAATTAAATAAAAAGAATTATAAACACAAGCACATTAGCTGATTGTAATGGAATATTATTTATTTGACAGGGGAAAAATGTCTTCAGACACCAGTAGGACATATTGCTCAGGATTTTAATTCTTTGTGGTCTTAGCTGAGTATAATAGCAACATAAGCCAGTGTGTTCAAATAATGAAGAAGATGCAGGAAAATATTTTAAAAACAACCAGGAAATGTGGATCTAATTTTGAAATTGTGACACTTTGGTGAGGATAAGCTTGGCCGAAATGCAAGTTTTACTGATCTTTCTCTATATTTATAATAGGAGCAAAAATTGACATTGGGTGGGGTGATTGTTTTAAAAGGTGTTTTGGATCATTTATTTTAAAGATTTGTTCCCCAATAAGGCACTATACTATCAATGACTTTTCTTCTTATATCTGAACTAGTTCTCAAAAGGACACTGCATATCGAATGTCTTTAAATACATTAAATAGGCTTTACATTGTAAGAGTCTTTTAGTATATATCCATAAGAAATTTTCTTCCAGGGAACTGAAGTTCTGATTTTATCATGGAAATCAATGGAAAAAGTTACTTTCGGCTAACGCATTAATTTGCTTTACTGCTAACTCTGCTGGGTCATATTAAGTTAGTGGATAATTTCCAAGTATTTTTGGCCTCAGTATGAGGGAGACAAGAGGCACTATTCAAATCATTTGAATATGTTTTATGACACTTGAACTTAAGAAAATTGTCATTATGCTTTAGAGACCGAAAATATCTGCTAAACTGTGATAGACAGAGGGTATTTATAGAAGAGAGGAAAGAGTGGAAAAGATAGATCAAAACTAGGCAGAACAAACTATATATACATGGAAAGAATCAGTGAGGAAGGAGGTTACAGTTTTTTAAAAATACTCTTAACTTTTAGTTAATTAGTAAGATAGTTTGCTGGTGGAATGGAAACACAAGAAATTAAGTGTACTGAAGGAGGAAAGACACCAAGGGCCCATCTGTAATGTCTCATATAGTTAACTGGGCAGATAAGCTCTTCTTTACATTTCCGGAATATATTTCGTGGATATATGAGTGGCATGTAATCATAACATTATATCCAATACTTATCAAAGAAAACATAATCTATTCTCATCATTGATGTTGCCTCAATGGTGTTATAAGTATACTATAATAGCAAAAGAAATACACCCTTATATATTTAAATGATAATTAATAACTTAAGGTGATTCAAATAATAACATTAGAAAATAAAATATATTTCACCTAATAAAACTCTTAACAATCCACTTTTAGTTTTTAGAATAACAATATCATAAGAAAAAAATCTTCACGTATTTTTGGCAAAACATTTTAAAGTTTTAATAATATTTTAACAAAATTAATTTAATCTGGAAATTGAAGTAGTTTGCAACTGAAATAAATGATTATGGTACATAATGTAGCATTTTGTTTCTTTTTAAGAATTTTGATATTTATCTAAATTAACCAAGAAAAAGCAAACCAGTCATTTCATAAATAAACTATTGCTATTATTGAAATAGTGACCAGAAAAAACAAAATCAAATTATCTTATTATAAATTTAAGATTAAGTTTTTAAGAAAATAAAAAGTATTATGAACAAATAAAGCATAAAAGCATTTTACTTAGTAGATAATACCATACTTTTTAAGCATAGCTATATTTGCTAGCCCTTTGGTAGGGGTGGAGGAGCCAGCTTGTCTTTTCAATAGTGTGAGGCTCAAAGCACCAGATTAGCAAAATTAGATGGTTCTGAAAGTTTAAGAAAGTATGGAATCATCTACAACTTGGTATAGAAATCACTAGATTTTCCAAAGATGTTACAATTCAAGCGTTCCAGGGACGCTTTAATATATGTTTGCTTTTACCTGCAATTGTATTTATGAGATTCACTGATGAGAATGACTGTTTTTGAAATTTGCTTATAAATTGAGGGGTGCAAAAAGGAACATTTTAGCAATTGGAAAGTCTTTTTTTTTTTTTAAGCCAAACATTTATTGTAAATAAGTGCAAAATTTCAGAGTAGTTTGCTCTAAGGAAATATGTGATTTACACAGTACCATTAGCAATTAAAGTTATGAACTATTTTCTGGGCTCTCATAAAGTCCAAATATCAGAGATACATATTATCTTGTCTTGTTGGATGAATTATATCTTTTTAGAAAAAAAGTACAATTAAAAAGTATAACCTCTTATCACTGAGCATTTTGGCAAAAGTAAAACATGAACTATTATTATTACATATTATGGATTTTACTTTGACATGACTATAGTTTGCACAGAAGTATGTTTCCTGCAGTTGCATGAATATAATACTTATAAGTAAAATGTGTAGGCTACTTTTTCTTCCAGAAGCCTGATGGCATTAAATCAATTTTAAAGTGCCACGTTAGGCCCTGTGACCATGACATCTAAGGATTTAGTTTATAAAATAAAGTAATAAAACTTAGATACTTAAACTGCAAATGAAGTTGCCTTTTATCTTAGTTTACAGTACTATAAATGTGTGCCTTCATCTATTTTGGTAGGTAGTTGTTATTTATTTGTCTCTTCCACTTTGAATTAATAATTGAGAGCTTCCATTTTATTTAGCACAAGTCCTAAATGAAAGAGGATATATACTTAATCAATGAGTAAGCGTCTGGGAGAGCCAAGCACTTACACTGGATTGCCATTTGTTAAATTTTGATAGTCTAACCACTCTGTATTCTATTTTCTCACCTGTGAAATTATAATACAGTAACCTACATTAGGTTCCCAATGGTTCATGCAGAAATTATATAGATAGTTAGAAAAGGAGGGGAGGAAGGAAGGAAGGAAGGAAGAAAGGAAGGAGGGAAGGAAGGAAGGAAGGAAGGAAGGAAGGAAGGAAGGAAGGGAGGGAGGGAGGGAGGGAGGAAGAAAGATTTCCTACTGATTTATAAAAGGATCAGTCCCCCAGTGCAATTTGGAGATGCTACATCCAAGTAGGGAGCATGGATAATGGGTGCAATAGAATATTTTGCCATTAAAATAGGATTATCTCTTCGAGACATGCTTTTGGGAATGAATTCGAAAATGAGAATTGGCTGTGGCTAGGTCATGTAAGGAAACAGTGAATCAGACATCCCAGTAAACCAGGTAGTTTATGAATGAGCAAAATGCTACCCTGTTTTATCACTTCCTACTGCTTATTGAGGGTGGAATTCCTTTGGCATAGCCATGTTTTTAGAATAATCATCTAGAGAACTCTTACACAGTAGTCACAATAATCATGGAAAAGATCTGGGGAGGAAATTATAGGATATATTTTATGCTAACTGTTAGAGAAACAATCACAGTGTAAACATCAGATTAAAAATTAAGTGAGAGCTATTAATTCTAAAATATTAGTTAACCAAAATATTATTTACCTTCTTTTGAGTCTCATTTTTTGTTTCAGGCTTTTCCTGGGTATTACAGATGCAAATCAATTCTAGCTGTTAAGAAGGCCTTTTCCATTTCTCATGAGAACCTCAGTTTCATTCACCTGATGTTATGCAATATGAGATGAGAAAATAACACTAGGACTATAAAAGAGACCAAAAATAAATCTACTGAGTTGAGGAAATGTGAAATAAAATTTAGTTTTAAGATGTTTTATGTTTTAATCTGAGTAAACTTTGTTAGCTCTCTCTCTGAATATAGAATGTAAAACATTGGAGTTGATTTCATTAAAGAGTCTAGGTGACTAAAATATGTGAATTATGAAGAAAAGACGTTGTTGTTATTTGACCTCAAAATGAAGATATGTGGATTTATAGATCTTTAAAAGACTATTTTCTCTCTCAGCAGATCTTCTCTTGCCAAATGAATACAGTCACTTATTATTTCTTTTATGGGAATGTGTGTAAAGTGCTTATTATATTCTTAATAATACTTTTTAAAATTAATGAGTTTCATTAATATTATATCTTACAAAAATTTATTTAAAGTAGCTTATAAAAATATGTTATAAAACCTTGGCACGCCGGGCACGGTGGCTCATGCCTGTAATCCCAGCACTTTGGGAGGCCGAGGCGGGTGGATCATGAAGTCAGGACATCAACACCATCCTGGCTAACACAGTGAAATCCTGTCTCTACTAAAAATACAAAAAAAAAAAAAATTTGCCAGGTGTGGTAGCGGGTGCCTGTAGTCCCACCTACTGGGGAGGCTAAGGCAGGAGAGTGGCGTGAACCTGGGAGGTGGAGGTTGCAGTGAGCCGAGATCGTGCCACTGCACTCCAGCCTGGGCAACAGAGTGAGACTCCATCTCAAAAACAAAAAACAAAAAACAAAAAAAAACCTTGGCACCTAGTCATAGTTTGATTATAATCAAAACATATCTAAATATATCAAAAGTATAGCCCTCTTTTCCCTGACTTCTTGTTTTTATTATTTAAAAATGCAATATTGGTGTTTGCTTTCTACATATGATTATTGCCAATTAATACAGACTTCATTTGCATAAAACTTTTCTGTGGGTCTTCTGAACTGGTACCACCTCATTGTTTTTACTGCCATCTTTAAGCTGCAAACAGAGTCAATTCATCTCACCTGTTGTAGCAAATATGGATAAATTGTCTGCTTTTGTTTGGGTCAAACAGAATATGCCCATAGGGTGGTATTTGAAATTTTGTCTCAATAACTTCCAAGCTTTTAATTTTACTAATGCTAATCTCTCCCACTCATCTCTTAATTACAAAGTAATATTTTTTTCATTGTTGGTAATCTACTTCTCCCTTTCCTTAGTCAACACTTAAATTTATTTAATGCACCTCTTTGGAGCTTAATAACAAGAGCAACAGACTCCAGTTGAGCAAAAGTGCATTTATTTATGAATGACTTGAATTGCTCTTGGAGGAAACACACTGTTTGAATTGAATTCTTTCTTATCTATGAAAGACCATTAAGGTCCTAAAACACAGATTTCTGCAGTTAAATAAATGTTTAATAAGCAAATGACTCTCGAATTGATAGAAGTTCAGGAAATATGACAAAATGATGGCAAAACTCCTGCCATTGTAATTGGGGAGTTATTACAGAGCACATGCCAAGATGTATCAGCTAGACTTGTTCAAGTTGGACCGCCTATGTAATACTTTTCCTAAATTTCTAACCTTTAAGTTATTTAAAGCCTATGTGTACTGTGTATGCATGCAATAAAGTAAGTATGTATGTATGTTTCTAATTGAAGTGGAAAGATGGTTAGTTAAAAGTGTAATTCTAGGATGGGCATGGTGGCTTGTGTTTATAATCCCAGCATTTTGGAAAACCCAAGTGGGAGGATTACTTGAGCCCAGGAGTTTGAGACCATCCTGGGCAGCATAAGGAGACTCCATCTCTACAAAAAATTAAAAATAGCAAGGTATGGTGGTGCTCTGTAGTGGCAGCTATTCTGGAGGCTGAGGCAGGAAGATCACTTGAGCCTGGGAGGTTGAGGCTGCAGTGAGCCATGATCACGCCACTGCAGCCTGGGGGTCAGAATGAGACCCAGTCTTAAAAAAAAAAAAAAAAAAAAAAAAAAAAACAGTGGTAATTCTATATAAGTGAAGTGTTGATACACTTGAGACTACAGTAAGAGCCTTGACTTAATATTAGTACGTATCTTGATAACTGTCCCTGTTGTTCTTTATTTCTGCTGAAGTGGCAACATCTCAACTGGGCTTTCACCAGGAAGGTAACAAGCCTGAGGAATAAGTCACATTGTCATCAGTGTTATTTGCCAATCAGAGGAAGTGTGGGAGGTAAAGTTCATTACAGTTGCTGTTAGAGTGAGAAAGACAGAAGAGGTATGCCATTGGTAGACAACTGAAGCCATCATATGAAACTCAAACCTTGGCTAATAGTAACTGTAATCAGGAAGATGTGATAAGGGCTGACTCACAGATTCCTCTGGCTTTTGGCCTAAATCTAATCAATCAAAAAGAAGCCTTCTAAGTATAAAATAACATGCTGTATGTTGACTAAGCATATGTTTTGAGGCTTAAAAGTCATTGGAGATTTTATAGTTCTTCCTACCTTTGGTAAGTTGTCTTCCTGAATTATACTATCTTCTCAGTGTCTGTATACATGCTTCCTCTCACTGTTGGAGAGCCCTAAATTATGAAGTTTTCCAAGCTCTCCATGATTATTTAAGACCAAGTATATATTTGCATCATTATAATATGATATACTTTTATAAAAATAGTGGTAATTAATTTCACCTAACAATGAGTATTCAATACTACAGAATACCTCCTTTGTGCCTGACCCTGTGCTAAATGTTAGATTGAATTTATAGAACTTAACCTGCTAGTTATGTTTTTTCTCTTTTTTTCTTATTACAATGCAAATGGTGTGGCTACATATCCCTGCATTTTTCATAGCTCATAGAGAGTAAGATGGTATAGGCTGTGCATTTTAGAATGTATGATATCTGCCAAATCTGAGTGGAATGCCAGAAAGGAGAAAAAGAGGAAACAGCACAACCAAGTGAACTACCCCTTTTTCTCATTTCCAAAATAACTTTTCAAGCCGAGGGAAATTTTGACATGAGTTAAAGCCTTCCCCAACTCTAAGAACAAGACTGAATTCAGAAGATCACTCTGAGTCTGATGGCTATTGGCAGTCTCAGAGGGGCCATATTTTTACATGGATGAACCATTCCGGGACAATTTCTACAATATATTAAGCACAAACATATTATCTTTCTATTTCAAACACATATGTCTTATCTTGCTCCTTTGATGTATCTTCAGGAAATACATATAATTTGGCTTTGTAAAAAATATTGCATTGTCTATTGGCATTGAACTGTCTTTATATTATCTTATTCCAATAATGGCATACAGCGGAACCCACTGGGTGCTTCAGAGTTCATTTTCTTTGGGAAATGTCTTATTCATAGCTTTAGTTTGCTATAGGGGAAGTGATAGGGTATATTAAGCTTCCTCAGCAGTAGTAGTTTTATTTATTTATTTATTTATTTATTTATTTTTTTTTGAGATGAAATCTGGCTCTGTCTCCCAGGCTGGAGTGCAGTGGCCTGATCTCGGCTCACTGCAAGCTCTGCCTCTTGGGTTCACGACATTATCCTGCCTCAGCCTCCCGAGTAGCTGGGACTACAGGCGTCCGCCACCTCGCCCCACTAATTTTTTGTATTTTTAGTAGAGACGGGGTTTCACCGTGTTAGCCAGGATGGTGTCAATCTCCTGATCTCATGATCCGCCTGCCTCGGCCTCCCAAAGTGCTGGGATTACAGGCGTGAGCCACCGCACCCGGCCCAGTAGTTTTATTTATTTGGGGACTTACTGAATTTTATTTTTCATATCGTTGCATATGAGGAGCACAAATGGACTTTTTTTTTTTTTTTAACCTCCCTGAGGGCAGAAATAGTAGCAGCAGATGTACAGTTTCAGAGCTTTGGACAACAGAAGTAGAAGTACTAGAAGTACTGGCACGTAATAGATGGAAATGAAATTGTTCTACATCCATTTCCACTCATTCAGGCAATTCATGTACAAACTAAAAAGTCCTTTCCCTTTTCCACATTTTACAGGTGAACTACTTAGGTTTTGTTGGTTTGTTTTTTGTATGCTGTTCTTAATTTTGGTGAATAGAGAGGTGCTTTCTATTCCATTGACTAAGATTTTCTTTTAGAGAAAGTAAGCAATATTCAGAGTTATTGCTGTAAGTTTTGCTTGAGTGCTTACGCTTTAATTCATATTTTATGCCATGCTTTTTCACACAAAGCACTTATGGCATGCTCTAGAATCCATAAGAAATGAATATATGTTAATTAGCTTGCATTCAGTTATTTTACATTCAGCAGCTCTTTATTTCTGTTGGTTTATATTCTAATACGATTTGCAATTCTAGTGTAGTATATTTAGTACACGGTCTTTAAGGTATAGTAATTTACATTTTAATCATACATTAATTTATAAAGAATAATAAAATGTGATAAATGTTTTCTTCTATGTAAATTTATGTTTACATCCTGACTCACAACTGGGAGATAAAGCAATTTGGATCAAGCAAGGCATGCAGATATATGAATTGGTTAAAAAATCTGTAGTTTTATAATTCTAGTTACATAAGATGACAATTTAAAAATTGATGGCTAATTTTAGAGAACAAGAAATTTATTTTTTCCAGCCTTTTATAAAGTACAATGAATCACTGTTATCAAAACAATTTTATGTTAAATTTGTTTGACTAGAGTATTTATCAAGCCTCCACTTTTTCTTCAAGCTTTTCCCTCTATAGATCACATGATAAGATATCAAATCACCTTACACCAATCAAGCAAAGCAAAAGATTTTAACAATTCTAAGCATTTATCTTTCATGAGAGATGTTATCTCATGCTGTTGAATCTTCCAGTGCAAATTAGGTTTCTTTCTCATTCTATGCCATCATTTAAAGAAATAAAAAAGAGTACAAAACTTGTCAACTGGAAATGGTCATGTTAAATATTTTTTCCTTCTCTGTTCTTGCATCTGTATCTTTCCATCAAAAACAAAATAATACCTGAAGTTTTATAGTATTTCAAGCAGAAAAGGTTTAAAATATTATTTTTTTAAAAAAGTAGCATTTTCCTATGTGCAGAAGCAGATCCAGCCAAGTTATTATGGATAATCTTCAAGCAGTATCCGGACAGGATGGCCATTTTCATCTAAAAGTATTTCTGCAGAGTGAAAATGCATTTTTCTTTTGGAATTTTCAGGATAATTAATCTTCAGTGCACATAAGATGATTTAGGTAGATAACCTGGCCTTGTTAAACATGCTATGCTGTTTCTGACCATCAACATTATAACTCATCAGATTTCCAAAGCAAGGGCTGCTTAAATCAAAGGATTTTCATTGCGGATTCTTGACTGCTGCTGGTTAGATGTCAGAGCTTGGAAGTTACTCTCCAAGTAATTGTAAAGCACTGTTCTCCAATCAGCATATATTATTGCAAGCAAGAACGACACTGTCAGAATTTCTATTTAAGTTATAACTCAGTCATTTCAACTTTGAGTCACACATGCTTAAATGTCTCAACTGGATTAAAAGCATGTTACATTCTTTTCCTATCCATAATTGTGTTCTGGACAAAAATATATTCTTTTGATTTTTCTAATTATTCATTAGGGATGGGTGTCATTGTTTTGTGACAAGATTTACTATCCATAAAGTGTTTCATGTCAGTTTTAATGTGTTAGCCCCAAATTACAGAGTAATAGCTCTTAAATTGCAGGAAAAATGTGGGGTGCCTTTGGGTATGAAAGTAAAGGAAGAGAAACACATTTTTATTTTGGGGTTTTGACTGTCATTTTTTTGTTTGAGGGGAGTGGGATATGAATTGAGTAAGCAGGGATGTGTTTAGTTTCAAGAAAAACTGTAAGGAGGGAGTCACCAACTTTAGCCCAAAGGTTCCATATTGTCAGTTGTTGAAACAAAACAGGAGGCACTCTATGTTGAGACTTGGCCTTGTTGCAAATAGGGAACAAAACTCTCCTCAGACCATGCATCAAATTAGTGTTAAAGCTGAAATGAAAATGTAACTTATCAAAATTGGTTTAAAGGACAAAATCCTATTATTCTTGTGAGAGAACATAATTTAGTAAGAAGAGCATCAAAATGGAAACTGAGAGTCTCCATTTTAATTTCTTCTTAGGAAATAAATTAAGCAATGCATCAACTTCTCTATGCCTCAGTTTCCTTATTGCAAAATTGTGGAATTGTGCTAAAGACTTTTAACATCTTAGCTAGTTTTAAATTTGTTTTCTTTCTATGTGCTGGATATTTAAAATTAGTCAATATAAATAAAATGTGGATATTTAAAGTGAAAATAATTTACCACAAAAATTGTAACTTAAAAAGTTGTTTTAAATCCATATAAGAATTGTGGCTAAGAAGAATGATGAATTGCAAGAAGGAAAAGCAATGATTGACATTGCAAAAAGAAAAAAAAATCAGTCATAAACACAATTGATTTTTATCCGTTTGGTTATTTGGTTTGTATGAATTGTAATGCCAGACTGTATTTTCAAGACTAATTATAAAAGAGCCTAATAGCTAGCAATAGATAGCTTCTAAAATTGGGCCAAATAGAATTTTCTACATATTTAGAATCAAGCAATTCTCGTGGTTGATATTATTTTCTTCAATGGATAGTCTGCATACGATGTCTTTCTTACTCTGCTGTCTCTCTTTATTTAAAATTATAGTTTATACTTTTGCATGAAAACTACATAGACTCTGATTGGTGGCAAACATAGACAATTGTATAAACTGAAGTGCGCTCTCAACAGTAGAAATCACTGGATCTTATTAGGAAAAGCACTGGGTCCTATAGAAGCTCTTGGGATCCTAGAAGTATTCTTATTTTCTTCTCTCGCTCCCATGAAATTTATGTTACATTCAAACTAAGCATGTTGACCTACGTAAGCCTTCTGAGCCAAATGTTTTGAGTAGCATTTTCCAAACCTCATACAGGAATCAAAGAATTTAAGAAATGAGGTATCCATAGTCTCTGTGTCTGAACATTTAGTACCCAATCTATAGTACACCCCCAATTAAGACAAATCATTGCCAACTTTTGCCCTGGAATTGAGTAATGGGAACTGGCTGAGGTGTATTTCATGCATACTTCTAGCAGAGCTGATATCATAACTCAGACAAAAATTGATTTGTGTGCCTCACTCTTCCAAGAGACTAAGCCTTGTGAGTAGAGGAACCAGTATTCCCAACTCAGTGTCATCTACTGAAAAGTGTCTCAATATATTTTTAAAGAATAGATGTAGTTCCTTGATTTCATTAAAAATATATCCCTAAAAACTAGGTCATAAACACAAGGACACTATGTCGTCTCCACTGTTACTCCTTGACTTTATTTTGCAAATATTTGTTGAGCAGACACTGTTCCAAGTACTGTTTAGCTTCCAGTAATAAAAACAAAATTAACCATATGGAGTCCTCACCCTACACAAATTCAAGATGCAGTGAGAAGGACATAAAAATTGATCAAAGAAAAAAATTACTCTCTCTCTCTCTCTATATATATATATACACTATATATATATATACACACACTATATATATATACACACACTATATATATACACACACTATATATATATATATATATATATATATATATATATATATGGGATATTATGTCAGAATTAAAAAACAAAAGACAAGACAGCTCAGCCTTCAAACCAAGGTTGGAGACTTCTTGAGCAGAGCACATGATCAGAATCTTCTTTTTAATCTAAAATCATCCCTGAACTCCATGCTTCTCATCCCTTAACCTTCTAAAGACATTATTGTGCATACTTTTTTGCACAAATAACTTTCTAATATTTTAATCATTGAATTTTGAAAGATTAATTCAGTTCACTTGCCAGTTATTTTGAATCCAGCTTTAATAAAGAACTGCCTAACAATTTGTAGTTTTCATGTCTCTGTGTGAACAAGAATGTCACCTAAGTTAGCACAAGTCTCATTAAATATTGAAAAACAGAAACTGGCATAGGATGCTCTATAGTGGCATAGGATGCTCTATAGTGGCATAGGATAACTCCAGGTTCTGAACCATACATGTGCCTGTATACATCTTGTTTCTTTACCCTGTTACAATTTTTCTGTCTTCTCTTTCTGGACAACTCATTCATACATTAACCTCCACAAACATTATCACTTTCTATGAACTTATGTAACAGCTTCAGGATCCTGCATAAAATTGTAATCTTTTCTTCCCCTTATAACATTTTGTACGTACTCTCGGTCAGAGAATATTTACTGAGAGCCTGTTTTGTTTAAAGCACTGCACCAGGAACAAAGAGCCATTTCAGCTCCTGAGACAGGGCTGTTTTAGGCCGGAATGCAGAACCTAGACTTACTGGTTATTTGCAGCCAACGTCCATCCTGAATGTTCCATGCCCTTGCCGTACCAGCTAGTTAAAGATTTTGAATGTCACCCCTATACAATGCATAAAGAGTCCCTGGACATTTTCAGACATGCCATTCCTGTTTCTGTCCTTGAAGCTGCACTGCTGCACCTGTGTGGCAAATTTCTTGATAAGAAAGAAGCTTGATTTTGTCTCTTTTTTTTTTTCTCAAAGCTTTCCAGGGGAATGTCAGTTCCTGTTTTGTGAACCTTTTAGGAGCTAAAGGACACACTGGGAAAGCAATATAGGAAATTGCTAAACCAAATGAAGCAACGTTTGGTTCCTATAACTATTCAGAGAAGACTAGCAATATGAAACAAGGATTAATGAAAGAGGTTGTCCAAATATAGAAGCCATCTCTTTAGCCTCATCTCTAAATGTATATGTAACTTCTAAGTCCCAGAGATCTAAGAATGCTTGGAAGATAGTTGGGAAAAGAAAGAGAGAGTAAGAGAGGATGAGAGAGAGAGAGACAGAGAGAGAAAGAGAATGCACGCATTAAAATTTGATCTAAACATATGACTTTAAAGTATCTTGTATCTATGTAAATGGAACAAAATTCAAAGTTTTTATTTTCTGGTTTTAAATAATGATAGTAGTTAAAATTACAGATGCTGGAGTCAGATCTCATCTATAGCATCTAGAAGCTGAGACACTAGGCCCTTAAATTATCTTACTAAGCCTCTCTTTCCATAGATAGATTTCACCTAAATTAAAGAGGTAAGTATTATCTGTCTACCACTTCCTGTGTACCAGACATTGCTGCTTGAATTATGTGTTAATTAATGTAATCAAGACTTAACAATCTGATTGCACATGAGAAACTGAGGCTTAGAGTTACTCATTTTGCCTCACCCAATGTGTTATCCTGGTGGTCAGACCACAGAGCCTGAACCCCAAGTACTGTGCATACTGCTGCTTCATGTGAATTATAAATGGGTTTTTATTAATAACAGTTCTGAAATAGACCTATTGTGCTCTAGGAATTTTATTGTAAGTTACACAACAAAGTGTGACAAAGTACAACAAAGTGTGACAAAGTGATAGTTTTGCTTTCTTCCTGGCACAAATAGTACTTCATGTGTTGAATGATACCTTTTTTTTTTTTTCCTGAGACGGCGTCTAGCTCAGTCGCCCAGGCTGGAGTGCAGTGGCACGATCTCGGCTCACTGCAAGCTCCCCCTGCCGTGTTCACGCCATTCTCCTGCCTCAGCCTCCCCAGTAGCTGGGACCACAGGCACCCACCACCACGCCTGGCTAATTTTTTGTATTTTTAGTAGAGACAGGTTTCACCATGTTAAACAGGGTGGTCTCGATCTCCTGACCTAGTGATCCCCCCGCCTCGGCCTCCCAAAGTGCTGGGATTAAAGGCATAAGCCACCGCTCCCGGCCAAATGATACCTTTTAAATATCAGACACTTTTTTCTTTCCTCTTAACACTTTTTGGAACACCAAAAGGAAAAGGTTTTTTTTTGTTTGTTTTGTTTTTATTACTTCTAAGCAATCAACACTCTTTTACAGAATACATCACTAATTGTTAACTAGATTCATCAGGCAGATGAAGGATTTTGTATATTTTCTGTAGCTACAGAGCATATATAAAATGTATCATTGTAGTGCAAAGTATGAGTCCAGGTTTTCAGATGCAATTCTGTGAAGTAGTGAAAGTTGCTTCATCTGTCTAAGTTTTATGTTCCTCATGTGCAAAGTGTACAGTGAGTTCATACACAAATGACACTTTCAGCTCTCAGCTCAATGATTTTGCAGTTTAGCAAGTAAAGTCTTAGGAAGGAATATTACGTGCAGCTCAGTAGGATAATTCAGGTTAGCCAAATACAGAATCATCTACTTTTTTAAAGTTATTAGATCCACATCACTGGAAATATTCAAAAGAATTTCCTTGCCAGAGGTCACTTAGAAGTTACAACTGTGTTAAGTTGAAAGGTGAACAACACTAGCTCTTAAAGAAATTGTACTGCCCTGAGTTTCTTAACTAGCTTGTATGAACGAAATGCATATATAATAAGCAGTATCTTAAGAACTAGCACAGGTTATATTCACATTTCTTAATCTAGGGGGAAAATAAAACAAAACAATATCTCCATGTAGACTGAAACCAAGGCTCCAATTACTCTGCAAATTCTGGCAGCAAAGCAATAGGAAAATAAACCCAAACACCTGCTGTGTGTTTATGTAAATTAAGTTTAGGAAGGATTATTTCGCTAAAATGTCCCAGGTAATGCTGGCTCAATAATTCTGGCTTTATTGGTAACTAGCATAAATTTGATCTGTGTTTTTTAAAATGTAGTCCTCAAGCCATCTGCATCAGAGTCACTCTATTAAAATTGCAGATCCCTGGGCTGCAAAAACTTTTGAATCAGAATTAACCCCTCTCTCCCTGTTTAAACAAGTATTCTTGTCAGTTGTTTTAGAACACTTTGACAAGGATGCACAGTAAGTGATACATTGTAGGTAAATTGTCTACTTTTGAGGATGGACTAGAAGTAGCTACACCAACCATGAGCACACCATTAAAAAATCATTCTAGTCCAGGAGTTCAAGACCAGTCTGAGCAACATGGCAAAACCCAGTCTCAACAAAATATACAAAAATTAGCCGTGCATGGTGGCACATGCCTGTGGGGGCAACAACTCAGAAGGCTGAGATGTGAGGATCACCTGAGCCCAGGAGGTCGAGGCTGCATGAGCGGTGATTATACCACTGCACTCCAGCCTGGGCGACAGAATGAGACTGTCTCAAAAAAATAAAAATAAAATAATTATTAAAAAGACGAACTGCAAAGGTCATCTGAGCAGTAAAATATTGAGATGGCTTTATTTATAATTTACTTAACATTTAGGGAGCACCTAAGAAGCCTCAGGCTGTGTGATATTAAATGGCAGTCATATCACTTCTTCAAGATGAAAAGGAATTTTTTTATAACTAAAATAATTCCCTCTTTAATTGTCAGAATTATTATTATGGAAATGATGAGTGCTCCAATTTTTCTTAATCTGAACACCAGTATTTCATTTGCCATTGCTAAAATGTGTGGACTGTTATGAAAATTTAACATAGTGTTTTTTTTATATGAGTCATTCAGCTGGCTTCTAACATTTATTTTAAAACTTTGATTTTTGTGTTTTTGTGTGCAGGATTTTTTTATTTCTTCTAAAGGATTTTCCAATTCTAAGTCTGTCCTACAGTTAAGACAAAGGTTATAAATGGTGAACCACTGTTATCTAGAAGGGGCCACTCTGTCATCTACAAAAAATAGTCGAATGAAGTGAGCCAGCCCTAAAATTCAGAGTCAATTTCTGGTCCAGGTACACTAAACGGTCTTCCAGTGAGCATAAGCCTCTTACAAAGAGTGAGGTAATCAAGACTATTATAATGCCCAACCTATATTAATGTAATTATCCACTACAACACAAACAAATTATCTCTAAAACTCAGTTACACTTCAGAGATCTTATTTTGCTCATAAAATCACTGACCTCACCCACATCGCCCACACCCTAAGCTTCATATCATCTAACATGACATATAAAAATTTAGGCACAATCACGCCTAGTCCATCTCAACTGTACCCCACCCCACTCTACCACACGGAGTGTCAGACTCACTGGACAGCATAAACTCACATACATTTGCAAATAAACTATTTTAAAACTTTAGCCCTCACCACCTTTCTTGCCATTGTGTTTGGTTCTTTCTAGTTTAAACAGTTCCATTCTTATGACTGTTTCTTGAACACTTCCTAGATGAGGAATAAATATTCGATGTTACTAAGAGACGTGAAGAAATGATAAATACCTTTTCCAACCTTTCAAAAGGTAACATGATGAGGAAATAAGACATACAGTCACAAATTCCCAAAAAATGTGGAAATAGGATTAAATTCTTAATAAGTTTGCCTTTAAATGGCCAAGTGTGTAATAGAGACAAAAATCACATTTACAAAAGATTTCTGATATAGAGATAGATTATGAAAAGACCTCTAGATTGAACAGATTTTAGATAGGTGAAAGGGAGGATGAAAGGTACTACAAGACAGAGTGAAGACAGAATGAGCAGAGATTGAGAAATGCTGTTGCATGCTTAGGGAAGACAGGGGATATTGGTGTGAGAGTGGAGAGAGTATTACCTGGGGAGATGAGTTTACATAGATGTTTTAGAATCAAATCATAGCACCCTTTGATTGACATACAAAATGTTTAACTGAGTGTAATGAGTGATTGGTGCATTTTTGGAATAAAAGACTACCACATTAGAATTTTAGGCAGATTGTTTTATTTACATTCGAGGAAGAAGAAAAGTAATAATTGAGATGTGAGGAAGGGGACAAAAGCCAAGCATTAAGATTACTGAATCCATTAAAAGCAGGGAGGATAATGATGGTAATAGCAGCAGGGAAGTGGCTGGAATGAGGTAAATACAGAATAAAACTCCATTGGGGCAAAATATTCCTGGAGTGCTGAGCAATACATGTCACAGTCTCCAATTTTTTTTTTATTCTTACGTTAGTTCAGATTCCACTGTATCCAATATGTGCTTGAGAGTGAAAATTGTATTAGTTTCTATTGTAATCTATCTCCATTTCGCCTCGAGAAAAATTACCCAAATGGATTGAGTTACTTTCTTTCAAAAAAGAAAAAAAAAATACAACCTGAAATTTGGTGGAAGATGGTGCTGCTTGAATTTATGTGAATTTACTTTCTCTCTTTTAGAAAAACTAAACTTTAAAAAATCACTAGTAAAACAGCAATAGCAAGAAGGAGTATGCTTGAGGGTGGGAAGTGTAAATTCATGACAGATACCCTTGTCTTCTAGCTCAAATCTTCTCTAGGAAAAAAAAACACACACTCCTAGATGTTTTCTTATTTCTCATGCCAGTTATGAATTCAGTTGTCAGTAGTATCCATGAATACTACTGGTGTTGCAGTTCTTTCTTTCTTTCTTTCTTTCTTTTTCTCTTTCTTTCTTTCTCTTTCTCTTTCCCTCCCTTTCTTTCTTTCTCTTTCTTTCTTTCTTTTTCTTTCTTTCTTCCTTTCCTTTCCTTTCCTTTCCTTTCATAAATTTCTGTCTTTGATTACTAAATGTATTTCTTCTCATGACCTGGGGAGGAAAACAAAGCAGAACTTCCTCACAAAGACAATACTTCCCCACTAACCATGAAAGGTTTTTTTTTCTCTCTCTTTTTAAATTTAGGTGTGCTTTATTTCATAATCAAATGCCAGATATTTAATGAACTAAATTGGATAATAGAGACTTTCTTCCACCACACAAGCCTCTCATTTTTCTAGATAATGATAAGAAATAGTGGAAGCTGTCATGGGACTTGACTAACTAGAAACTACCAGTTGTGTGTTGGCTAAGTAAAAATATTAATCTTCCCCTCAAGCTAATTTCTGATAATTAACCAAAATATCCGGGAGTGCCAAGATGAATTAAGCACGTAAGGTAATATTTTATAACCTCCTTTGGAAAGGATATCCCTTCCCACTGTTCTCTATTCAGCCCAATTCAGCAGTTTTAAATAAGCATTCAAAAGTGCTGGAGTTTCACCCTTTCAATGAGGTTTTAAGAGGGCTGTCTTAAAGGACATAGGGTGGGCGATGGGGGCAGGGGAATGAGACTAAAGGCAAGCTAAGAGAAATTAATGACAACTACAAAAGAGAAAGGCCTTTTATTTAGTTGGCTTGTATTTCTCTAATAGACTTTCTCATTCTTTTTAGCCTAAGTTAGGCACGTAGGGTTACATCTTTCTGGAAAGAACCATTAGAGCAAGGAGATAACCGTATTGTAGTTCTCTGGCTTGTAACTGTTTCCAACTGTGGAGCTGCCAGCAGAGATTTCAGGAGGAGACAGTCCCCCTGAGGAGGAGAGAGACAAAGCAATATGTTACAAACCCATCAAATCCATCCAGTCCTTCCCTTTCATTGTGTGTGTGTGTGTGTGTGTGTGTGTGTGTGTGTGTGTGTGTGTATTTGTGGTGAATCTCCTACCAAAAACTTAAACCCAGGAAGGTTTAAATTTCAATGAACATTAATTGTCTGCAACCACCTATAGTTTGTTTTATGAAAAGCCATGAAAAATATTTTCAGAGAGGACACATCACTCTGGAAAGTTCTAAACATGAGTAATAGTGTATCTCAAAAATCATCAGAATCATGTTTCTCCTTCATGACTAATATAATACAGGCCCTTCCTTCACACGAGCAAAATCATTATTGTACAAGAATATTTTACTCATACATGCTCTGTGTTTTCTAAATCCTAGAAAGACTACCAAATTTTCAATTTTCAGCAGACACATTCCAGAGATAATATTATCTGGCCCATCTGTTTTATGTTTTTAAGTTACTTTTATTTTGTAAAGCAACATGTTAGTATTTCCAATTTTACTTGTTACATGTATTCACTCATCTATTCCTTCATTTTTAGCCCTTGACCATATTCTATACTCTGACAGCAGCTTCGAATTGGTTTACTTTGTGTATTACAAGCATAGTAAAAATAAATGCCCTTGGTCCTGAAAGTTCAATTATTTCAAAATGTATCAATACTTACTCTCTATGAATGTTTAAAGCTGGCCTGGTGTCACTCCCATATCCCTTTGAGTGTATTAAGCCAAATAAGAATGTCAGGCTTCCCCAAGCACACTTTGGTCTCTAACCACAACCCTTAACAGCATTTCCATTATGTCCTTCAATATCTTTCAGCTCTAGTAAATCCTTGCCTGCTCAGGTGAACATTTGTCTTACTTTGAAAGAATCTGCAGCCCTCATAATGTGGTTGTTCCTAAATGCCATCACTTCACAATTAGGATTTCCCTGGTTACAAAATGCAAATCAAAACATCAGTGGGCTTTAGTATCTGATACAGGCTTGGTTTGTAATAACTCCAGGAGGTTTTATATCTACTTTCAATATAAAATTCTTTTATTTTTATTTTTGTTTTTTTCTGAGACAGAGTTTCGCTCTTGTTGCCCAGGGGCTGCAGTGCAATGGCGTGATCTCGGCTCACCACTAACTCCACCCACCACACCTGGCTAATTTTGTATTTTTAGTAGAGATGGGGTTTCTCCATGTTGGTCAGGCTGGTCTTGGACTCCCAACCTCTGGTGATCCGCCCACCTCAGCCTCCCAAAGTGTGGGAATTACAGGCATGAGCCACCACGCCGGGCCATAAAATACTTTTTTTTTTTTTTTTTTTGAGACGGAGTCTCACCCTGTCGCCCAGGTTGGAGTGCAATGGCTTGATCTTGGCTCACTGAAACCCCTGCCTCTGGGGTTCAAATGATTCTCCTGCCTCAGCCTCCCAAGTAACTGGGATTACAGGCGCCTGCCACCACCCCCAGCTAATTTTTGTATTTTTAGTAGAGATGGGGTTTCACCATGTTGACCAGGCTGGTCTCAAATTCCTGACCTCGTGATCCGCCCACCTCGGCCTCCCAAAGTGCTAGGATTACAGGGGTGAGCCACTGCACCCGGCCCATAAAATTCTTAAAGAAAAGCGAGTAAACACAATAATATGGGAAACACGTTTGGTTGCCATTGACAAAGTCTTGTTGACTATTTTTATCTCATTCTTGACAGGATTTAGAACAAAATTCATGGTTAAACAAGAGTAAACAATTATGCCACCTGATTTTTCAGGTTAATAAGTAAAAATTGTTTTATTTCATTAAAAATAATCAGCATCTTATCAGGAAACTGGGTAATTATTAAACATTTACCCAGTTGTCTCATAAGTAATAGCAAGTCATTTAAATCTATGCTGTTTGTTTGTAAATAGTTGTTTTCATTGAAAATATATGGTTATTTTAATACATGGATGTATTTTAATATTGAAGACTTTAATCCACATTAAACATAAAAGATTGATAAATAAGTAGGCATTTGTCATATCGTTCTTTAAAAGCCTTCTATATACAACAGGTATGAGAAACAATACTTAGCTGAATTTTCTTATTTGCAAGAATTAGAACTACTATCTCTATAGGTAGCCCTAGGTTCTATTCTCTGGGCCACTTTTACAATAGAGTGGAGTCTTGCCACTCCATTACAATTATCATTTTAATAAAAATTATACTTAGAAGCCCTTATCCCTGGTTTCCTCTTTTTCCTGACCTATTCCCCCAGATAATTTGGCCCATTGCTATCTGTGGAGTGCTCCAGAAAACATCTTCTAAATGAATTGGTACTAATTAGCAGGATTTTTGATGTCAGAACGAGACCAACCTCAGTCATCAATGGAAGACTTTCTTCTGGAGGCAAAATAAGATTTTTCTTCTTCCTTCTTCCCCTTTTCTCCTTTTGCTTTTCTTCCTTGCCTCCCATCTCTAGGAGGAAATATGACTTGTATTTCAGCCAAATTTGGAATATGGTGGTACATTAAAAATTTTCACCAAGTGCACATTTTCATGCACTAGAGTGTTCTCAGAAATTGTGTACTTGAATTTCACTTTGGAGCTCCTATTATTCATTTTGTCCTTTCCTCTTCATAGTGTGAGTCATGGAGGTTTTGTGTAGGCCTGTGGCTCTTTATCACTCAGCCTAAGTCCCCAACTTTTCCCCTTCCCTAGTCCTCTGAGGATCTCTGGAGTGTCATCTGATCAAGTTATTTTAATGTTTTAAGAATTCTGAACAATTGTATTTTCCCATGTTGGCCATTTTGAAATGAAAATTATTTGGTATTAAAATAACGTGGTGGAGAGCGTTGCGTATATAGTGATGCAGAGATGCATGCTCCTTAGCTTCGTATAAATCTAAAACTTTTCAGCTGGTTTTTTTCTTCCATACTCTGAATTTTCTTTGATGTTTGGCCATATTTCATGAGTATCACTCAAAAGTTCATTTAAATGTTGCAGTGAACTAAATATTATATGTATGCCCCAATTAATAGAGGAACATTCTGTTAAAAATCTGAGTTCACAGAATCCTGACTCCCTTATCCTAAGATTACATAAGAAAACATCTTATAAACGAATCGGTACTGATTAATATCCAGGATAAATGATTTTTCAGTCCTGCCTCTGCCTCCAGAATGCTGGGCGTGACCTTGGAGAACAAATCTTCCCTTTCTGATCCTTAATTTCCTCATTTGAAAAATCATGATTATGTCAGTCACTAATTATTTTCTAAATACTATTTCCACACTGAAATTCCACTTTAAGAATTATTTAAACCCTCAAACAGGAGAATCTTAGCATCCTGTTTAATAGCCCATATAGCCTTGGTATCAGAAGAAAGTAAACATGCTTTTTTTAATAATATTTTTATATTGAGAAGTGCTGTGATTTGGTGAGAAAGTTTAGATTTGGTTCAAACGTGCATATGTTTAAATTTTCTTAGCTACGTGATCTCAGGCAAGTTTTAAACTTTCTGAGCTCTGATTTTATAATTTGCAAGAAAAAAATATTGGAATGATAGTATTTTAAAAGTTGTTGTGACTTTTAAAACACCTACACCATTATCGGGCAATATTTGGCATTCAATAAGTGTTTTTCTCTCCCTAATACAATATACTTCTTTTGTTTTAGTAATATCTGTAATAAAATACATCAACTATTAATTAATGTACTACATGTAAGTGACTGTTGAAAATTCAAGATATTTATTTTTCCTCTTTGCTAAATAACAAAGACACAATTTTCACTGATGTAAAATAAGGGGATTATAATGAAAAGTCCATCTTGAAGGGGGCGAGATAAATTAATTATTATTTCTGGATATTAATAAAAAGTTTTATTATTAAACAAAACCACAAAGAAACCATGTGTAATATTTAGAACTCTTCAAGTTAATAACAATTTTCATTGGTGAGAAAAGATTAGTGAGGCATCAGATGGCTGAATGAGTGATCCTTAAAAAAAAATTGGGGGGCCGAGGCAGGCAGATCACGAGGTCAGGAGATCGAGACCATCCTGGCTAACACAGTGAAACCCTGTCTCTACGAAAAATATAAAAAATCAGCTGGGCGTGGTGGTGGGTGCCCGTAGTCCCAGATGCTTGGGAGGCTGAAGCAGGAGAATGGCGTGAACCCAGGAGGAGGAGCTTGCAGTGAGCCGAGGTGGTGCCACTGCACTCCAGCCTGGGCCAGAGAGTGAAACTCTGTCTCAAAAAAAAAAAAAAGAAAAAAAAGAAAAAAAAATTTGGTACTACCTGAAATTGAAGCTGAAGCTTTGATTGATAATTTATTTAATCCTTTTGCCAAATAAGGAAATATTAAAGATGAGAATATACAATGAGATGATTGGTATTTACAAATATCAATTCTGATAGGCTCTCTCAGCAGTAGACCAAAAGTGGTTTGACTTTTGCAATATAATCTGATAATAGAGAACGTATTTTCTTCCATGTCATACCAGAAATTTTTGCACTCTCAAACATCACTCTACTGACATGCATAATATGACATGCACTATCATATGATCTTGAATGCCAGTCTTTATTTTATTCTGTCTAATAGTGTTACTTATCGTTTCACTTAGATGTTTTTTGATTTCCAATTAAAGTCAAAGGCCTTGAAGTCAGGGACTACATCATTACTGTTTTGTATCTCTCCCACCTGGTCACAAGCCTGCATAAAATGAATTGTATTCTTAATTTCCTATTGAGCCTGATTTTTCAATAGTAAATGCACACTCCACACACTGCTTAATATTACCAACTAGCAAATTTTTGTCCACAGCTATCTGATATTGTTTATTGTCCTAATCACTAATATGGCATCCCATTCCCCACCCTGACACTATGGTGGGACATAGCAATAAAAAGGAATTTTTGTCACAGTGATTTTAACAGTTTCAACAACTGTACCCTAGGTGCTTTCCCTTTGTTATACTGTTAGACTAGCAACGTTAACAGTTTTAGGGAATAAGGAGCCTTCTGATTTCTTTGTTGCTTTATATACAAGATTAAGATGCTTCTTGCTTTAAGATAGAGTGCCTATATTCACTTCACGTATTACAAATCTCATCATAAAACAATTAGGCATAAAAGTATTCAACAGGACTACAGTGGAGCTTTCTGGTAACAAAACACATTTTTCTAAATATAAGAGTAATAATTTAAAGTCACAATAATCTGAAACATGCTACATCATTATCAAAACTAAGATGGTACAACTAATATAAATTGTTTTTTTTGTGTGTGTGTCTGTTTCTTGGTTTTTATTTTTTTGTTTTTGGTTTTGTTTTTGTGAAGCACATATTTAGCTATTGGGGAAAAACATGGGATTTCCTTCCCTGATTAGCAAAATTTAGTCTAGGCAATGGATACTGGCAGACATAAAATGAAGCTGAACATGAGCATTAAGAATTGTTTCTAACTCCAGTGTTCATGTTGTATTTTCTCCAATTGATCCTCAAGAGAAGAAAACACAAGGCTCACAAAGAAACATCGAGTATCATACTCACTTAAATATGTATAATTCATTCATTGTTGAGTGAGAAAAAAAATCAAAGGCCTCTAATATCTACATTTGAAACAATTTCTGTCTTTTCAAAAATTATCCAATTTTTAAACAATTGTTAAATTTTTAAAAGTGAAATCAATTTTCGTTAATTTCTGTGGACTAAATAGAAATTTCTATCACAATTTGAATTTACCTATGAATCTCTTTAGTTATTTATTTAGTATTTTTTATTTTTTTGAGACAGAATCTCGCTCTGTCACCCAGGCTGAAATAGAGTGGTGCGATCTCAGCTACTGCAACCTCTGCCTCCTGGGTTCAAGTGATTCTTCTGCCTCAGCCTCCCCAGTAGCTGGGACTACAGACGTGTGCCACCACGCTCAGCTAATTTTTGTATTTTTAGTAGAGATGGAAGTTTCACCATGTTGGCCAGGCTGGTCTTGAACTCCTGACCTTGTGATCCACCCGCCTTGGCCTCCCAAAGTGCTGGGATTAAAGGCGTGAGGCACTGCGCCTGGCCTATTTATTTATTTTTAATCATGAACGTTTAAAAGAAAAGTAGAGCTCCAGTGGTTGGGACTAATTAACACTCCCCCCATTCCTCTGTTTCCTTGTTATTTGTAGATTATTATTGATGCCATCATGAACTACAAAGCTCAGTGATCTATGCGTGAGGCATTTTAAAGCCACCAGAAAGTGTTGTATCACTTGAAGGCTTTATTAAGTTTATTGACAGTAGATTATTGTTGGGAACCATATTTCATATTTGGATGCCGAGATTTATGACAGATTTAGTTGCAAAGGAAATGAATTTGATGGGTAGCACATGAAGCTTTGAGCTGCATGAAAAAATATCATGATTTTTCATAATATTACTCTCTCACATTGAACTATCTGGTGCCTTGCAGCCCAAGGTTGAAGCAAATATTTTATTAGAAATCAAATCAATTTTAGACAATAAAAAGCTCATATTCTATCAGCGAATAAAATACAAGCTCTTCAAAGAATCCTTTTTAAATTAATAGAATATATCAGTTTAGGTATTATAATACAGCTTCCAAGAATAATAAAGGATTCAGTTTTCACTCTCCTTAACCTTCCTCCTTAATGTGAAGTCTTCTCATGCCAGTGTCGATCTGATATGAAAATGCTTTGTGTTGTATATCACTGATTTTTTCTTTTTAAAAAAGTGCTACTCTCATTTGTTTTTGCCCTCTAAAATGATAGTCAGAGTTCATATATTTTACACTGTAGAATGCCATTCACCATTGTTGGCAGCCTATGTTCTATTTCTATTGGTACATGAACTCCACGTTAGAACAGAATTGCAAGTAAACAGACAGGAGGAATAAGTTCAAGAGTTCTGTTGTACCATAGATATGACTGTAGTTAATAACAATGTATCGTGTTCTTGAAAATCACCAAGAAAGTAGATTTAAAGTGTTCTTACCACACAAAAAACGATAATTATGTGGGATAATGTATATGTTAGTTAGCTCAATTGAGCCATTCTACTATGTGTACGTATTTCAAAGCATCATGCACATGAAAAATATATAATTTTTGTGGATTTAAAATTTCAATTAATTTTAAAAAGGAGAGAATCACACAGGAGCAGTGTGCCAAGGGGAGTGTGAAGGGAAAAAGAGAAATTAGGAGGAGGCATTCTCTAGCCCCGTTGTCTTTTTCATGTGAATTTCTCCTTGAGGAGTCTTCACAAGCATTTTCAGCCAGTTCTCTCACTTTCAACTTCTCTCCCAGTTTCTGCTTACTTCTCTTCCTCATCCCACTTTTCCTGGCTCGTATACTTATGCCCTATTTTTATTCTCTCAAGAAAACCTTCACCACCTTCTCTCTCATAGGAGGTAGAATTGTGGTACCATCCAAGCATGTTACCAAGGTTTGACTTGTTCTTCCGAACAGGGCTGGCATCTCCCCTCAGACTCCTAATTTGAGAATCCTTTTTTATATTTCCTCCTTTTCAAAATAATTAACAAAACAACTCTTAACCCATTGTGTAATACATATGACCTGGTGCATTATATATAAAATGCTATTATGAAGGATGTCAGACTTTTGTTGATTTTTTTTCCCAGTTACTTTACTGACCTCACCACATTTAACAGTAACTGCATCCACTCTTTCCGTTGTATGATCTCTTCTACTGTCCCTCACATATCCAGAACGGGAAGAACACTTGAATCTACTTCTGATAGTACCTAGAGAGAGTACTGCAGAGTTGGGGAGGAATGTAGACATTTTCTGTGACATTGATTTTAGAGAGAATTAAAAATTTAAAGAAAAATATTTCATTGTTTTAAGCATTAAACATTAACTGCAGTTGGGATCTGACAGACATAATCTTTCTGCAAAATCAAGTTTGTCATATAGGTAAGTAATTGATAACATGCCTCTACTCTTACCTGGACATCACCTGCCTCTTGTTAGGATCAAGGGAGTAGGTAGCTGCAGGGGGCATCTTTCACAGCTTAATTTTGGTCTCTGACTGCTTCCACCTAAGACCATGTTGGAGTTACATTGGCCAAATCATTTGAAAAGAATATTATCTAAGTAATCATACATACACATTTACAAGTAGATATAAATCTGTGTCTACATCTATAAGTGTATTTTTATCTTCATCTATCTAATCTAAAATTTAGTTTTCTTTTTAATGGGAAAAAAGTAGCAATTTTGTTTTAAACTATAATTACTATGAGCCAAGGGATTCCTGCTATTATTTGGACAAAGATGAAAATCAGTCTCTAAAAACTTGAGTGGAGGACTAGTTTGTTTTAAAGTCACTGCACGGGTCAGCATTTAACTTTCAAATCAACTATACCATTTGTTTAATAAAAAGCTAACTTTAACTTACGGAATTTCAAAGAAAAAGCTATTTCAAATTCAGAAAAAGAGCATACTTATACATTTGCATGATCATTCATAGCTTTATTTTTCATCACACTTTATTTCAAATAGTGTTGGAGGGATTACTTAACCCCTAAAATGTTAACATATTTTTGTTTCTAAAACTATGTGGCTTAGTACAAATCAAGTGGCCATAATCAGTATGCATTCCTTGTAGAATGGAAACATAAGTGACATTTTGAAATATTTTAATTGCATGTTCAGAAGTGCTAGTGGATATGCCAAAGTCAGAATAAGATCCTGAAACTAATTAATGTGGCTTCATTTATCAAGAGCACTAGAGCTGTTATAAATACTAATAATAGCATTGTAAGAGTATATTTCCATTTGTCTGTTGATACTTGCTGGGTACTGTCATAGTGCTCCACACCACTGAGTAGAAGAAAGGGCTTTGTGTGAATTTCACAAAAAGCATTCCACACTTCTCTGTAGTAAATTCTGAGACCTTTTTACTGACATTAGTATCCCTAGTACTAAGATTGATTGATTGCAAGAAACAACTGTGTTCATGTTCACAGAGTTGCAGGATTAAGGAAATTAGTAAAACACATTCCAAATTCAAACATACTAATTAATAAAAATATGTAAAACAGAAAAAATTCCCTTGCTATTCTTTGGGGGTGGTAAAAGTGGGCCCAGAGGAGGGGTTCATATGCAAGGGTTAGTTTTTATATAAAATCTTGCCTCGTAACTAGAGACTGCTGAAACAGAAAAGACTTCAAAGTGATATTCTTGGATAAAGGCCTGGCCTTCATTTCTCATCCTTAAATATTTGGGAATCTTTGTCAGCAGAGTGTTTGTTCGACGCTTATTGTGAGAACATATGGAAAGAGCAATGGATTAGGAAACCTATATTTGGTCTTGAATCTTCTGTTCCTTGGGAACGTTTTCTCCCAGCCAATTTTACTTCTCAGGTCTTTAGTTTCTTCACACATAAACATAAGGAAGTTGGACTCACTGACAGTATAGTTCTTTTCAATTAACTCTAAAGGCTGTGATTCTGTGATCGTTACTGTAAGATGACTGGTGCCCCAAAGAAAGGGTAAAACTTAAGGTTTAGAATTGTATGCAGGAGCAAATTGCCTGCCAATATGTAATTCCCAAAATTTGTGTGTTCTTGTGAGTCACCTCTAAAGGTGGCCAGTTTGCTGCTTCTATGACAATGAAATTTCCAGGTTAAATATAGAAGAGACCACCATGGGCAATAAAGGTAATTCCAGTAGAATGTGGCAAAGGAAGGTTAAATAAAATGTTTATCTTAGAGAAAGAAAGCCAGCAACAGATGAGCATAAATATGTGTAAAGAGAAATGTCCCTGAAATTTTAGTTACATTTGTTTTCTGGGGCAAAGGCTAGATTAGTAATACCATTAAAAAAAAAGAAGGGGACATTTGTGCACTGTTTTATATTTCATCTTTTTGTTGTTGTTGTTGTTTTGGACAGAGTCTTGCTCCGTCGCCCAGACTGGAGTGCAGTGACGTGACCTCCGCTCACTGCAACCTCCGCCTCGCGGGTTCAAATGATTCTCCTGCCCAGTAGCTGGGATTACAGGTGCCTGCCACCACACCCAGTTAATTTTTGTATTTTTAGTAAAGATGGAGTTTCACCATGTTGGCCAGGCTGGTCTCGAACTTGTGACCTCAAGTGATCTGCCCACCTTGGTCTCCCAAAGTGCTGGGATTACAGGCATGAGCCACCATGCTCGGCCCTTATATTTCATCATGCTTAGAAACTTCATTTGTCTTTGTTTTGAGTCAGAAGATCTACTAATTATTTATTAGATTTATATTTTGGTTCCTTTTCGGGAAACATTATAGACTATTACCTTCATTTTTTTTCAACAAATGTTATTCCAGGCTAGATTGGTTATAGAACAGGCCTTGAGTTGAGATACTTTAACATCTAGTAAAATGGAAAGAAGATGGCTTAAGAAAGAGAATGGCTTAGGTTTCAGTGGTGACTATGCAGTCAACTTACTAATTTTGTGACCTTGGACAATTTATTTAATCTTTTTGACATTAAGTATTCTAGTTTGAAAACTCAGCAAAATTTCTTACCTCCTGAACTGTGACAGAGTGAAATGAAAAAATTTGTATGAAGCATGTAGCATAGTACTTATCATAAAGTAGATGCCCATCAATACGTAGTTGATCTACCTTCAGCTAACTCATCGCACATTTTCCAATTTTTGAACGTTTAAACCTATGACTTAATCCTTGCTTTGCACAGGGATGTATGGCCCGGAGTAAACCATTGTTTCTGGGGCTGCAGTGTTAATTGGCAAAAAGAAGGGTTTGAGCTAGATAATTTTAAATATTCCATTGTCTTTTCATCAAATTTTATCTCTTTTGGTTTATTTAGATTTAAAATAACAACAATAACAACAACAAAATAGATGCACTACCATCCTCTGACCCTGTAACAACAATGGTGTGTTACACCCCAAGACTATCATAATTATTGTGACTTTTTAAATTCAAAGCTTAGTCTTTTGTAAGAATCACCTTGAAAAGCAGGATAATTTTTACCTGAAATAGTTAAAAGACTTGAGATATGCATTTTCAATTCTTTCTAAAACCAAGAAAAATTAATCTGCATATGGAATTCTTCTTTAAAAGTTGAAATTTTCCTTCTAGTATGGAGTCTGAGACATCTAACTTACAGTTTCTTTTGGCCTGCAATTGATTTCTCCTTGCCTACTAAATGATAACTGCTGATGACATTAATATTCAGGTCTGTCCTTTCTTCCCAAGAGGTCATTTTTAGTCTTTTAAAAAAAATTAGTCTATTTTCTCCTGAGAATAATTATTTCCCATGAAGATGGTTTGTAGCTATGAGTGCCTTTCTTAAAAGCACACAGAAAAGCAAAAAACAAACAAACAAGGAAAAAACCCACCTATTTCTACATAAGCATAAAATGATTCACTATTATATAGATATTGTAGCAAATCTGAAAAGCCAAACCAGTCAGAGACGTGTAGATAATCCTGGTTTCACCTCCTCCCACCAAGAAAAGTCTAATGACCTTATAATATCATTATGAAGAAATGGTTGAACAATGACAAAGGTGATCTTTGCACAATTTGATTTTTCTTATCTGAAATTTAAAACTGTTTTATTATAATCAGAATCCGTTTGAAAATGTCTTTATTGGCCGGTCGCGGTGGCTCATGCCTGTAATCCCAGCACTTTGGGAGGCCGAGGTGGGCGGATCACGAAGTCAAGAGATTGAGACGATCCTGGTCAACATGGTGACATCCCGTCTCTACTAAAAATACAAAAATTAGCTGAGTGTGGTGGTGGGCGCCTGTAGTCCCAGCTACTCAGGAGGCTGAGGCAGAAGAATCACTTGAACCTGGGAGGCGGAGGTTGCAGTGAGCCGAGATCACGCCACTGCACTCCAGCCTGACGACAGAGCGAGATTCCGTCTCAAAAAAAAATAAGAAAGATAGTATCTTTATCTTTGGGCATAACATTCTACAATACAGTGTGACATTTTACACCTACAGGGAAATCACAGTATTCATAGATCATAAATTAGAGAAATTGGTCCTTTTTCTAGTCCATTCCTTTATGATTTTATGATGAGAAAGCTAATACATATTATTCTTCTACACTACTCCAAAATCTTCTTAAAATTAAACAAACAACAACAAAAACAAAACTTAATCCAAGTATATCATGTAATTAATTTACAGATCACCTAAGTAAGAAGGTTAGGAAAAAGTAATAATCCATATCTATTTTATACCAGGTTTTTACTTGAAAATCTTTTTTTTTTCTTATTTACATATTACTGGTATGTCTTTTTTGTAAGGACACCCAGCGACTGCCTCAAAAGCTTCTAAGTACAGACGTCAAGTTGGCTCCATGAACCTCATTTAATAGCTATAAAATGAGGTGGATATTATTCATAGTATCTCTGGGAAGTTTTGCCATTAGTAATTCTTGAATTATTTTACATAATTTTAAATCATGAAAATGGCTTGTATAATAGTATTTTTCTCACCTGTATTCTCTGCTTCTCAGGTGGCTGAGGCAGGAGGAACGCTTGAATCCAGAAGTTCTAGTCCAGCCTGGGGAACATAGTGAGAACTTATCTCCAAAAAAAATCAGTTTTCTTTTTTCTAGGGGCCTATATAGAATTAAAATAAATGTGAATACATTTATTTCTGATATATTTTTGGAAATATTTTGAGACATAATAGTACCATAAGAATATTTTTATTTTTAAATATTAGTTGGAATATGAAACAACGAAATAAAATATTGGTGCATAGTCATACTAATGAAACCTAAGAAATACTTTTCTTATTAGGGCAATTTAGGAGTGTGTGCCAAGGAGGAAAGAACCCTAGAAGTATATTAGGGGACATTTAATTTCTAGGGAGGGTATTGTACTGCAAATGGTGGTCACTCACCAGGTCACTGTCAAGATGAGACTGAGCTAAGGCAAGAATATAAGTTATTTTAAAGGCCAGATTTGCATCTGTGAAAACATGCTGTTCCCTAGAAAGCACACAGACATGAGTTGCATAAAAATACTCATTTGTAAAAATTGTGTGTTTTATTCAGTTTGGCCATCTGAATCACCACGTGAGAAAGGAATATGAAAACGTTAGACATCATGGTAGGCAGAAACTGCACGATAGTACCATGTGATAGGAAATGAGGGATGCATACTGCAGAAAACACATTATTTTGGCATGTTTCTGCCCACAAGTGTATCAACTCCATTACATTTTTCTGTATGATGAATTACTGAGAATAATTAGACTCAGAATATTGTAATATATTAGTTAGATAGATGGGTAGACAGAATAGTCACCTACATACTCTTAGTTATAAACAGTTGTAAACACTATAGTCTGAATTAAACAGAATTCTCAGTTTATGAGAAGCCCAACATTTTCCATATGCACTGTCATATTCCATTTTTTCTAATATTCATATTTCATTAGCATTTAGTACACAGGCCTTGGATTGTTGAAACAAGAAATATAAATATATTCAATTTCTATATTTGTGAACTATTTATCATTTAAGTTATCATCAAGGCCGAGTTAGTTTTGTTTAAGACACTAAATCAATTTAAATCCCACCTCTTTTACTTTTGATATGCAAATATTTTTACTTTGATGTTGTAGCAATACAAATTGAAGTTTGCAACATGAACTGCTAATGCTAATTTGATTACTTTTGTATTAGTGTTTAGTGTTACAAAAATAACAAGAGATTATTTTTTAAATGAAACTGGGAATGGAAGAACTCTTTCTTTGCAGGCCCTGTGCAATGATGGTAGTATTAATGCATGTACATTAATGCCTGATGATTCTTATAGAACAATGAATGTGATTTTGAAGGCAAATCATTCAAGATTTTTAGAAAAACTGACAGCTTGATTTCTCTTTTTTAATTGAAAGTTCATCAAAAAGTCCTCACCTTCCTTTTTAACAGGTCAGAGACTTCAAATCTACTTAAAATATTTGTTGTAGATGATTTAGACCACAATTTATTTTTAGCATTAAAAATGTTTTATGTGAAGACAAGGTGCCTGAATTGTGAATGCAAAACTTTTTGGACAGAATCAAATCACAGTTTTTTTTTTCCAGAAACTTGTTTCTTAGATTATTTGATTTATTTGATAAAGTTGAAGAGATTTCTCATGATCTGTCACAAGAATGGTGTAAATATCTGACTGCAAAACAAGCTAAGATAGGTACTCCTAAAACCTGTTGAAAAACAATTTTTTCTCTTTCTCTTTTTAAATAGTACTTATGAATGGTATCTCTCCAAATATATACATCTCACTAGTACATATAGCTATATAATCTGTAAGATATCCCAGTGATGGAGCTGCAGTAATATCGGCCACCTGTAGTGTGCCTGCAGCGTGCATGTTGCTTGTCTGTTTCTTGATGAAATGTCTGTGTAGTGTCTGTAATTTGCATTATGCCTGAAAGTCTCTATGCTCATTAACCTTTTACAGGTGCCGCACCATTCCAAGGAACTGCAGGTACTAAAAGAATGGGCAGTACTTACAAAGTAGAGGCACAGAACCCTTGTGAGCTCTAACCTCTCCTTTTGCCTACTTTTAGGCAATGTTTTGGAGGTCACTGGTCTAACACTCAATGAGTTAGAGATTCATAACCAAGCTAAGGAAGTGAAACAGAGGAGTAGCTAATGATTGAATAGGGGTTATGTTGTATATTTCCAACATATCACTGATTATCTGACACCCTTCCCCACCAAAAAATGTATAAATTTCAGTGAAAAGAGAGAGGGAGAGAGATTGAGAAATATCAATTAATCATTACTTTATGTATCAAATTGTCAAAAGTTTTGCCTCAAACTATGTCTAGAAAAATGTATTAGAATTTATTCACATGCCATTGACTTTTCAAAGAGTTCCTGATAATATATGTGGTACCTGGAAATAGAATGCAGAAGTTAATCAGGTTAGAATGTTGACAAATACAGACTAATAGACTGAAGGACCATATACAAAATTTATTACACTAATAAATATTGAGTTCTATTTGGCAGATTCTCTTTATGATTATAGTATAATTTTTATATAATATAGTCAAATAAGAGCAAGCATTCAGCATTATTCTACATTTTTCTTTATAAAATTTAAAAATTTTGTGCCTAAAGAGGAAAAAAAAACATGCAATGATAGCCTCAAAGAAATTGAACAATGTGCATATATCTGTCTATGTATCTACCTATATATGTATGTACACAGACTATATAGACACACACTATATATACACAATATATATAGAATATATACACTATAGAAATGTTTTCAGCATGATAGCAACTTGAATGATAGAGAATTCTCTTCCAGAATGCTACTTACTATGATTTTGCATTAATACCTGTAAATTCCATGTGTGATAGAAAAAGAAAGAATTCTTACCCTTTCTATCCAGTGCTTTTGTTTTCTTTTTCAAAATAGTCACTTTGGTTTACAGATGTTTTCTTTTATATATGGTACAATGTTTAAGAAGAATATAAATCAATCTACCTTGGGTAAACACTTATTAAGTAGCTACTAAATCGGCTTTGGCAAACCACTCCTATAATCCCACAGACTTGCTAGAGTTAGGGAATACTTTTGTGATTATGAAAATCATTAATGCTATTAAAAATATTGATGTCAATGATATTAGCCTTCATCATTGAAACCATTTTCAAGAGCTAAAAGTGGGCACAGCATTATATGATCCCACTTCTGCTTAATGGCCTCACAATCCAAATTACCATCTTGCTCAACTTCCCATTTTTAAAATGCAAACTTTTTTATAAGTTATTTATGCATATTGTTAAGAATAATAATCCATCCTCTTTTTTATAGTAGGTATAAAATAATTATCTATAATTCTTTACATATATAATGAAAGAAAATTGAGGTCAGGTATAGCAAGGAAGAGAAGTATTCCATTTTCTTCACTTTAGAAAAGGGGATTCTATAGATGTAAATGCTCACTGCTTTGTCCACTTCTTCATCTGTTTTTCACGATACACCGGGTTCTTTCCATCTAGATGTTATGTTTTTCAAAAAGCCATCTATTTTTAAAACTTGTTCTCTTCCAATATAATCTGGAAGCAATCAAGACTCAAGTCACCATGGAAATGTTGTGAGTTTGAAAATGATGTCTGCTAAATTATGCCATTGGCTGAACCTCACTCCTCCCCCAAGTCAGAAGGTCAGTTTTCGTTTTGCCAGCCATCATTTTTACCTAAATGGACAACATTCCCACTGGATCCTATGAAAGATAATGTGAAAATGACAAACAGTTCATCTTCCTCCAAAGTACACTGTTGTGAGAGGGAGGAAAGAGGACAGAGGCTAGACAAGAAGAAAAGAGTTAAAGAGGGATATCCCTGATAAAATCAGCACTTAGCCCTTAGTTTCATTTAGATCAGCACTCTCGAGACTGAGGAACTGATTTTTTAATATTTTATTTAATCTTAATTTACATTTAAATAGCCACATTTGGCTAGTAGTTATCATATGGGACAGTGCAGATTTAGATCCTCGGGTTCTCATTTAACTTTAAAAGGCAAAGGTTAAATGTTTTTAATTTAGTATTTGAAATTGACACCAAAGAATAAAACTGGTCATCGTTCTTTTGGAGAATCAGTATTTCTTTTGGTAATTCTAGATTATTTTTCTTGGCTTCCTGTGGTTTTAGCCTCCTCCCTCACAGAAAATAATTAAAGTATTGCTTAAAATTAAGATTTACATAAAATGTATATATTTATGTATTAAATAGATATAAGACAGTATTTACATATATATAAGCACACATATACACACAAGTTTTCTTTATTAGAAGAATTTTACTAAATATTTGAAAAGACTTCATGCAATTATTTGGCATGGAACAGCACTTAAAACTTATTCTGTGTGGTGAGTAGAGCCATGTCTTTGAAATCAAACAGATGAATGATCAAGTCCTAATTCTGTGACTAGGTGAATGACTTTGGGCAAATAATGAAGCCTTCTGAGGCCTCAGTTTCCTTATCAAAAAACAGGGATCATAATGCTTTGTACATGGTAGAATTGTGTTGAAGATAAATGAACTAGTAATATAAAGCAGGGAGCATTGTGCTTGGCTTATAGTGTTTGTTAAGTAAATATCAGCATGTCAGGTAGTCTTATTTTTAATGTTGCATAACGGTCATATGATGCAACATGTCCTCTAAGGAAACTTTTATTCTTTATGGTGGCTCACAATGGATAATTCCCAATCCAGCTGAATATCAACAGTGCCACTGGGTTTCAGCACTTCTTCCTCCACTGGCCACACAAAGATATGAGATGATCTTACAGGGTGCCTCAGTATAACAACAACCTTATACCGTTAGGGGGAAATGGTAGTATTTTCAAGTGTTTGAAGAATTGTCCCAAGGAAGAAGAAATAAATGTAATGTAATGATGCTTCCTCTTGAGCTTCCAGTTTTTACTTTTGCTATTGTCAAGCCATGTCCCCTTTGCCTTTCAGATGGGGCTAATTTCTTTAATGTAGCCATGCTTAGGGAATAGACCTCGTAAATCATCTTATAAATCACAAGAGTTAGCCATAGGAGAAGGAGCTGATGTTACCAGAAGAGACAGAAAAAATAAAAAGATGAATGCTAAAATACATAAAATACATATAACAAGCTCTTCACTCCTTGCTCCCAACTACTGTTGCTAATGTCAATGGCCAAGGAGGACTACTGTCCCATTCTTTTTTTTTTTTTTTTTTTTTTTTTGACGGAGTCTTGCTCTGTCGCCAAGGCTGGAGTGCAATGGCATGATCTTGGCTCACTGCAACTTCCGCCTCCTGGGTTCAAGTGATTCTCCTGCCTCAGCCTCCTGAGTAGCTGGGATTACAGGTGCCCACCACCATGCCTGGCTAATTTTTGTATTTTCAGTAGAGATGGGGTTTCATCAGGTTGGCCAGGCTGGTCTCGAACTCCTCACCTCAGGTGATCTGCCCGTCTTGGCCTCCCAAAGTGCTAGGATTACAGGTGTGAGCCACCGTGCCCGGCCTGTCCCATTCGTTTTTGATAGACAACCCTCAGAGAGCAAACTGCCACTCAGAACTTCTATAGATGTTTCCTTCATCTCACATGTGCTGTGTGTAAAGTTGGGGGAGCTAAGGTATATGCCTACCTATGGCTCTTCCAATGCTAGTTTCTACATTTCCCATGTATGTGATCCCACATGGGTAGATACTGTGCTTGACAATTTTTTGAAGTAAATTGAAGAAATAAGGTGTTCAGATACATTCAAGTCTGGTCATGATGCTTTACCTTTCCAAGATGTCGCCATGCTCCATACGTCTAATGAAACCATAATCGAGACTGAGTTAAAACATAAACAGAAGGAGCTTTCAAAGCAGCAAGATGCTATGAAAATGATAATAATGATAAATAACATGGTTCATAAAGTGTGATACTTCGTTAATTGTAGGGAAAACCCATTCCTAATGTAAGTATTAGGTAACTGTCAAAAAACAGCATTGCCATATCAGGGCATTAGATACGCTGTCATTTTAGGTTTTGATACTGCTTTACAAGAAAAAGTGAACTAAAGCCAGTACACAAGAAAAAAAATGTAGAAGTTTTATTTTTTATTATTTTTATAGGAAAAAATACTTTAAGAGATTTGAAGACCATCTTCAATTTAGATTTTTTTTTTTGGCCAAATAGTGATAATCCTAAAAAAAACTCTGAGAGTTGGAACATTTATTCAACTGTAAATTATATGAAGATTGTAATGAATTTTATTTAAAACCTGCAATGCCCACTAAATGTTTAGAAGAGAGAGTGTGTCTGTGTGGGTATAAATTCACAGTTCATAACATCCCCAAAATGTGTAAGTCTGGAGACCAGAAAGGGAAAAAAATGCTAAGTTGGTAACTAGTTGAATAGAATATTAACATGGGCAGTGAAAAAGACTGTATTATCAGTAAACATTTCAAAATATCAATACAGTTATTTTATGTAGACAAATAAGTATAATAGTGGTGTGGGCATCCTACTAACTGCTTAGGTTGGAATAAAAACCTTCAGAAACATTATTGATTCTTATAATCTACAATTATGTGTTCTATCTTTGTTAAATGTCTTTATAAAATTACATTAAGAATAAATTATGCATTTTTGCCTTTATGTAAATTATCTCAAAGTATAAGAAATGGAAAGCTGTAGAATTTAGCCAGCCATTGGAAAGGATGCCCTGAAATACCTGTATTCTCACCCCAATACTCTGACTATTTCTGTTCAGTATCTCTGAACTGACACGATGACCCATGACAGCTTTGTTGTACCTGTGCTTTGATCAAAATAAGCAGCCATTCAGAAGTAGATGAAAAAAAGCAAATTCATTTTATCTTCGTTCTGTACCACAAAAATCAGAGTCCAAATAGAGTAAGCAGAAACTCAAATTTGAAAAGATAGGTGATAAAAACCAAGTTTGCATAGAATTTGAAAATCAGCTTTCTAATATGCCTTCCTGAAGGCATTGTTGATATGTAAATACTTCAAACTTCTACTTAGTCATTTGAAATTACTTCATATGTTGAGATGGTCCTATTAACATTTAGGTTTCTGTGTTCAGGTTTAGACTATTTATTCAATGTTTTGGTAAAAGTCAAAGCATATAAACTTTGAAAATGTATAAAAAATCACTATCCTTTATTAAAAAAGATACAATATTAAACTTATAGTTTTCTAATATAGGTATATTCAAAATTATCACCCAAATTGGCTTTTGGGTGTTAGCTAAAATATCTCTATATAAAATCTGGGCTGTTTAATGTAGCAATTGTTAGCCAATCATGACAATTAAGCAGTTGAAATGTGGCTAGTCAAAATTGAGATGTGTGGTCAGTATTACAAGCACACCAGATTTAGAAGATTTAGTAGAAATAAAAGGAATATTAAATATCTCATGTATAATTTTTTATTGATTACATATTGACACAATATTTGGATATATTAGGTTGAACAAAAGACATTCTTAGAATTAATATCATTTTAAATTTTTTAAACATGGCTTAAAGGGCATTTTAAATTATGTTTGTTGTTCTTATGTGGGATTTACATTATATTTCTTCTATTGGTCGACATTGGTGCTGACAGTTTATACAAATAAGAAAAACAGCAATTTAAAGATGAATGACGGCCCAGCACGGTGGCTCATGCCTGTAATCCCAGCACTTTGGGAGGCAGAGGCAGGAGGATCATGAGGTCAGGAGATCCATCCTGGCTAACACGGTGAAACCCTGTCTCTACTAAAAATACAAAAAATTAGCTGGGCGTGGTGGCGGGCGCCTGTAGTCCCAGCTACTCGGGAGGCTCACGCAGGAGACTGGTGTGAACCCGAGAGGTGGAGCTTGCAGTGAGTCGAGATCGTGCCACTGCACTCCAGCCTGGGCGACAGAGCGAGACTCCCTCCCAAAGGAAAAAAAAAAAAAGATGAACGAGGAAGGGTGTGTTTATTTCCTATTTCCACTGTACACATTACCACAAACTTAGTGGCTTAAAACAGCACATTTATTATCTTACAGTTCTGGAGTTCGGAAGTCCAAAGTGTATCTCACTGAACTAGAATCAAGGTGTCAGTAAGGCTGCGTTCCTTCTGGAGACTCTAATGGAGAGAATCCCTTTTCTTGCCTTTTTCAGCTTCTGAAGGCTGCCCTCCCACATTCCTTTGCTAGTGGCCCCATTTTTCTGTCTTCAAAGCCATATTGAGCCTTATACTTCTAACACTGAATCTCCCCAGGGCTCCCTCCCTGCCTCCATCTTCTCGTGCAAGGACCCTTTGATTACATTGAGTCCACCGGGATTATCCAGGATAATCTCCCCATTTGAAAGTCAGGTGATCAGCCACTTTGATCCTCCACCCCATGCCATGTAACCTAATGTATTCACAGGTTCCTGGGATCAGGACATGCACCTCTTTGGTGGCCATTATTGTGCCTCTTCAATGTTTATACATATATTTATATTCACATCGAATTAAATATATAAAAATCCATGTGTCTTCTTTCTATCTCTGTCTTGTCTTCGCCCTTTCACAAAACCTTAGTGCCTTTCTTTAGACTTTTTCCTTTGTTTCCCTTTTGATACTAATTTTCCTTATCGTCTAACACATGCTGACTATCTCACCCAAATAGTCATAGCCAAAGGCCAACACATGCTGAATGAACAAATGAAGTTATCCATTTTAATATGGTCATTCTAACTAGGGCAAAACCCCTCAGAGTTTGGAATTGTTTGCAATGTTCCTCAGGTAGACTAATAACTGTAACAGCAGCTATACCATAAAGAAAGGATAGTGATTCCAATGCGCGAGGACATTTTCCAGCATGGATAGAATCAGTAGGTCTTTCATGAAGAAAAAAGGGCTTTGAGACAAAGCCAAACAAAGGAAAGAGGAAAATGACTTTTCTTCCCCTCCGAGAGACTTTGTTGGTTTAGCACACCTGCTCAGACCTTTCGAGATCATCTTGGGACATGCTACTGATAGTTGAAAAGTGGGTTCCTTCAGAAACTGTAGAAATGTGGCAGACATTCACTAACATCTTTTTACCCTGTCAGACACTGGGGAAACTTGGTTTTATTTTTATAGTATAGTTGATTAGACATATTTCACCATTGTTTTTATAATACTGAGGAATAACTAGGTTTAATTATAAGACAATTGATGAGAACAGTGCTTAGGAGTCAGAATTTGGCCATTGAGTTTTTTCTTTTACACAAAAAAGACTCAAATACTTTTTCAAAGCTAATAATCCATGGTGTAAAACACGTCTTTTAACATATTATACTCTGCATTGCAATGATTAAATTGTTTTCTTGCTTTCAGTAATAACAATGATTTAACTAGACTTAGGAAAACTGCCTATTTACTCTGTTTATTGGACAACATTAAATTGGATACTAATTGCCAAGAGGTATAACTGTAAAATCAGTGAACCCTAAACATGGTGATTTAAACACAAGCTGAATGTTTTCCTTCTTTTCTTTTTTTTTTTTGTTTTACATCAGTGTACTATTTCTGAAAGCTTTGCATTATTTCCACATAGGTGATCTTTATGGGAAAATTTACCAGCTAAAGAGCGATATAATAAAGTGGTTGAGGAAAACAAAATAAATGTATTTATAATTCTGTAATCTATGACATTCTTTTAAATTCTATAAATGGTTATTTTAGAAAGTATAGAACTATTAATAATAACATGTGATATGGCAGGAAAGGAAAAGGCTATAAAAATTAGTCCATGGTAATTTCAACCTCCAGTTGGATGTTATTTTTGTTAGAATTTAAAATGCTTTTAGGATTGAAGATTGTGTTTTAATAGCTTTAGAATTTACCCTATGACTATATAATTTAGAAAATATAAATGTGGATGGTAGTAAATTTTGAATTTTCATGCAGCAAGTAAAATCGTTAAAACTGAGGATGAGGACAGACCATATCATGAGGTGTTGATCAAGGCAATTTCTGTATATATTTAAAGATGGTGATTTAAATTACACAGAAATAAATGTGTGTTGATTTAGACATTTGTGTCTCAGAGACACATGCCTACACAATTTTTTTTCCTAAAATCATGCAGACAATGTTGAACTCTTTCTTTAGTACAGTTTGGCATTAGCATAGCGTGTTGGAGGTGATAATATATGCTGAATGATATATTTGTAATCAAGACATTTTAAAAGAACGTTTAATAAAGGGAAGTCATCAGGCCAAACAAATTATCTTTTTTTCTCTTTATTTTTATTGAGGGATGGCAGAAGGAAATAATCATAAAGTACCCAATATATAAAGTTGTTGATTTTGTGTGTGTGTTTGTGTGTGTGGAGGCTTCAGCAAATAAAAATAAGCCTCTAAAGGAACCAAGTGTTAATTGAATTAAATATAATGAGCAGTTCAATTGAGCTATTTCTAAGCAAAAGAGGGAATCAAAGTAAGAAGTTACAAACTCTGCCAGGGGAAGCTTGAGCATATTTCACAAAGAATATGACTTTTGAAATAGAGTTTTAGTTTTATAAAACTTATATTACAAGAGTTCTATTGCCCATGTGCTCATTTATTAAATAAGACAGAAGAGTTGGCCAGACTAAGATGAAGGTGAAACTTTGTGCAAGAGAAACAGCCAGAACCAACAGTAGATCATGGTAGATGAAAACCAGAATGTTAAGGTGATCATCTTGATCTCTGGAGAGTGGAATGCCATTGAAGAGATTCATGAGTTATTCGATAACTTTCTCAGATTTCTGTTTGTACTTATTAAAATGGTACAAGATAAGTTGAGGAATGGAGGGAGGAAGGGTAGTGACTGAAATACCCAGCTGGTGTTTTTTTGTAGTTGTCTGACTGAGATATAGATGAGAATATAATGCAGTACATGTGGGCAAAAAGTGGTAGGATCTCCTGGAATGGTTTTTCTCAAAATCTGGTTCTCAGATCAGAAGAATTGACATCACCTGGCCAAAAATGCCAATTTTTATGGGGCGTATCCCAGAACAATTGAATCAGAAACTTTGAGGGTGTGGTCCAGCAACCATGTTTTCACAAGTCCTCACGTGAATCTGAGGCATACTAATATTTGAAGACAACAGTCTTAGAGATGTATTTTCAGAGCAGAACCCTCAGAATTGAAGAATTGATAGGATTTGGGGATAAGGAAGGTAGAATAATCAGGAACAGCTAGAATTTCTATCGTAGAAAGTGGAGAGGGACGTCATTACATGAGATAAGATATATGAAAGAAGAGTTAGGTTAGGCCAAAAGGGTCCTTTTGAAAATATGCAATTGGAAAGGAAGCTGTCATTGGAATGGAAACAAAATAATAAGTCTAGAATTAAATGTCAGGAATTGGTCTTGATTAAACCAATTTTTGGTCTTCATTGCACTGGAGAGTCTGTTATTAATGTTTGTAGCTTTCCTTTACAGTGAAGGTACCTGGATAGAGGGTGGGACGCCATTAGAATATGTGATGGAGCAGAAAGAGCCTTGGACTTAGGGGTCAGAGGACCTGAACTCTGGCTGTGACCTATAACATCTATAACCCTACCTGGCCGTGAATACTAATTGTGTTACCTTTGGAAAGTCACTTCTTGAGATCTAGTTAACTACTTAGAGACCCAGGTGTTTTGTTAGTCTTTTGTTTTTTGTTTCCCCTCCTTATCAGGACAATGAAAATGTTGCCTGTGAGCATAATTATTGTGAGAAAATAATAAGTGTGTGAAAACATAGCATAGTCAACAGGAAACACTTAATAGATGGTAGGCACATCCTTCTTGGCTATTTGTTGATTACACAAAATTTCCTTTGATTTATCCAAAAATTTGGTGGAGAAGAGGATGAAGGAGAGAGAAAACTATTTCTCAGGACATTCACAAATATGCAGGGGAAATAAAGACCAAATTGTCGCCTGAAAATTAATTTGAATAGAGCATCCTTAATACAGCCTCATATAGTTTCCTGGAGAAGATTATTCGGCAATATATCTAAAAATAGTTACTAAGGGAGTGCAGAAAAATGAGCAAGGGCCTTTTGTAAAGACACGGGACCAAACGATACATTACATTTTAAATTTAAAATAGCAATGCACTGTAATGTTTTGCTATCAGCTACACCAATTAATGCAGATGATGCTAATTAAAAGTAAATTTAGAGAGTGATTAGGTTCTCTCACCATTGTTAGGGAGAATTGATTCTTCTATAGATCTAATGTGTTAAAGTAAGAAGTTAATGATATATTGATGTATTTTAAAGCACCTAATTTAGATTATAATTCCGAGGAAAACATTTGTGTTAATACCGAATATTAAATGACAAACGTTTTCTCTTGGATAAGGAATGGCAACATTTGTATAACCCTAGAGCAACAAACATGTTGATGTTTCAAATAAATTATTGTTTATGGCTGTTTAATCTCAATTTTAGTTTTATAAAACTTATAATGCAAGAATTCTATTGCATATATGCTCATTTATGTGGCAGTATACAGCTGTGTGTGGCATAATAGCTATATTGAACAAAATTATGTGCTGTAGGACTTGCTGCAAAAATTTCATGGTCCCATCTGGAATAGCTTTGCAATTGAGAAGGCTGAAGAGGGCAAACATTTTACAGGATTATGGAAATCAGTAGTAGGGTTTTGCTGTCAATTTTAACGTTTAGAAAATAAGGTTAGTAGGTGTCAAAGCTAGAAGAACTTTTTTCATATTCAAAAACAGTTTATATATGGAACAAAGTTACTCTCGCTATAGGAAAGTCTGAAATATATACACAGACATCTAGTTTATATCTGAACGTATTGGCCTTCAATTACAAGGTATATCTTAAACACAACAAATAAGTTGAGTTTTGAATAGATTGCTATATTTCACCAAAATAGGCAGTTTAAAAGATCTGCTATCCTGGAAAATTATTTTCTATGTCCTTAGTATTTAGCTAGCATTATGTAAGAATTAGGAAATTTGTTGTTTATGGGGAAAAGAGAAAAAGGTTAAAATAAGTATGAGGTCAATTAAATGGTAGGACCCATTCATCGCTTTCTTTATTATCTTCTCTCTTATTTTTTCCCTCTATTCCTCAATTCTCCTTGCCTTTCTTCTTTCCTTCTCTCCTACAAAACATGTGACACAAAGAAAAGAGAAGAAAAGGACAGAAAAAGAAACAACACAAGTTCCATCTATGTAAAACATAGTAAAACAAAGTTTGAAACCAGAAAATAACCTAAATGGTGGCTCTTACAGCTAGTAAAATGGTGACAAAATGGAGGAGCTATTACTATTGTTTTTAGTGTAAACTATTCTTTATGCTGTGATGGCATATTTTATACAGTTTAGAGTCTATGTGTACACACCAATACACCCTGTTATATAGATGGTGAAGCATCAAAAGTATATTAATTAAACGGGGAAACTAGGAATGTAAGTGGCGGCAGTGTGGGCAAAAGAATGTTGATAATACAAATTTATGTCTAATATGTATTTAAATCCAATATAAGCTCTTCTTTTCAATGATTACAGTAAGGACATTTGGGCTACATATGCAATCATCTGTAACAAAAACCTGCGGACAAAAAAAAGTTCATAAAATAGTCCATGGCTTGACTCATGTACCCTAATTAAAAAATATTAGGTAAAGTCATGTAGTATAATTTGATTCCCAATACATAAAATAATAAGCAGATTTTGTGCATTTTGTAGGTATGAGTGCTGAAAGTTATCTTCAGAATATATTTTAAACCTGGTTAAATAAATATTAGTTAAAAATTTTCATAATAAAACATTAAACACATGCTTATATATACATAAATAAGATTAACAAGAGCACATAAAATCAACTTAAAATTGCACTCATGTATCTGAGGAGTGCTTTCACTAAATCAGAGTGAAAATTTTTTTAAAGTATATGTTTGTGTTTCTATATACAGCTACACATCTAATGTGTTTGATGACCATCATACCCACACACACACGTACATACATTCAAATACATAAGGAATCATTAACTTGTATTCACTAAAACACGGTTGACACACTCATTTATAAGCATTGATTTATATTTTAAAAAGAAGTTAAAAAAGCACATCTACTAACCTAGTCATTAAATCGTGTAGTGAAGAAAGAATGAACAAAACTCTGATTATGTAGAAGCTGTTTGGAACAGTTCCTTTTGATGTTATTTTTATTGTTGAGAATATTTACATAAATTAAAGGAAAAGTTCAATATGTTCATATTTGTTGTTGGGAACAAAATTATTTACCCCTACTTCTATGTTCAACACTGTAATTATTTTCTTAACAGGTATAATATTGAAGTCCTATTAACCAATTGCAAACAAGAACAAAACAACAAAAGCGTTTTTTGGACTGTACTATTTAAACTAATTATAAACTCCTAATAATAATGGATCAAATACGCTGAGCCAATGTTATAGAATGTAGCTTCTTTTAATATTTAAAGCAAGCTGCTTTGCTATTTTAAACAACCATAGATAACAATTGCTCCCCCATCCCTACAAACTCTGTCAACCTGAATTTTTTCACCTAATTGGGAATCCTCAACATGCTTATAAATGCACACACTTGGAAAATATTAGCCAAAAATGTCGAGTGATCCTTATATTGATTTGAGTAAAAATGTAATTCTGGGGGTATATTAGCCTTTCAAAGGGATAAAATGATAAGCACTCAGGCACCATGGTTTCACCAGCAGTGCGTGTTCACACAGCTTCACAGCAGACTCATTGTTCCTATTTGCAGCAACACGCACAATTTAATAGCATTTAATAGCCCAGCAGTTTCACTGCACCATTCACAAGCCTCCAGTATATTTAATGTAGACCAGTTTTTAAATTAAATTGGCATAAATAAGCTTGGTAGAGTTATAGACTCTACTTAGATTGCTCTTGAGTATGGAGGGAAAGATTTTTTGCAATGATGCTAACAAAATTAGTTTCTGGTGCATGACTTGAATAGGAATGGAGATGTAATCCCAGAAAACTAGAAAATGCATTACTCGAGCAAATAACAAAATTTCAGTAAAGTAGAATATTTCTTTAAATAAAACTATGCTTTAGCAATTAATGCAAATTTTACTGTAATTTTGGCATGAAATAATTATTGCTTGAGGTATTCTAAGTTCAACTTAATAGAAAAATTAAGGGGAAGAATGATGCATGTATCTGTTATATTGATTCTATCTATAGTTATAGCCCCAAATATTTTGACATGTGCATTCCTGTAATATCTGAAGCTCCATTCCATTTATAATCATAATTCCCCTGCTGAGATCATAGCTTGTGCTCATACCAGCCTGAGCGTCTCTCCTTTAGGTCAGAAGACAAGTAATTTATATGTTTTAATTAGCCTAAACTTTAGCTCTGAGTAGATGACTTTATCTTAACACTTTCATAGATAAATGCATCCTTTGAAACGTAATAACTATTTTCACATTATTCATTCATGAGTAGAATTCTGAAAAGGCACAGTTAGTCTAGAAGAAATAAAATCATGCTTATTTAAAATTTCTTTAAAAATACTTACCATGCTTATTTTTTTAAGCCTCTTGATCACCTCTGTAACTTCCCTCCCAGAAGCATACTTTCATTTAAATATGTAACTTTTGGATTCTTTCTTCTTTGCAGACATTCCATATTCATTGTCATTATCTTGACAATGAATATGTACAAAGTGAATCTTAAGTAGTAGCATCTTACCAAGAAATTTTATGTCTAGAGAGACATTGACTTCTGAAAGAAGCTTCCACATTGTAAACATTTCACCACAAAAATACTGTTTTTTTTTTTCTTCTTTACCAATTGCTACTGCCCTGTACTCCTTCTAGTCCTCGTTTTTTTCAATTCCTTATCCGAAGTTCTTGGAACCAGAAATGTTTCCGATTTGGGATTTTGTTTTGGATTTTGGAATATTTGCATTGTGATTACCGGCTCAGTATCCCTTATCTGAAAACCCCAAATCGGAACTGCTCCAAAGAGCATTTTCTTTGACCACTATGTCGGCGCTCAAAAAGGTTCCGATTTGGGGCCAGGCACGGTGGCTCACACCTGTAATCCCAGCAGTTTGGGAGGCAGAGGCGTGTGGATCACGAGGTCAGGATATCGAGACCATCTTGGCTAACAGGGTGAAACCACATCTCTACTAAAAATACAAAAAAATTAGCCAAGCGTGGTGGCGGGCACCTGTAGTCCCAGCTACTCAGGAGACTGAGGCAGGAGAACGGCATGAACCCGAAAAAAAAAGGTTCTGATTTTGGAGGATTTCGAATTTCAAATTTTCTGATTAGGGACTCAATCTGTACCAGTTTCTTCATTTTAACTAACACTAAATGAAGTAGGTTTTCTTTTCTTTTGTACAGACCTGACATCAGCATTTTAGGTTGTCTAGGAAAAAGAATGTCATTCTCCCCACAATCTTTTGAGGCCCAGATGAGTGAATGTCCTAAAGTCTCCAAGGAGAAGAGCTTCCTTGGGGTCCTTAGAGGTTTTACTTCACAGCTATTGTGACCACATTTCCTGTTATCCAGTGGCTAGGGAAAGTCCCATTGATAAAAAACTGTTACATTGGAGAGACACGTTTAACTTCGGTTTGTATGTAATCGATAGTTATATCCCACGTGCCGCTTTCTGCTAAGTTTTGTGCGTCAGACGAGAGACAGAGAGAGAAATACGAAACCGAGCCCCGGCCTGAAAAAAAGTCACAGGAAGAAGCCATACACACATGATAGCTCATTTACAATGCACAGCAAAATATGCTTTATTTACTAACCTAGGAAGTACAGGCAGTACTGAAATAAGGAGTGAGACTGATCAATAAGAATAACATAAGGCCGGGCGTGGTGGCTTACACCTGTAATCCCAGCACTTTGGGAGGCCTAAGCTGGCAGATCACTTAAGGTCAGGAGTTCAAGACCAGCCTGGCCGACATGGTGAAACCCCATCTCTACAAAAAATACAAAAATTAGCTGATCAGCTACTTAGGAGGCTGAGGCACAAGAATCGCTTGAACCCGGGAGGTGGAGGTTGCAGTGAGCCGAGATCCCGACACTGCACTCCAGCCTGGGCAACAGAGCGAAACTCTCATCTCAAAAAGAATGACGACAGTAATAACATCCAATATTTATTGAACATTTGCTACCATGCCAAATACTGTTTGAAGTAGTCTTTTTTTCAGCAATCCTAAAAGAAGGAACAATATTATTTCCTTTTTAAAGATGAGAAAACAGAAGCACAGAGTGATTAATTAATATGCCCTAGATCACACAGCTAAATAGTGACAACGACAATCAAACCCAAGCAGTCTGACCTCTGAGCACACAGGATGATTTAGTATAAGTAGCGGTCAAAATGAAACACACACGAAAAAAACAAAATAAAGCCAAAGTCCCTCAAATCTTTATTGGTGAATTTACTATGTGAAATAGTACTTCTGTAAAATTGAGCAAGTGAAATTTCCGAGTTTAACTTCCTTTTCATAAAGTGTAGTTAAGCGTATGTGGCCTCCAGATTGCAGGATTTCTTGAATTTCAAATGGTTTATCTTGTAAAAGTGCTGGACGAAAACAAACTGCTCGGCAGATGTTAGTTGTTTTATCTGTTGTTGAGGTTATGAGGAACTGAGTGTTGCTTGGGCTATTTATAATGGGAAGGTTGGGAAGCTGGAAGCGACACTCCTTTGCATTTATTTGCTGTGAGCCTTTCCCCAGTCACAGAGTTTAACACTGAAAGTGATGTGGAAGGAAGGAAATGGGCATGAGTGGAGGTGCCACAGGGGCAGTGGTAGCTGTCTGCTGGTGAACACATAAGGAATCTTGCTTCACTATTGTGTCATCAACCCTTCTTCAAAAAGGGATCAACAGATCAGCTGGAAAGGGAGAAACCAGGTTGGAAATAGGTTTCATGTGTGAAAAAAAAGATAAAATTGGGAAGTAATGATTTGCCAATGTGTTCCCTCTGTTCTGTTAGGTTTATCGGCATGATACGATTTCAAAACCATATAACACTTTTTCTCCCTGTGCTTGTTAACATTATTTTGTTGAGAATCGGATGAAAGATTTTAACCGTTTTGCAAGTAGAAGTGGAAACAGGTTGAGTTTATATGTTTTTGTAAAATACGTGAAACATAGCAACATGAGGCAGTATAGGTCCAGTGTGGTCACTATTAGCCATGTACAGCTATTTACATATGAACTAATTAAAGTCAATTTAAATTAAAAATTCAGTTCCGTTTTATAGCCCACTTCTATCACCGGAGAAAGCTCATTTGGATGGTGCTGATACAGAGTAGTGGTTAACAGGTCAAGTTAGATAAATTCCTGGGTTGCAGCCCAACTTCATCACTTACTAGCACTGTGACTTTGGACAAGTTCATCTCGAGCCTGACTACTTCATCTGCAAAATGGAGACGATAATAATATCTATTTCATATAGCTGTCAGGAGAATGAAAAAATATATGTAAAGTACTTAGGTCAATACAAATAAAGGGCTAAATAAATTTTGGCTACTGTTGTTAGGGACTAGTCATGTTTTTAGAGCCATTAAATCAAATGTCATTGATTGGTTATAAAAGGACCAGTTGTACATTTTGGGATTAAAATCAACATGATAGTAGGACCCTATAATGTTTAATTGTAACACATTTTCACTTCCATATATTCAGATATATGTTTTCCATTTTCAAAGGAGATTTGAGGCCACTAAACATTTTTTAAAGCACAAATGCACAAAATTGAAAATGATTAACCTAATTTTGAGCAGATAAGGCAAAAATGAAGGATGAGAATGAGATCATATGGAAGACCATAGTTAAAGGATGCTATTTCAATTGCACAATAACAAATCTTAGCTGAGAGGCCTAGTAGTTATGGCCAAAGGGAGACATATATTTAGGCATAATCTTAATTTTATTTTATTGTTTAATTTAGATGAGATCCAAATGGATGTAGGAAGTTTCACGGTTGCAGTCACGTATAATGTGAGTTTAACTCATGCTTCATAAGAAACAGGAACTAGGCCGGGTGTGGTGGCTCATGCCTGTAATCCCAGCAATTTTGGATGCTGAGGTGGGCGGATTACCTGAGGTCAGGAGTTCAAGACCAGCTTGACCAACATGGAAAAACCCTGTCTCTACTAAAAATACAAAATTAGCCAGGTGTAGTGGTGCATGCCTGTAATCTCAGCTACTTGGGAGGCTGAGGCAGGAGAATAGCTTGAACCTGGGAAGCAGAGATTGCAGTGAGCTGAGATCACGCTACTGCACTCCAGCCTGGGCAACAAGACTGAAACTTTGTCTCAAAAAAAAAAAAAAAGAAAAAGAAAAAGAAACAAGACCTTATAGAATGGCAGAAAATGATCTATTACATATAGCTATTTTAACAGCCTACTATTGTTTATATTTTAAAAAGCAGGCCCTGCTAACCATCTAGGGAAAAATTACCAGGAATAAGTTTAGGGAAGCCTGAAATACTTGCTTGGAAGTGAGGCACTGGTATAACTTGGTGGCTACAAGCACAGAAAATGGAGTCTGATGGTTTGGACAAAATGACTCTCCTACATTACAAGCTGTCTGGCTTGGAGAATTATTTAATCTCTCTCTGCCTCAATTTCTCATCTGTAACATGGAGATAATAATTGTAAATACTCACTTGCATTTGTTGAGAAGAACAACTTAGTTAGTGTTTTTAAAGTATAATGCCTGATTCTTAGGGTATGCAATACATACTGTAATCAATATTAGACAAGAGTATTGAAGTGGCTGACTGTGACTTTGGAGAATTCTTCTAGTTCCTTTCTTCCTCTATTTTCCTCCTGTGAATTTGGTGTCAAAGTACCTTGTCAATTGTTCGCATTGCAAAGACTGTCCTAGCATAAAAGAATACATTATACAATTTTAGTATAAAATAACTTATGTCCAGTTTTAATTGTTGAATTTTTCTGAAAGTGCTATGCAATATTTTCACACAGTTTCTAGAAGATATGGTTTTATGGTTTTTTTTTTTTTTAAATATGTGGATGCTCTCTAAGGCAATTGTCTAAATAGTTTTCCAAATTCTGGAAAAGAAGGAGCAAGAATATATGCTAATGGAAATTACTTGGAGAAACCTGAGTAAATCTAGTAATTGTGTGCCGTATGTGGTAAGAAAATTAGATAGTGCACTTAAAATGATTCAATAATTAAATATGTATTTATTAAATCATTTGTAGTAGCTTTAGTATATGACCTCAGGATTCAAAGACAACCATGTTGTGATTACCCTTGAAGCTTCATTGAAAAGTGAATTACAGAATCAGCTTTCTTTTCTTTTACTGCCTGAACATGCTTTACCCTGAAATCTCATTGTAAAATAAACCTTCCTGTTACAACTATTGCACACCACTTAATCGCTGCAGCATGACATGGGGTAGGAGTTGCAAGAAGGGAGGGGAGAATGTCATGAAAAGTCGACAATAAACAGAAACAGTCAGAAAATTACTTCTGGGAGATGGCAGATGATGAGATATTAAGACAGAAGGCAGACACTCTGCACAGCAGCTGGAGAGGAGAAAAGGTGCATTAGTCAAATGAATTATGAAAAAAAAATGAAATCAAGTTCCAGAGAGGTGCCAACATTTTCTTCATGCTATTGAGTATTTTCACTTTCTGAGATATATTCATTAGTTGCAATTTTGGTCAGTTTATTACTTGGACAAAAACAATTTGGATTATAGCTTTTGGGGAAAAATATACTATTTAAGTGATTAACTTAAGAATGATATGATGGTTCGTAAAAATAGACTTATTTTAACTTAGTTAACTTGAATAACTTACTTTTAAAAGTCATTCTCACAGATCATATCCAAAATGTTTGTTTTTCAATTCATGAATTAATCCTCAGGATGAATGTTATTACTTTGTTAAGTTAGATTTTCTGGGCAATATGGTGAAAATATAAGTAATACAAAAATTTTAAATGAATATTAGTGTTTCTTTCTCTTCCTGTATTTCTCTTGTTAATTTACAGGGTTTCCTCTTAAAAAAAATAGCAGCTGTAAACTATCCTTTGAAGATCTAATGCAACCTCTTTGTCCTATTTTCTAAAACCAAATGGACAGCATTGTATTATTCTAACTCCTATACCCACAGATTGCCTGCCATGTTTTTTTGTCCATTCTTCTCTTTATTTTCTGCAGTTTAGTAAAGTTTGTTTTAAAAGAAATCCCTTCAAAAAGTAATTTAAAGGAGAAAGTTCCCCTTAAGCTAACATAGTTCTTATTTCTTCTATTTTCAACTTCAGTTCTTTTTTTTCCACTGTGTTCTCAAATTTGCAGAGTTATGTAATTTTAGATAAGTCCCCTGGCTGTTACCTACTACTGCCACACTGTATGTCCCATCACATAATATACAAAGTCACTTCATTCCTGTGAAACCGTTCAGCCAATTCAGGGTGCTTTCATAATCAGGATAAAGAGAAATTTGGAAAATTATTGACACATAAGTGAAAGGCATTGAGAATGAATCCAATTTTCTATAACACTTGGTCTGCGTAATTAAAATGTAAAATAATATTAACATGGAAATATTGTGTAATGTTTTATTTATTGTAAATGTAAAATGGCAGATCAGCTTTACTCATGTGATAAATTGTCAAACATATGAGATTAGCAGGACAGTATTTCTTTTAGGTTGTTTCCACTTGCTTCCACTTTTTGGCATTGGAAAAATCTCACTCGTATTAGTGGAAATAGGGAAACAGCTGTTTAGAATGTCAGTAGAGAGTTTTATTTTTACTGAAAGCAAGTGCAGTAACATTTATATTAAGAATGAAGGTGTGCATACATTCACATACACACAGAGACGCATTATATATTTTTGTTAAAGAAAACACAAAATCTACACAGTACCGGCCAAGAGTCATAGCAGAGACTACCAACACTGTGGTAGCAAGTTCTGATGACTTCTAATGGGGCAAAATTCCAGTCACTAAAATTGAATATATTCTGTGACTTAGATATGTCATTAATTTTCAACTGTTTTTTTGTTATCAGATGTATTTTTTATATATCTATATATATTCATCATCTCTATCCTTGGTCTACACAGCAAGAATGTAGGGGATATTTTCAGGAAATTTATTTTGGGCTGACTTCTCCCAATAACTAGCCATAAGATATTCTCTGTACTAAAACAAACCCCACCTTTAGTTGGGCCCAAAGCATACTGTTGAGGGTGATAAAGATGGAGCTCAATAGTTGATATTCATTGACTGCTGAGGTAAAGATGAATTTTCTAGTAAAACTCCAGAAAGCAATTCTTAGGAGGTAAAACTTTTTATTGACATAGGGCCAAAGGTGAATATTTTGGGGAGCTTAGATAAAACTGGCTTTGCCATTTTTGAATTATATGCTAGAAAGGAAGAGGGAGGAAATGTGTTCCCTACTGAATCATAAGATTTCAACAGTTTTTTATGCCTGCAAAATTCAAAAATGCCTTGTGGGTATAAACCTCAAACTTGGAATACTGTCCTTCTTATTGTATTGAGAAAAATGTATTGAGAGCAAAAGCAATCCACATTCACATTTATAAAGCTGGGAGGGTTTTGCAATTCATGTCTGGATGAGCACCATATAAGCATTTTTTCCTGGCTTCTCAAACCAACCACTCTATTATGGAACTTTATTAAGAGCTAGAAACTTAATGAAAATCAAAGGTTTAAATATGAGTAACATATTTTAAATAAACCATCATTTATCTAGGCCTGAGGCAGTTATTAATTTACTTGCTTGTTTTTTGCTTTCTGTAAATCTTTGCCTTTCCCTCCTTAGCTTTAGAGAAAATAGGTAAATTAAGGCAATGTTTTACTTAAGGATTGTAACAGATCTAAAAAAATTGGAAAAGGTAAGATTATATGAGATATATCAATAAGAATCAACTTTAACTTCATTTGAATATCTCTACTGAGTTGATGCCATGAGTTAGAAGTCAAAATTACCTTTGTAGTACTCTACCTCAAAGCTCCTGCTTGTATATTAAAAATATATTTGCATTTCACCTAACACTAAAGCAATATTCTTAAGCACTTTGGAAGATAATTTGACCATCTAATAACTTGCCTAATTTTCAACTCTTGTCACATGCTTTAAATAGGTGTAATAGTTTCAAAAACAAGGCAGGTAGGAGCATGTTTAACCAGACCTCCACCTACAGCAAATAATAAGAATAAGAAGAAAAAAGGTCTCAAAAATAATACAATGATTTTAAGCCTCATTTTTTCTCAGTCATATTTTAAAAAATAAAAAGATGAGCATGATAATTGCAGCCTTTAGAGCAATTTTGTAAACAACACATTATAGGTACTGGATAGAAAATAAATGCCAGCCTCCTTCTTTCCCCCGATAAATCTGTTGAAATATTTTTTCCCCTATATCACAATAGCAGACTTCTTTCTTGGACCTGCATGAAAAATCAAGCCCATCATTTTTCTGTGGGTTTCTATAATATGTATAAGATCCCTCAATTAACCATTGTGATCAAAATAAGTCAAGGTAAATAGCAGACAGTAGGTTCTATAGACAAGGGCAACCACAAGGTTACAGTTTTGTAGCAGGTGTGGAATATATAGATAGATCATTCATAAAAGAAATTAAATTGGAAGATAACAGATACATTAAGCTATTTTATAAGAAGATATTAAAGTACTGTGCCGCTGTAAGAAAGTACATCAAATTGCTTTTTTATTCAGTATGTCAGTTGAAATACGGTCACTATTCTTGGAACTTGTTCTCTTTGTAAAATTCAACATGGATCTTTTATTCCTGATATTTGGCTCCTTTCCAGGCATGTGTCTAGTGAAGTATCTTGAATTACAAGCTAATAATGGATACTTGTAATAGATTTCTAGCTTTTAGAACCATTTCTTTCCGACCTTCTCTTTTCTATTCTTCTTTTCTCTCTTCTTTGCAGATAAGACATGTTCTAATGTTTGCATACATTTAAAATGAGGAACTTTACAACATGCTGATGTGGGACCCATAGAATGAAAATCACAGAAAAGGCTGGGGTATATATGAATTGTCTGAATTGTTTTTAATAAATAATAAAGTACAATTTCATCAACTCTCAACTTTAAGGTAATTACCTATCTAATCACTACCATAGTTCAAAACTGTAAACACATTTATTTATTTAAAATTAATGTTTGGGGCTATACTAAAGGAAATTGACAAATTACATATGGAAAAACTGTAATATATTTTCTTTTTTTAATACAGCATTCCTATACCATAATTATTTTTTAAGGTCTACTTTTCTAATAATACTGTCACTTAAATCAACAAAAACAAATGATTATTTTTAGTGTAGCATTCTTGCCTTTTAGTTAAATATTTTAATTATATAAGCATTTGCTAAAAAATTACATACCCTATATTTTATTCAGGCATCAAATGAATTAGGAAAATTTTAGTCAGCACCAAATCTTCTTAGAAACAGTATAGTTTGAAAAACCTCAATAATTTCTTTTGAAAGTTTTGACAATAAGTGGATTTAAAGCTGGCAAACATAGTTTCTTGCAAGAAAAAAGCTACATCCATCTCTCGGGTTTGATTTCCTTTTGGCCATGTGGAAAATACAAAAGAAATAAAAATCGGTCAGTACACCGAAACAAACCAACAAACAACAAAACAAAAAGACAAACTTCCTTTCAAGGTTATATAAATAATATTCGTTTTATTTTTCTAATTTATTTGTCATGTTGGTTTATTATTGCTGAATTTATCCTCTGACTACTAAATATAGAAGATGTCTCAATTTTCATTACAAACTGCCCCCTTCTAGAAAAGCAAAACAGCAACACTCACAGAATACTTGTCTAAACTTAAGGTTTGATGCTTTTAGAGAGTCTTGTTATTTACTAGGCATTGGGTACAAGGTACTCAATACATTTTGTACCAATGAGGCATAAAAATCTACATTTTATTTGGTAAATGTATTTGATATATAACTTCAGATAAGATCTCTCTATAGAAGAAAAAAATTAACACTTGCATTAATCTTGCCAGAAAAGTTATTTCTACTAAAATAGTAAAAATAAGAAATTATCTTACTAGAAAACAGAGATTTCTTTCCAACTTTTTTATTCAATTGAAAGCAGATGTCCAGGCTCACACCTGTAATCCCAGCACTTTAGGAAGCCTAGGCAGGAGAATTGCTTGAGGCCAGGAGTTCAAGACCAGCCTGGGCAACAAAGCGAGAGATGGTCTCCACAAAAAATAAAATGAAATCAATAAGCCAGGCATAGTGGCATGTGGCTGTGGTCCCAGATACTCTAGAGACTGAGGCAGGAGAATCCTTTGAGTTCAGGAGTTTGAGGCTGTAGTGAGCTATGAAATGATCTCACCACTGTGCCCAAGCCTGGGCAACAAAGTGAGAGATGGTCTCTACAAAATATAAAATGAAATAAATTAGCCAGGCATAGTGGCACATGGCTGTAGTCCCAAATACTCTAGAGGCTGAGGCAGGAGGATACTTTGAGTTCAGGAGTTTGAGGCTGCAGTGAGCTGTGATATGATCACACCACTGTGCTCCAGCCTGGGCAACAGAAGGAGACCCTGTTCTCTAAAGAAAAAGAGTGGAAACATTAAATTAAAGGAAATAACCAACTATGGATGCACACATGGAAGTATTTCTGTGTATTTAATGAAGACTATGTGTACATATATCTAAGACTATATATGTATACACACACACACATACACACATACTATATATCTGTGTATGTATGTATTATTTTCACAGAGAAAGAGTATGCCTATATATATAGACATACATATTATATACACGTATATATATACACACATATATCATATATCTTCATATATTATATATAATATGTGCATATATAATATATAATATGTGTGTGTATGCTTATGTATGTATATATACATATATATGTAGACATACTCTTTCATTATAGTCTCCTTTCCCAGAGAAAGAGTATGTCCATATATATATTTTATACACACACACACACACACACACACACATATATCTGCACATACTGTTTCTCTGGGAGAGGAGACTATAATGAATGTGCATAAAGAGCTATTTTGACTTATTTTTCACATAAATGTTATGTGTTTACTGTATATTTTACAATTGTCTGTAATATAAGACAAGGGAGGGACCCATCCTGGAGACAAGGATGGAATAACTCTAGCATTCTATAATTTACATATAGAAAAATGAGATTTAAAAAATGTTCCTGTCACATAGAATTCCATTCTGTTACATTGGCATTCATGTTATTTATAGCTTCCTGTAAGTGGAACATATTTTTTTCTTCCTGGGGATTTCCAGCTTAGGCTATGATTTGCAACTAATTATCTCAGGGATTTTAGCTAATATTTGCAAAGAAATCATACAGCAATAAAAACTTTATGAAGACTTTGGAATAAAATAGACAAATAATTATGATTTTGGGGATAGTAAATTTATTTTCAGTACTAAAGTACTAATGTAGGGTAAACTCATTTAAAATCCTGATTTACACAGAAGTTTGCATTGCTATAGAAAAAAAAGGAAGTGGCCTATTTAAATTATACAGCAAAAATCTACCCAGAGGGGTCAGGGAAACAGAAAAAAAATAGCGTAATTATAAAAATGCTTGGAATGCTGCCATTAAAGAATGAATTGTATATATTTAATGTGATAATCATAAAAAATGAGACATTTAATGATGAAATATACTTGACTTGTTGAAAAAGTTACCTGAAAAGTCTTATACCCATGTATTTTGAAATTGTTTCTATAGCTATTCTATTATAAGCAGTTTGCATGACACCAATTGAGATTTTAGATAGGAAAGAAAGACAGGAATGTACAAGATGACAAAAGAAGAGAAGTGGAGAGGAGGATGGGACAGGACTGGACTGAACTGAGCAGAAGGCAAGGGAAGGGAAAGCACAACTACACGTAAGCCAGTTAGATAATCACACCTATATTTTGCAATTCCACATCGATTTTTATCTTAACAAAAAATGTTATGTTTAAAATATTAAATGAGAATACATTTTTTTCTGTCACTTACCCACGATGTAGAGAAAGCTATAAAACTTGAGATATGTAATGTATTCTATAAAATTAATAATGTACTTTTCTTAAATGATATCACAGAAAAATGATCTCTTAGAATTGGAGTATCATTTAGTTTTCTGATAAATGTCCCTTTACAGAGGCCTCTCCAGCCACTCATTCACTTTCTCTCACTTGATTTTAAGTTCCTGCACAGGATTTACCCCTACCTGGCAAATACTTGTTTATTTATGTGTTTGTTTCTTATATGTGTCTCAGTTCTAGAATATAAGCTAATGTGAGAGGAGAGAAATTCTCTTGCATGCACAGCAAAGGCAATCAATATTTATTAGAAGAATGGATAAATAAATATAATTTAATGTGATGAAGTTCCTTTTCAATGAAACTGTGTTTTTCCATATCACCAATGATAATACCTTGTCACCATAAGTTGACCTGAATATATGTCAATGGCTGACCCTCCAGACTTGGCAATGAGAAAGTTCCTTTAAGTTTCATTCTTGTTCTTTCTCATAATGGAAACAGCGCTACTTCATGCCCTTGTCTTTTTCTGTCAGAAAATCAGAATGCATAAACTCAGCAAACTACCAGTTGCTTTATTGTGCAAATAAATCCAATCCACATCGCACTTTATGATGAAATGCCAAGTCCATGACAGTTGTAGAATACATCCTTACAGAGGTGTACTGTGAAATCCCACGTGATGATTCCCAGTGTGTTTTATAGGTTTTATTGACATAATAAGTAAGATATGTCTGTCAAATGGAAACATATAACACAAACCATGGAACACTTTGTCCCTATCAATCAAGAATTGCCATGAAAATACATATATAAAAATCATATTTTACAAGCGTGACACGTCAAATCCTTGCACCTCCATTAAGGCCCAGTACAAATTCCAACTCCTTTATTAATTCTTCTAAAATCTCACACTACCCAGAATCTGTCTCTGAACTCCCTCATAAGCCTTTACCCATGTCTGCATTATATCATTTAACACGTTCTTTTCTAGAAGAGTAAAACTATTAGTATATTGGTCTTTAATACATAACTTTATATCATAAAGTCTCTAAAGGTAGTGACAATGTTTGTTTTCTTTGCACTTTCCAAACTACCCAGCATAATGCCTTATTCATAGGAGAATCTTTAGAAATATTAATTATAGATCACTTTTGTAAGTACAGACTTTATTTAACACATAAAATGTCAATATCTAATTTAAATTTATTTTGAAATTGAATGTATTAGTTATGTTCATGTGTACACGCTTTCAGTTTCACAGATTAATTTTATGGTATGGTTACCAAGATACATAGCTTCTGGTGACAGAAAAGATGGGCCTGGAATGGCGGATGAGTTTAATATAATTCATTTTATTTTATGCAACTAAATCACTCCAGGCCAACATTCCACCTGCCAAATTCAACCAACTATTACAAAAATGTAATGAAGTGGTTTCTCAATGTCCAAGGACATTAAAGTAACAGCTATTAATGACCAATGTTCAGGTTCTTTCTACTTTTTCATTCACAATTATTAGATTATGAGGACCATATGGATCTTTATAACCACTTTCTGGGTGGACTGTTTTGACTAAGAAACAGGTTGTGAACATTCTTTTAGGTGTTTTTGAATAATTTCTTCAGAAAATTTGGCTCCTGTTAATTTTAGAAGCATATGACTTACTACATGAGCTTGCTAAGCAAGTAACTGAAAAAGACAGATCTTTTTTTTTTTTTTTTTGCAGAACATCACTATTGCTTTTATTAGACAGGAGAGGGGGAAAGGCCATCATCTAAACCAATGATTCAGCCACAGATTGTGCATTGAGCAACTCCAGGGGGCACCACTTACAAAGGCTACAGTGGGATTGGTGCTCTTGGACCCCTGGAATGCAGTGGTATCAGTAGGAAGTAGCAGGTTATCACAAGCAATGTTATAGTAAGATGGGTAGCATTTGTTAAGGAAATAATAATTTTGTGGTCTGTTTGTATAAAATTAAATGGACAAAATAACCCTGGAATCCATTTGTAGGATAATTTCATTGAAAAGACTCTTACATGAGCTGTCTCAATACAGTGTCTCAAAGCAAATAATTGAGTATAAGGGCTATTGTGTGTGTGTGTGTGCGTGTGTGCATGTGTGTGTGCTCGGTGTGTGTGTGTGCTGGGTGTGTGTGCTGGGTGTGTGTGTGTGCTGAGTGTGTGTGCATATGTGTGTGTGCTGGGTGTGTGTGTGTGCTGTGTGTGTGTACTGGGTGTGTGTGCATGTGCTGGGTGTGTGTATGTGTTTGTGTGTGTGTGTGAGAGAGAGAGAGTTGGGTATTCTTCTTGTTTACAACACTGAGCTCTTCTGGACTATGTGTGACAGGAAGATTTATTTAATTTGTGTGAAAACCCATTTAAGAGAAGCGTTAGCAATGTTGCCAGTGGTGTCAGAGAAGTACACCCAGTTAGCCAACTGTAAAAGCTGCCCAAGAAGCAGTTATTATGCACCTTTACCTTCTAGGCATAGTCTGAATCTTACTATCTTCCAAATGTCTGCTTTTAATTCTATCTTTTGGATTGGAGTTAACATAAGACATAATTTATGGGACTAATCCAAAATTGAATTAAGTAATAGTTATTCTTATTTTTTTAAAAAATAATTTACATCCATTTGATGCACAGCATTGTGATAAGGGCTATACTGTAAGCTCAATACAGCAAGGACTTTGTTAGCTGTTTTTGTTCATATATACACTGGTCCCATAGAGATGGGAGGATCTAAACAGTTCCCTGCACATAATGCCTAACAGACTTTCGGAATCACTTATTGACTGAATGAAGATATCCAGAGTAGAAGAAATTAAGTAGAATAATCTTTTATTTAATAAAGTTTCTGATATGAAGATTCATTTGACACACACACATATATATATGCATATGCACACATACCTACATACACACTATCACCACCACTACCACCAAAAAGCAACAATAATGATCGTATAATGAAAGCAGTGTCATCTATTTGATTGGCTGTTGTAGTGAAAACAATATAGAGAGAAAAAAATAAAATAAAATTAATACTTAGCTCAAGGCGGGGATAGATAAAGAACTCTTTTTAGAGTTGAGGGTACATTGATTTTATCTTTGAATATAGATACAATGATGATCAATAGATAAGAGGCTTGTAATCATGGCAGCATTCAAGTGGCATTACTAATACAGGACTTCTTTTTTTTCTGAAAACTAATATAATGATACCTATACCCAATAATGTTAAGCAATAAAACTTTCCACTTACCTGAGTAACTCAAAGACAATTTCAGTCTTGTTTTAATTATAAATTAGACAGTTTTAATAATCCCCAGATTTGTAACATCAAAGTGTGAAACTTTATTTTTCAAACCTTTGGCATTTTTCAATCTTATGAATATTTGGAAACCTTAATTAACTTGGTGAAAAGGCTGAAAAAGAAGATTATCAGCATGTGGTGATTGACAGGATAATGAAAATTTTCTTCTGCAAAATTCTGATATGTTTAGTCTGACTTGAGTTTCTCCCTATATCACTACTTATCTCATTTTTATTTTTAGTTCAGCTGAATCACTAAAAGGAAATATTCACCAATGTAACTTGGGGAGAAAGATTCTGATCAGAAAACCACGATGTTTGAACCTAGTCAAATTTTAAGTAGAAGTGAACTACATCTATCTAAGACAACATTCTTGATTCCTTTAAACCTTTTCCTCACTTACTACCAGTATCCTTAAACTTCAATTTACCTGGCATGTACCTGTCTCTATATCAACATCTTTCAATTCAGGACCTATATATGATATCTAGCTTTCTCTTTCCTTGGTTTGATCATTTTCAATCCCAAAATAAAAGCAAAGCCTTGAGGCTATTCCCATTTTATTCTGCATTCCTGTAAGATTTGACATAAAGTTTCTCTAAGTCGTGTATATTTCGATAGAATAAGGAAATTGAGCCAAAATCTGCAACTACCTGGCACTCTAAATCCACTGACAATTTGCAGCATCTCATTTGTAATACCTGACAGAAATTGAGGCAGCTGTTTGCTTATGTATTTGTTTTTACAAACTGCTTCTCCAACCATGATTTTCTATTTCCTAGCAACTTCATAAAAATACCAGAATATACTTTTGAAAATAAAATCCTTATGTATTAAAAAATCAGAAAATGGCCAAGAGATATAGGGAAATGAAATATCTCTAGCCTTGCTTTTTCACCACATAACTAGCAAAAGTGAAAATATAGGTATGGTATACAGTGTCATTAAAGCTTAAGATAAATAGGCACTTTGATTTATACTTGGTGAGAGTGTATATATCTGCACAACTTTTAATGGAGTAGTTCAGAAATATGTATCACAGGTAAACTGTATATGACTATTGACTCAACATTCCATTTTGAGGATTGATCCTAAGAAGGGAATTAGTACTCAAAATGTATTTACCTAAATGTCCATTACACCATTGTAGGTAACTGCAAAGAAAAAAAAAGATAAATGTCTATATATATGTGGGCATAGTTACACAAATTATGATATATTTATAAAATTAAATATATAGTCTTAAAATGATTTGCTAGAGTTATATTTATTAACATAAGAGCTTTTCAAAAATTAAAAAGCATGATCATATTTCATTTATTTAGTAAAAATGTTGATTAAATTTTACCTTGCATGAGGCCACATGTCTGGGCCAGGGGATAAAATGATTAGCCTACAGAAATAGGATTCCTGGCCAGGCATGGTGGCTCGTGCCTATAATCTCAGCACTTTGGGAGGCCAAGGCGGGTGGATCATCTGAGGTCAAGAGTTAGAGACCAACATGGTAAAACCCCGTCTCTACTAAAAATACCAAAAATTATCCGGGTGTGGTGGTGGATGCCTGTAATCCCAGCTACTTGGGAGGCTGAGGCAGGCTTTAACCCAGGAGGTGGAGGTTGCAGTGAGCCCAGATTGTGGCATTAAACTCCAGCCTGGGGACAGAGCGAGACTCTGTCAAAAAAAAAAAAAAGAAATAGGATTTCTGCCTTTGTGGAACCCACAGTTAACTACAGGAGAGGAACCATTCATTAAAGACACATATACACACATGTACAGACACGCACATGCACACACACCCACAGGTACGCATGTAATAACATAAGAGAAGAATTCTGTTAGCTGCCTGGAAGAATAGTACCTGGTATGCTAGGAGTGGGGAGCTGGGGATATTGTTTTGATGAGAGAAGCAAAGAAGGTAGAGGTCTTTACAAGCAGAAGTAAAATGTTTCATTTTGAAAGCAATTTTGCAAACAAAATGAAGTAAGTGGCTTGTTATTGAAACAGAAATAACCGTGGCCTGGTATTAAGGAAAAAATAGAAAAGTAAATGTATCCATGTGTAAAAACTATACAGACCCCTAGTCCCATTGATCCTGGACACCCCATAGAAACAAACAAAAACTAACCTAATTTTTCATCTGTGTTTCCATTTCAACGTTGTAAAAGCTGAGGATCAACATAAACAGTGGCATTCCTCAGAAAATCCCAACACAGGTCAGAATGAATGGAATCTCTTAGTGAGAATTCTATCATGCAGTGACTATAAATTCTTTAGAGATAAAAAGCATTTTCCCTTCATTATTTGGATTTTATTTCAAGGTACAGGTACGTGAGATTCTCTCCTCTCTCTCTCCCTCTCTCGCACGCGCGTGCACATGCACGTTCACCCTTGCTATGTGTGTGTATGTGTGTGTTTGTGTCTGATATGAGTACTTAAGAGACACTGGATATTAAAACAGCTTCTAAAGTGTAGGCGAATCAAGTTCTAATTCACAATTGCACTGTAAACTTCGGAGTCACTGCGGTTGTTAAGCCCTCTTAAGCTCTTCTCTGATATCCAGTGCTGGCTTCCAGAACAAAGAAAACAATTAAAAAGCAAGAAAAAAAAGTACTTCAGGACCTGTGTGCAGAAGGGTGTGGATTCAGAAACTAAACACTTTGTCTTCTATAAAGTGGCACAAGCCATAACACCCCAGCAATCTTAGTTTAGTAAATTAACAGTAGGATTCTCTCTACTTTAATTCAAATGCAATCCAGGCCTAATTACTACTGTTCACAGCACACTAGCCATTTCTTTGAGTAATGCAGGGCTGTATATATTCCCACTGTGAAATCCATGTTTGATTAGGATTCACATTGATTTCTACCCACTGATTGTGTGTAAAGATTCTCATCCAAATTGATTTATTTTTTTCTCCTCCTCCGTTTTCTTTATTTTGCCTTCTGAATGGTAGAACTCAAGAAGATATTTGTGTGTATTGGAAGAAAATATTTCCTATGTTTACATTTGAAAATAAAAATAACACATTATGAAAATATTCTGAGAAATATGTGGACCAACGAATGTTTCATACATGTTTAATCAGTTTATAAGATAAAACTGTGCATGGGAAAAGAAAACATAAGTCTTGATTACATTTGACAGTTTTGTTGATTAAGTCATGGGATAAGGGTCTCCAATGGCACTAGGCCCAGAGAATTAGATGCCATTACCTCTAATTCATTAAGACACTTTCAGTTGTTATCTCAAGTGGTCTTACATAGCCCCTAGGGAAATGCAGGTTATAACTACCAGAAACTAGATTCATCACCACACAAACAAAAATTCTTCATTTCCTGATTTCTCTTTCAGACCTTCTATGGAGGAATTGTCTCGACCAACATGGGCTAGAAAGAAACTAATCAAATGAAAGGACTATATTTCTTTGAAAAAGGCAGTTCTGACCTTTTGTATGGTCAGAAATATGCTAACTGTTGTAATCAACAGCCCCAGAATTTTAGTGCTTTAACCCAACATACATTGACTGTTTGCTTATATAATTCAGTGTGGGTGTCCTGGGGGTGGCTTTCTGCGGGACTCAAAGACCCAGATTCCTTACCTCTTGTAATTCCAGCCTCTCTCAAGACTTTGGAGTCTTTTCTGTTCCTCAAGGAGATAAGGAAAAGGAAGTGCAGCACCAATACTTTTTTTAATGGGTCAGTCTTGGGAGTGGCACACTTCTTCAGGTCCAGAGACACGAGTGTCTCTAATTTCAAGGAAGGTGAGTAAATATGGTCTAATCTAGAGATGTGGAAGGGGAAAAATATGGTTGGATGAGCATCTAGTGAGTTGCTATGACAGAAGAAAATTCACTGAGGAAGTTATTTTCTTTTGGAAATAAAAAGATACAAAATAAAAACAAAACAGCAACGTTCATCTTTGTAAAGTGTATCTTTAGTTTTGAAATTATAAGGTGAATGTACCTTTGGTTAGGTTAGGCAACTTAACACAGCTTATTTTGCTTAATGGATGTTCTAGGGATAATTATTGTCGTTTAAATATGTGAAATAAAGAACACTTCCTTTGAATTACCTTTTAAGGAAGTCAGTGTTTAAACTGCAAAGGCTTCTTAATAGTTAATAGTAGTGAGAGTTGATTTTCTGTAGCAGTAGACTCTGTTTGCAACAGATTGTATGAGAGTGCCCTTTGGGGATTAATAATAATTTTTAAAAATCTCATGTGTTTAATGTGGAAAACACCTCCTAGGTTTACTGATAAAGGTATTCTTAGCACCATGGAGATTTTGTGATTTTTCACAGTTGATGATGATTATTTCTAACGGTAGAGTAAGTAATGACTTTAAAAATTCACACTATAAGCTTGAAAATTCCTAGTGCTTAGTTTTATTGTACATAATTTTGCTTACTGTATCATTAAATCTATTTAGGTAATGAGGCAAAACATTTTCTGAAGCTTGGTGGGAAAGTAAAATACTTTAAGAATAATGCATGACTGAATATTTCGTACATTTCTTATATGTTTATTTAATTGAAACGTACTCTTGGATCAGAGATAGACCACATAAATGTCAAAAAGAGATTTTAACCCAGGTATTGCAAGTGTAAATCATATTTATCATCAGGAGAGGTGAGGAGAATGTTTAAACCTTCCTCCATTCCTACTTTCAGTTTTTCCATAGAAAAAAGTATGAATACCAAATTTGTCTGTATTTTGATAACTGTTGATTGAAAACTATTATGAGTAGGCTACCTGGTTAGAAAAATACAGAGTTGAGTCAAACTTGGCCCTTGTCTTTCAAAAAGCTTACACATAGGGGTAGAAATTATGACTAAGTGTCATAAGCTGCTGTGCAAGGTAGAATAATACGGTGAGTGTGATAAGGAAAATGAAAATAAAATAGACCAACAGTTAAGATGAAGGAAAAGCACGGGAAAGATAAAGGAGAAACAGGAAATGGAAGTAACATAATCAGGTAAATTATGCCAACTATCTTTGCTCAGAACAAGGGGATTGCGTTCATAGGTAAAGGAAATGAGAGCGAAACCGGCAAATGTTTGCAATGGACATTGAAACAAAACTTAAGACATGTTAGTATGGCACTTCTGAATTTAAGGAGATAGTGGGCTAGGCAGTGAGGTCAAGGTTTAAAAGCAGAGCATTTAATTGGCAAAGCATATGTGGAATGAAAAAGTACAGTCTTTGACTCTCCCATTCAGACCTGATTATTGGCAACACCAGAATCGCAGTTTGCATGGAAGCTGGTTATGGTTTAAAGAGGTCTGGAGGTTGTAAAAATAGACTATGACACTCAGATGAGGCTCCTGCGTGTATTTTATATTTCACTATCCCTATTCTTGTCCTGACATCTAAAGCTTCCCCTTCTAAAAGAATTGCTGGGAAGAACAACAATTTTATAGTCAGACAGACCTGAATCAAATTCCTGCTCTCTCTCTAATTTAGCAGTATAATTTCAACATTTCTTTTTTTAAACCTAAAATTACCTGAAGTAAAACTGAGGAGAATTCCTCATTTGCAGGACTATTGTTAGGAGTAAGCAAAATAATATGTGTGTGCAGGTAAGAAACTAAAACAACGTAAGTATGATAATGATCTGACATGACTATTCATTTCGCTGCTCTCCTACTTTCATGTAAGGGTCAATTTTTCCCTCCTTTTTTGTATTCCTCCTTCCTTCCTTCCTGTTTAAAAATTTTATTTTAGAATTACAGAAGAATGATTGTACATAAAAGCTAGGCTACAGGATTTCTCTACCTTACATTCTATTATAGCAAAGAAAGACTGAATACAAAACAAAGCTCCTAGAAATCATACTCAGGTTTTAGGAGGAGTTGAATACAGAAGGAATGTTCAGAGACATGTAAAAGAGAAAGCGTTCCAAACCCAGCAAGGACAAAGTAGTAGAACTCAAGGTCAGGGAATGTAATGAGACACAGCATAAAAGAAGCACTGTCAGACGCTTTGGAGACCTTGATGTCCATTTGGGTGGAATCAGGGATTGATGCTTTTCAGTAAGAAGAGCATTAAAACTTTGAAATGCTAGTTTCTGTGATGTGGAAGGGTAGTGATTTGTTTGAAGAGAGTTCTGTGTTTGAGGAAAGATATACTCCAGAAAAGTGGAGTGGAATAGAGAACTGTGGAGAATAATATTTGAAAAATATGCGCTTTTTTCAGAGCACTCAACTAATCATTGAATGAAACACAATTTCCTTTAATACGTGAAAAAACCTTCAGGGTAGATATTATTCATATTTTACTTTCCTTTTCTCAGTTCAGTTTTTATTCCTGTTAAAAACTGAGATACTAATATCTGCTTAATAGGAGAATTGAAAAAATTACAGGTTACTATTCAATGTTCCTGGTTCAGTGCCAGAAATATATTAGGCTCTCCTTAAAAATGGTAGCTATTATAATTATTCTTGTCATTTCTATTTACGAAATACAGAACTTGAAGCTCAAGAAAATTTTATGATTCTAGATTATGACATAAATAAATATTAGAATCAGTACCATAATTTAAACCTGTTTGTGTATAATACTGAAGATGGATATATTCTTTCCAATTTATCACATTTATTTTTCACTTCAAAGACTTTCTCAAAGCATTTTTTTCTTTGAATCTACATACTATAGAGATATTATTCAGAGAAACAATGTGTGATTTTACTTATAATTACTAAAGAAATTCTCATAGGAACCTGGGTTTTCTGTGACTTTTTATTTTTATTTTTTGAGACAGAGTCTCACTCTGTTGCCTAGGCTGGAGTATGGTGATGCGATCTCCACTCGCTGCAACCTCTGTCTCCTGAGTTCTAAGCGATTCTCCTGCCTCAGCCTCTGGAGTATCTGGGACTACAGGCACGCACCACCATGCCCAACTAATTTTTGTATTTTTAGTAGAGACAGGGTTTCACCATGTTGGTTAGGGTGGTCTCGAACTCCTGACCTCAGGTGACCCACCCGCCTCGGCCTCCCAGAGTGCTGGCGTTTCAGGCGTGAGCCACTGCGCCCGGCCTGTGTGACTTTTTAAATGTTTAAAAGTTATTCAGTGAATAACCTTATGGAGAAATCGTGATCCTGTTTATGGTGCTGGTAATATTTGTTATTTTTTTAGCTGGTGTAATGAAACTCACAATTCTGTGTCATTTTCTCTCAAGAGATATCCAAGAAAAGGAAAGGTTAACATACATTTTTTCAGTATTTTCAGAGAAATTGTCTCACGTATAGGACATGTTGAATTTAACATCTTGCATAGCATCTGCCCTTTCATTTTTAGCTACGAAAAGCTAAATGAAATGGCTGTTAGTATACAAACAGCATTAGGAGAGTGACTTGTTTCTTATGTAGTTCTTCTAATAATTGGAAGAAATCCCAACTCTGGCAGAGTGGAAGTATTTGGAGGATTCTCGTTTTTTCTTTTCTTGTTGTTCAGCTGAAATGTTTTGATCCCACTTAACAAGGATTCAGTCTTGCGTTGTTCTTTAAGTACCAAGGAGATATATGAGATTGTTTTGAAGTAGATGATTTATTTTCTAATTATCATAGGTAGTTAACAGATGCATGAAGAAAGAAATGTTTCCACTTGCCTATTATTTACTAGAAAATTAATCTAAAACCTATCTTTTCACACTATAATATTCATCCACAATCATGCATTTTAAGTGCTTCTTGTTCTTTCCCAAATATATCAAGAACCAGTTTCTCCATTATTTCAGAGATTCCAAGCCTAGTGATTTTTAATTAAGATTGCATTTTGCAAGTCCAGTCTTCGTAAATGTAAAACTTACAGAATATATTTTATGGCACCCACTGAAAGTATGAATATAACAAAAACCCTTTCTCTATTAAAATCTTTGTGGAAAATGCTGGAAGTTTCCAGGACATACAGACTAAAAAAGTAACAATGCTTAACATATAAGACTCAAACGTTTTTAGACAACCACTTGTGGGTATACATGTTTTTTGAATTTCACATAGCTATAATTACTAGTATGTGTCAAACAATTTACCACGCACTGTTATATGCCATGTCTTACACTGCCATTACTGAGAAATTCCAAATAACATTGAGGTCACATTGACTTTGGTACAACCAAAATATTTGCCAGCATTAGACTTTTATCAATAACTCATTAACCTTCTAACATTTTCTCCCTTTATACCCACTAATCTATGACATTTTTCTTGAGTTCCTTCCAATTTTAGACATTTTATTTGAATTATCTTTCTAAGTACAGTGTCATTTGCCTCTATTTTCTGTGCCACAAGTTGTACCTTTGATGTTTTTAAATTTAAACTTTGCATTTTGATGTGGAAGTAGCAAGGATTCCCGAGGCTATGATCTGATCGGCAACAGCCAGGCTAGCAGCAAGGGAAGTTGAGATAACAACAGTGGGCATACCGAAATGAGCATACTGTTACAACACGTGTTCGTAGTTTTATGAACATATTATGGAGCTGACAGATGCTATGATAAATTTGTATGCAGATATTGTCTGCAGCATAATTTTTATGTATTCCCTTTAAAGCTGAAAGTGTATATGTCTGTGAGCAAATATGTATTAGCATACATGCTTTCCTGCCTGCCTAGTTTTCTTTCTTTGGGACAAAACATTCTGCCACCTTGGCTTCCCACATAATTAAAAGTTTCTACACATTATTGATATTTGTAACACCTCTTATTTTTGCCATAGAAATATGTTGCACTATTTGGCTTTCCTTTGGGGGGAAAAAACCTGCACACACACATAGACACACATACACACCTGTGGACTCAAGTTTTAAGAGCATGGCCTAATGGTGCATGACTACCACATTAAAAGAAATGCATTCAGTGATGTCACAAAGCTGATTGCCTCAGTTGATCTATAATTTGGTTCATTAATAAAAGTCAGCTTATTGGTAGTATTCTCGCAAAGGCTTCAAATTATTGCATTTTAAGTAAAAATGGGAGTAAGATGCTAACATCTATTTCTAAACTTTTTAAAAAACTAATCTAATGCAATTATAACACTAGAATCCTCTGCTGAAGTCCCACAAACTTTCGTTCATGATTTGCCATAAGGAAACCCAGCCCCAGCTTTGCTGACTAGTAAGATAAATTTATCTTTACCAGACCCAACTCTTTCTGCCATTCTGCTAAGTCTTGGTGGAGTAGCTAAATTAATCCCCCCAAGGACTCTTTAAATTGCCAGCTAAGCTTTCTTGGAACCTCATCACAAATAGGCATTATGTTCTTTGTGAGAAAAATTTCGCTCTGCATTTGATCAGACACCTTAGTTGTTTGCTTGATACAGAACCCTTCACTATTCTTTATAATATTCTACATTATTCAGTTTAAAACTCCTATATTCACATTTATATGTTATGTATGTGTATGTATGTTATTATATTTTATTTTATTTTATTTTATTTGAGACGGAGTCTAGCTCTGTCACCAGCCTGGATTGCAGTGATGCAATCTCAGCTCACTGCAACCTCCGCCTCCCAGGTTCAAGGGATTCTCCTGCCTCAACCTCCTGAGTAGCTGGGATTATAGCCATGCACCACCACGCCCAACTAATTTTTGTGTTTTTAGTAGATATGGGGTTTCACCATGTTGGCCAGGATAGCTTCAATCTCCTGACCTCATGTACCGCCCACCTTGGCCTCCTAAAGTGCTGGGATTACAGGCGTGAGCTACTGCACCCAGCCTGTATTTCATTTATATATGCATAATATTTATATATGCTTTCCTATATACAAGTATATTTGACATTAAAATGGATTATTAAAAGTGATTATGTCTCTGACTGTTGGTTCCCTTGAAATTACTGTGTGTAACATTTCCATGTGAACTAACCTGCTTTGTATCAATCCTGCTTATCCTTTATTGGTATTTTATCAACTTGATTTAATTTAACTGTAGAAATGCTTCAGTTTCCTGTGGAAATTAAATTAGCCAATTGAATTTTAGCTGCTGCAACTTTTTGTATTTAGATGACTTATTAATGACCATGGTCATTTTGTACCTTTTATAACTTTTATTTTTAATTTTTTTTAATACAAGAGAAATACTCTAGAAAGTATTCTTAGGTAAGCCAAATTATTTATTTTGTATGGTACTGACTTTGAGTAGCCTTAAATAATGTCCGCTGACATAGCTATAGTGATATTAGGATATATAAAAAGTTATATGATATGCAGTGTTATACACAGGAATATTCCTAGAATAAGAGGATTTAAGAATGTTCTTTTATTTAAAATCCCTGGGTTTTTTTGTTTCAAAGTTCCTGCAGTACACCACACTCAAGCTTAATTATTTAAATGTGAAAATCTTCCTTAAAACAGAATAGAGGAAGTTAAGTGTTTCATTTCGAAATTACCCAAATTGTAGTACTTTGGGCCGCTGAGGTAGTAGGACCTCTTAAGGACAGAAGTTTGAGACCAGCCTGGGCAATATAGTGAGACCCTGCTCTAAAAATAAAATAAAATTTAAAAATTCACCAGTCATGGTGGTACACCTGTAATCCTAGCTACTCCAGAGGTTGAGGTGGGTTGAAGTAAGAGGATCACTTGAGACCAGGAGTTATGGCGAGGTCTTATCGCACTACTTCACTCCAGCCTAAGCACCAGAACAAGACCCTGCTTCAAAAAAAAAAAAAAATACCCAAACTTTAGGATTAATATTAAAGGTATTGAGGTAACATTTTAAATTTAACCTTACATGAGCTACAGTTCTTCATGATGGATAATGCATGAGATGAAAAACATCGAAAAACATGCTAATCTTCCAAAAAGAAGCTCATTCTAGAATAATTTGAGGCTTTGGGAGATAATATATTTATGAAAAAAATAGAAAAACAAATTATTGTGTCATAAAAGCGATTATCCCAGTAATGAGGAGCAACCCCAAACTGGTTGTGTGACATTGATATATTTTGATGATTGACTATGCCCAGAACAGCTGATTCAGCAGGGCAGAAGAAATGTAGTTTTGGCAAAGGTGGCAAGAAATTTCAGAAACAATTACAAAATTTTATCTCTACCACCTGAAGTGTAGCAAATTTTAAATATTTCTTTGATTTTGAAAGGCCTTGTTAATCATTTCTTTGATTTTGAAATGCCTTGTTAATTCTTTTTACTGCTAATCATTTGTGCTCTCTGACCAGCATAAAACAGCTATAGAACATTAATGCATCACAAGCAACTGTAACCAAATTAAAGGCCTATAAGTCCATTTTTTTGGTGTTGGAGATTCTGTGCCTATTTCACCTAATGTACTTTTAACTAACCATGAACTAAAAATAGTAGCTTGCTTCTGAAGATGGTGGGTCTCAAACATCAAAACAGAGTCAGAAATGTCCTAGGTGCCCAGACATCTAGAGGGGCGCTCAGCAGATGGGAGTCAATGGAGTCTAGAACAAAGTGTTGGATTAGAGTGGGTTCTGAGTGGAGCATGAAAACCAGATATTTGCAGGCACAGCTGAAGGCTTTGAGGGCACATTACTCCAGCATTTTCCTGGGAAATAGCGGTGCTATTATAACGGTTTAGCACTGACAAGTCTTGGCTCATAGCTCTAGCAAGGAAGTTTATAGAGGACTTTGAAGTCAGACATACTTGGGTTTGCACATTAAATCTGCCACACTCCATTCATATTATACCCTAGATGGAGTGGTCCAGAATTCTAATAAGTGAGTAGAATACCAGATGAAGAATCCGGGCAACATTTGGAAACTCCAGGCAGGCAGATAGGCCTGATACTGTAGATCTGGTATGAAGCCCTTAGCTCTGGGTTGGGGTTCAGGCATAATAAAGTTCCTAAGGATCATACACTAGTCTAGGCCTCAGTCTTAGAATGGACCTTGGCAACTCTGTGGGTTCTGAGCATAAAGACAGAGAAAGAAAGACTAATGCAGAAGTAGTTTAGAAAACAAAACAAACCCACTAGACTAGGCTGGGTTCTAACAAGTCTTGAAGAAAAGCTCAGTTTTCTAGTCATGAATGAATTAGCTACTCAAAAGACCCAATGCAGGGCTACAAATTGTGAATTTGTAGCTCTGCAGTCATTAGTACTTCTAACTATGACTGACAGGACAGCCTTTGTGTGGGTTGCGTGTGTATGTTTGTGTGTGTGCATGTGTGTGTGCATGTGTGTGTGCATGTGTGTATGGGAGTGGTGTTCAGCAGCAAGACTGCCAGTTATATTCATTTGTCCTATAAGACCTACCCTTGCTGCATCATCTCAGCAATCCTTCCTTGTATCCTCAAATTGCTTTGTCTTCTTTAGGGCCAGCTATTTAGTACTAGGATGTTATTCTTCCTCACAAATAATGGAGAAAGACATGTAGTTATTTGCTCAATTACCAATAATAACCCAAACTTTTGCATTTAGGAATGCTATCTGAAGACTAGCCAGGGTTAGCTATAGACAAAGAGGGAAAGAAAAAGAAAAAGAAGTTGAAGTTTGTTCTCCAAATTGTGTCTTCAGGATAAGAGCCAAGTTACACTTTTATTTACATATAATTTTAATCATGAACAGCATAATTTCATCTTATTTTAAATTATTGGTGCTAAGAAAAAAACAAGTAGAAAAAAAGACTGAAAGTTTTAGTGAATTTCAATTACTTATGGCTTAGCAGCAGTAACTGAAGAGCTAATTTGTTTAGTAATGAACTTTATCTGCAAAAGAAAAGACAAGACAGCTACTGAATTCAACAACAATGACTTACTCTCCAGTTTCAAGCAAAAAAAGACAATAGAACTTGTCTATACCATTCTTCAGATTGGTGAACATTAATCATGTTTTGCTTTTTTAAAAAACTACAAGACAGTTGTATAGGGGCAAAGAACATGTTGATGATCATAATTTTGTTTATTGCAGAATGAATATTTGATGGTTTCTGAGCAAATAAGAGGTGTAGGGCATTTTCCCAAGAAAGCTCTCTTGAAGATACTGAGGCAGAAAATGCATCATCCCAGATTTCAACCAGTTTCCTTTCTAGTGATGTAGGTAAGATCTGCACAAAAGTACGTGTAATATAAAGACAAATGGGGTTATTTGAAGAAGAGTTACAAGTGGTGGTAATATGAGGAGGATGGAAAGATCATATTTGATGTAGGCCTGGAAGAGGAAAGATGGTTAAGATTTTATCAAGCACATATAAAGTGATTAAACAGTGATTCTCAATGAGGAGAATTTTTGACACCTCCCCGACCCCCCAAGGGACATTGGCAATGTCTGGAGACATTTTTGTTTGTCACAACAACGGGGATGCAACTGGCATTTAGTAAGTAGAAGTCAAGAATGCCACTAGACATCCTGCCATCCACAGTACAGCAACAAAGAATGGTCCAACCAAAATTGTCAATACTGTCGATCTTGGAATAAAGAATCATTTCAAGTAGAAGGAAGAATATTCACAAAAGCAAGGCTTATGTCCTTTGGGAAATTCTGTGTGGTCTAGTTTGCCTGAGGTATAGATTATGTGAAAGAGCATAAGATAAGTGAAGGCTGGAAGGATAGTTTATGAATGGATGCGGACAGATGTTGATGTCAGATTAAAGAATTGTATTTTCTTATTTGTTGGCCTTCCCAATACCAACTAATAAAATATTTCACTGGATGTAATGCAAATTAAAAGAAAAAAACTTTTATTATTCAGTGTTATTTCAAATATTCAATAGATTTTGTTCTTTTTAAAAATTTCTTTCCATCTCAGTGTAAGGAATTAAAAGGGCCTTTGGAAACATATACAACTAACTCTTTAGAAGAATATTCCTATTATCTGCCAGTTTCCTTCAAACTTACTTACAAAGAATAAGAGATCACTTCCTTAGATAAGTGCTGGGATTCTTCTAACTTAAGCCTTTCATGACTTTCCTCCATTAAATGTTTAATTATTTTCAAGGCATTTCATGATTATTTTAATTACACATAAGTAGTACGTAATATCTATATGGGGCTAACTCATTTTATTGCTCAATCTCCGAAAGCAGCAAGATAAAGTATAGAGCTACTTATTTTATTTTCAATTAACTTGTTAAAAAGTTTTAGTATATCTGCCTTAGTAAAATTATTTGTTTATAATTATCTGCATGTGTCAGGCTATGACAAACAACTTCTTAAGATCAGAGAAACTTTTTATCAGATGATACGCCCTTCTTAAAAAGTTTGGCCTCTAATTATAGGATTATATTTGTATAAATTATACGCAAGATCATACATCTAGAGAATCCTCATGTGGCTCATATTCTTTTTCAACGCCAAAATAACTTTTAAAAATGTATAAGATTATTGCATTTAAGAAATAATACATGGCTGGACCTTGTGGCTCACGCCTGTAATCCCAGCACTTTGGGAGGCCAAGGCGGGTGGATCACTTGAAGCCAGATGTTGGATACCAAACTGGCCAACATGGCGAGACCTCGTCTCTACTAAAAATACAAAAATTAGCTTGTTGTGGTAGTGCATGACTGTAATCCCAGCTATCCAGGAGTCTGAGGCACAAGAATCGTTTGAATCCAGGAGGTGGAGGTTTCAGTGAGCCGAGAATGTGCCACTGCACTCCAGCCTGGGTGATAGAGTCAGATTCTGTCAAAAAAAAAAAAAAAGAAAGAAGAGAGAAAGAAAGCGACAGAGAGAGAGAGAGGAAGGAAGGAAGGGAGGGAGGGAGGGAGGGAGGGAGGGAGGGAGGGAGAGAGGGAGGGAGGGAAAGAGTACATGTCATTGCGAGCACTTGATTTTTACAAATAATCAAAATGAGTTATCTTAAAATCAAAATTCAAATCTTGAAACAATCCATTTTATATGAAATTAGAAGATAAGAATTTTGTCATGAAATGATGTTTTATCTTAGAATCTATTAATGGACAGTTAGGGAATAAGGAATAGATTTTGTGCAGTAACTTTTCCTTTGGTCAAGTCTCTGCCTTTTTTGGTAATTATTCACATAATAGTGTTTATGACTTTTTTTTTGTAATTCTTCTTGACTCTTCTTTATTTAAGTTTACTTTTGGACAGGAATCATAGTGTGTTGGTAAGCATTCAGAAAATACTTATGGAATGAGTAATTTTAAAGTAATATTATCTGATTTTTTTATAAGGCAGTTTCCCAAAAGTACAAAATATGAAATGCAAAATAAAAATAATGTTAAAGCTTCATGTAAAGCCAATAGAAATGTACGTTTGTTAGGTCCTTAAAAGTGGACCTCACGGATGGTATCTTACAGCAACATGCTAACAGCATGCTCCATCAATAGGTCTATCAAACTATGTGCAGCAGCCTAACAAATTGTAAAATATTGATTGAAATGATAGCATGTCTTTTTAAGCTTCACCAGGAAAAGATAGTAAAATTAGAGAATCTTTATTCAGATAACAGAAGATAGCATTTCAATGCATTGTATTAATAATAGAAATATAACAAAATGGAGTAAGAGGATGGGGAGAAATATCGAGAGGACTATTTTTGCTGCAGAATTTGCTTCAACATGCTAACTCCAATTGCGTCATGTTATACAACTGGAATCTACATCAGAGCTTCAAAACTTCAATTCAAAAACTCACTTCACGATATAAAAACAAGCTTTTGGCAATGCTTTTTATTCAACATGGCCCCTTACTTGCATAGACAGTTTAATCATTACAGGCATTACCCGACATCCCCCTTTTAAAATCATTTCTCCATCCAATCCTTTAACTCCCAGTGCTTCCTAAATTTCTCACCTCCACTTTCATACTCACTTTTATACTCAGTTGCTACTTTTCTGTAGCTCTTTGTCTTTTATATTAGAAACTATCTAGGCTGGGTGTGGTGGCTCAAGCCTGTAATCCTAGCACTTTGAGAGGCTGAGGTGGGCAGATCACCGGAGGTCAGGAGTTCGAGACCAGCCTAGCCAACATGGTGAAACCCCATCTCTACTAAAAATACAAAAATTACCCAGGTGTGGTGATGCGCCCCTGTAATCCCAGCTATTCAGGAGGCTGAGGCAGGAGAATTGCTTGAGTCCGGGAGGCAGAGGTTGCAGTGCGTGGAAATCACACCACTGCACTCCAGCCTGGGTGACAGAGTGAGACTCTGTCTCAAAACAAACAAACAAACAAACAAAAAACTATCCAGATTTATCCCATCCAGCAAAAACTCAATTTATCCTATCTTGCCACAATAGTCCTCCCTAATAGATTTCTCCTGCCTCCATCATCTTCCCTTTCATCTTCTATCCCTTACTTTAATTCTCTACATCGAGTTGGACCTTGGCTTCAGAGGCATATTAAATGCTTCTCTTTATAGAAAATTACCTTCCCTCATGCATCACCTCAAAAATCTAAGCCAAGTTACCTAATTTTAAAAGGAAATGATTGTTCATTATTAGTAATATACTTTAACAATAATTACGATATAAACAGAAATTGTGTGCATTAAATATTATGGTTTTTGATTTTCAAATTTCATTGTAAATATAGCAGGGGAGATGTTACCTATTCTGAAAACACATTTTTACAATGAAGACAACTAAAGCGTAGCCGCTCAGTACTTTTACAAAATTTCAGATAAACATCAGAATTTAGAAATTGCTACTTTAATATTATCTAAGTCTCATTTTACCTACTAGTAATGCTACTCCAGAATTTTTTTAGGATTGTAAAAATCTATCGTCATTTCATCATTTCCCTGCCCATTGCTTCCACATTTATCCTATAATCTCGCCGTCTGTTTCACTGACATGGCAGACCCAGAGGGCAGGGAGCATATCTTATCTGTGAAATGCTGTATGTAAGTGTGGATTCTCTGTCAGCATTTAAAAAAAATAATAGAACTTCAAATAGGATTGATTTAAGCCTCCCTAGTCAGCAGTTAGTCTTGGTGACATGAATCACTCTTTCAAATGGTAATTTACACCTGTTACCTGCATCCACAGGTTGGAAAATGCTTACACCTTAATTAATTGCACCCTTGTGATGTGGGAGATTGTATCCTCAACTCTGAGACAGGGAGATTAGGGAATAGAGAATCAACAGCTTTTCTAATATTTCAAAGAAGAGTTTTGCAGAAGAAAATTAGAATTCAGGTCACTTTTCATTGAATGATCGATGAGGTTCTTTAGGAATCTGTGCTCTCATGGGAGAAACATGGAGATGGCATCTCTTCCAGTAAGATATGTACTTGTCCTTAGCTTATGCGGTAGCATCAATTCAATATGACCTCAGCAAGCATCTATGTTTTTTTTCCTTTTTTCCCTTTTTTTTTTTTTTTTTTTTTTTTGAGACGGAGTCTCACTCTGTTGCCCAGGCTGGAGTGCAGTGGCACAACCTCGGCTCACTGCAACCTCTGCTTACCGGGTTCAAGCGATTCTCGTGCCTCAGCCTCCTGAGTAGCTAGGATTATGGGCGTGTGCCACCACGCCCGGCTAATTTTTGTATTTTTAGTAGAGACGAGGTTTCACCACGTTGGCCAGGCTGGCCTCAAATTCCTGACCTCAAGTGATTCACTCGCCTCAGCCTCCCAAAGTGCTGGGATCACAGGCTTGAGCCACAGCGTCGGCCACATCTATGTTTCTTAATAACACTTTTGCTCTCTGCTTCTGTAGTGGCTGATATCATCCTCAGAACCAAAGAGCAGGTTGCATGCAAATTACTTTTAGGCGAGCATGACATTAGAATATAATTCCCCAAATGGTAGTGCCACCATGTAATTAAGCTACAACTGATGACAAGTATCTGACATCAGATAATCATTTAATAGAGGAAAATGGGAGGCAGTTCATTATTTTAAAACATGTTTTCTTTAAAGTTCCTTGAGGATGTGGAAGGATTTTCTTGGCTTTCAAATGATTTCAAAATGTTTGTGTGTAATTATTTTTTGGCAGGTTTTAGAAATATATTTATGGTAGCGATAAGGGTTTCCTTGGCTGACATCACTAAATGTTCATAAGACCTGTAAGTGGACTTTCACCTTTGATTTTTTCCCTACCAGAGCACATGTTGTCTGGGTTAATATGCTTTTTGTTCCTTAAACTTGAACAAAATCTTAGGAAGTGCTAAGATAGAAACTTTATAAGGTATTATAAATGTGTTTTACACAAAATGTGAAGGGTTTATTGTTATAATAGCTTAATCTGTACTTTGCTAAGTCTCATTTGGTCTTTTTCACTGAACATAGAAACTGAGAAATTGTAGTTCTTTTTTTGTATTTTTGAGATGGAGTTTCACTCTGTCACCCAGGTTGGAGTGCAGTGGTGCAATCTCAGCTCACTGCAACCTCTGCTTCCTAGGTTCAAGCTATTTTCCTGCCTCAGCCTCCTCAGTAGCGGGGATTACAGGTGTGCACCACCACACCCGGCTAATTTCTGTATTTTTAGTAGAGACAGAGTTTCACCATGTTGGCCAGGCTGGTCTCAAACTCCTGACCTCAAGTTTTCTGCCCAAAACTCGGCCTCCCACAGTGCTGGGATTATAAGTGCAAGCCACTGTGTCCAGCCTGTAGTTCTTGAAGTATAAAGATAATGGAAGATCCTATCCCCAAAAGACTCTGAAACTAACATTTTTACATACATGTGAGGTCAACTTGGCAAATTACAAAGAGAAAATTGAATTAGAGAGTGAACTATATAATGTTCATTCTTTCATCGAAAATGTTTGATTATTTATTGTGTGCAAAACACTATACTGCACTAATAGCATACTCTGTTGTGCTTGTAACTCTAAAGTCAGTACGACTTTGAAAATTCCATACCTGTATTAGTTCATTTTCACGTAGCTAATAAAGACATACTGGAGACTGGGCAATTTACTAAAGAAAGAGTTTTAATGGATTCACAGTTCCACATGTCTGGGGAGGCCTCACAATTATGGTGAAAAGTGAAAGGCATGTCTCTCATGGTGGCAGACCAGAGAAGAGAACTTGTGCTGGGAAACTCCCCTTTATAAAACCATCACATCTCATGAGACTTATTCACTGTCACAAGAATAGTGTGGGAAAGATCCACCCCCCTGATTCAATTACCTCCCACCGCGTCCCTCCCATAGCACATGGGAATTGTGGGAGCTACAATTCAAGATGAGATTTGGGTGGGAACATAGCCAAACCATATCAATACCTTACTACCATCTTTACCTCTCCAACATCATCTCCTGCGTTTTGAGTTAATGTTATTTAATTGTCTCATGTTATTTTCTGCATTTCTCTAACCCCATCTCTGCCTTGTTCTCTATCCTTGAAAACTCTTGCCTGATCTCCCTGAAATTCAGTTTGTTCATCTGTATGTTGGGAATAACAATGTAACCTAAAAATTGTGAATTAAATTAAATAAATTCATGAAATATTTTGCTTAATTATTAGCATATACTAGTTAAGCAGCGATTACTTGCTAATATTGCCATTATTGATATTCAGAGTTCAGCTTAGATATCAGGAGCTCTCCTGGAAGGGGATCTCCCTGGTCCCACTACACTGTGTTCATACTTCTATTTGCAAGTCTAGCCATGTTCTATGTTACTGGGAACCTAATAATTGATGAGTGCCTTGAGAATATGGGCCATGTGTTATTTCTTCCTGTATCTTCAATGATTAAAATATTCAAAAGTCTCAAGTGTTGGAAGAAATGCTCTAGAATATAGACACATGGCTGATAGTAGTTGGGAATATTTTACCTTCTCCCACTGAAAGCAATCATTCTTTCATATCCATTGCTCTCTTTTCTAAAAGAAATGCTGGTGAGTGTACTCTAGAGACATTTAGCCAGTTCTCACTTCTCCCACCCCTTCTCTGCTGTGAGGCCAGCATTTGTGGTGTGGACTTTGCTTTAAATGCTGGAAACCTAGAGGAACTATAATATCATAATAGTATGGTGAAAGAAGGAGGCAGCAGTTCAAGTAGACAGGTCTATGTGACAAGTGACAGATAGATGATGGGTGTTTTCTGGCTGATGATCAGAGTTCATTGACACAGAAAGACAGCAACAAGCAATACTTGGAATTCAGGTAGTCAAGTAGATGGATTCAATAAGGTTTGGCAGCAGATGGTCAGGGCCCAGGCCAAGACTCTGGAGAGCAATCCTGACCTGCAATTCTAGAATTATGGCTAAGGCAGAGATCTTGTTGTCGAAAATAAATTGCACAATATGGAAAAGACAGGTATTCTCAAGGGTTTAGCCAAACTACTTGCTTCTGGGGAAGAGTTCCGAGGAGATTGTTTGATATCTAGTATTCTAGATCAGTGTTTAAGATTTATCAGTACCAAAGGAAGGTTGCACATGCTTTGTTTTTCTTAAATATTGTTCTGTATGTTTAGTTCCTGAAGTTCATGTTAAAATTGTATTATAATTATTATTTACATTACCCATGATAAATCAAAACATTTATTGAAATATACTATTAGAATCTCAAAGTGATGAAACCAAATATTTCTTCCTTAGAAGGGTAAACTTAAATATAAGCAAAATAAATACAAAGGTAGCCAGAGGACTATTTGAGATGGAATAAGAAATTATAAAGCAGAAAATAAATAGAGTTTACTGCTGTCTTATTTTTCATTATAATTTTAATGAATTGTATATCTTCAAAAGATATTATTTTATATTTTTCATTTGTGAATTGTATATACATGTAATTACACTGTATATATTCTGTGACTTGATTTCTTCATCAGAAATTCTGTTTGTGGGATTAGTCCATGCTGATGTGAGTAGCTATAGTTCCCTGATTTTCAATTTATGTTGTATGTTATTGGAAAACATTGTGATAATTTACTTATCAATTCTTCTATTGATGGACATTAGAATCCTTTCTGGTTCTTTGCTATATTTATCAATGCTCTTACCTACACTTTCTTGCAGCATTCTATGATCTTTGTATTTAAAAGTTCCAGTCCACATAAATCTGCTGTTAAACCTGAGATAAGTTACTTTAAGTCGAAGACTCCTTGTGTGTATCATAGGAATGACAGCAGTAACTTACCAGATAGTGTTTTCAAAGAGTAAATTAGCATATACCAAGTGCTTAATATAACACCTCCCCATAAGTGCAAAGCAAATATTAGCTATTATTAATAGTATTACTCAAAAGCAATGAAATAATTTCTGTAAGAATTATCAATTCTAAATATCAAAAAAAAAAGCTCACATTTCTGCTCAGTGTGGTTTAAAGCTCCAAAATCAAAGATTCAATTTGGCATTCTCCTTTAGCATTTTAAAGTTCACTGCACTTTTGTGACAGTGTTAGGATATTTGAATGTCCATCTCAACTCCTTCTACCATCAGAGGCAAATATTAGAGCTGCTCTAAAGGCTGAAAGCCAATTGAAGGGTCTTCCTCATTAAGAAGAAGGAACATGTCTTGAAGTAAAATAGTCTGTTGGGTACAGTTTATAGTGTTGTTGTTTTGTTTTGCTTTGTTTTAGAGATGGGGTCTTGCTATGTTGCCCAGGCTGGAGTGCAGTGGCTGTTCACAGGCATGACTGTGGTGCTCTACGGCCTTGAATTCCTGAGCTCACACGATCCTCCTTCCTCAGCCTCCCAAGTAGCTGGGACTACAGGCACACAATGGGACTTTGCCCAGCCATAGTTTATAGTCTTGCTGCCTCTTCTCTACAGTGCCCAGTCATAGCTCCCAATAGCCACTGCTGACTAACCCCTATTCTGATCTCTGGAACAATATAAGAGAATTCCTTGACTCTACACATTCTAACTTTTCTAGAAGAGCAACTGGAAGACTTATGTTTTTTCTAACTGTTTTGCTGGTGTATGTATGTATAGGCACAGTTCAAAACGGAATGAAAACTCAGCCAAATTTCCTCTTAAGATCACGGAGTAAATTATAAGCAATAATCTCGTGATTATATCTTCAAAACAAAATAGGTAAATTTAATTAATACCAAGCCAATAGACAGAACTTCTAGACATTCAAACTAAGATTGTTCTCCCCTCATGTAGAATCTGCACTCAGTTTAAAGGTTATGTGCGTAGATACAAACAGGGGGCTTCAGAAAGGGGTTCCAAGATGATATAGTGCTGCCTTCTTTATCAGTAGTGCAAATGCCCAGAGCTGAATATTTGTTTTACTTTAATTAAATCAACTTTATTGAAATAATGTGCATAATTTACATTCAGTTAAATGCACAGTATGTTTTTCGATGTATACTGCAGTGTGTCTTGACAACTCTGTATACCCACGTAACCACCACTCCAATCAGGATATAGAATATTTCTATCACTTCAGGAAATTTCTTTGTGCCTCCTTTGAATCCTCTCTTCCATTCTTCCCCACTCTTCCCTGACTCATCTGGGAATCACTGTTCTGATGTTTATTACCATCTTTTAGTGTTGACATTTCTTGAACTTCATATACATGGAAGCATGCTGATGTAAACTTTATCTGGCTCCTTTTGCTCAATTAAATGTGCATGGTGTTCATAAAGGGAAAGGATGTTCTTAAATTGATTTTTGCTGTAAAATTATATTCACTTAAAATTTGTACATGTACAATGATTTAAATAACCTTAGTTCAAACTAATATGTTGTATCAGTTGAAATAAACGAGAATTGATTTCATTTCGGTATATAGGGCATATTCACCATTAATCAGAAACTAAAAACATTTCTTGAGTTTAGGCCAGGTTGGCCAAGTAAAAATGAAGCAAAAATTTACTCATTCAGCAGTTCATTAGGTAAGCCTTTACTCATCACATGTTAAACCAACTTCAAAATTCAGTGATGTCCTAAAAATACGAACAATTTGAGTTAAAAAAAAGACTATTTTTTAAGACCCAATTTTCCCAGATAAATCCCCTCTGGCATATTTTGTTGGTTGAGAAACTAAAAATCAAATTAAGAAAAGCTAAATCATCTGCCAGTTAGTTACTAAAAGTGTTTTCCTGCTTGCCACCATTCAAATGATGTGTGTGCTGAGAAAAAAAAAAAATCCTGGACCAGAAAAGCACATGGGGTTACAGAGTTGTGGAAAAACATTGAAAAATATTTGTCCACTTTCTGAGAAAGGAAAAGTACAATTGCTTTTTGACAGTGCTGACTTCTGTTTACCGGGGCTTGCATTATAATCTCCATCCTTAAAATTCTGTAATACTTCACAAATTTGGAACATCAACTCTATAAGGGATTTAGTTTTATGCTTGCTTATCCATTTATGTGAGTCTCAGGATGAAATTCTACCAATACGTCTTCCTGAAAGAAGGTGCAATATCCATTTTCTTCTGAAGTGTCTCTTCTCATGGGAGTTACCTAGTGTATGGTACTGTCTAACTGCTTTTAGAATTGTTTGCTTGGTTATTATTCCGGGGATATTTTTTGAGTGATGAAAATATTTTAGTAATACATTGGCTTAATTTTCAAATACTGGCATTTTATTTTTATTCACCTTGCTTTCTTCTACTTGGTGTATTTTAAAGAGCATGCTCCTTGCTTAGCATGATGAAATGCAGTCACTGCTAATTATCATGGCTGCAATTTTCAACTTCACAAGTGAAAATCAAACCACAGACTCCTAAGTGCTGGAAGTCATGCAATTCTAAGCAAAATCCTGAAGGAGCACGACACAGAAGGCCAGTTAAAGTTACCCCCCACCCCCTTGCATTGAGCAGTCCTACAACGAAAAGAATTGTCCCCAACTAGACCATTGTTTCAGTTGGCATTGCTTTGCTAGTTATTTACATTTTCATTAGGGCAGGGCAATTTCCCCTCAAACAGGCTGTTGCAATTTGTTTATGTAGCGTTTTCATCCAATCAATATGCTTCTTTATGATGAAGATGCAGAAATGCCACCAACTGGCTTGGGCTATTTTTTAAAAAAATAATGCTGCTTTATAAAAGCAACTTTTACTATTTCTGAGGAATAAATGTCATCCAAGGGGCATAAAATAAACCAAGAATTTTAAAAAGTTTTCTGTTCATAGAAGTGAAATATTTTTTCCTTCAAGAGAGTTGTGTGCAACAGGGGACAAATTGTAGCAATGGGAGTAGGAAAGCTAATCAAAAAGGTAATCATGTGAATCCAGGCAGCATTCCCTCTGCAGCAAGATACTAGTGTTTCTGATCGACAAAGTATGCAGTGAGTTAGGGCACTGAGGTTTTCATCGGCTGAGTGTGCAGCCTCAGTAATGTAGAAATGCAGAGCACTCATTCATATCATTTGAATGAGCATGTTTCAAGGCTTGATTTTTATTCATATGTTTGATTGATTGTCATTTTCTCTCATCCCTGTTTTCTAGATAAGATAGGAGGATAGCAAAGTCAAGCAATGCTTTCCCTTCTAGTCATCAAATTAGAGTAACAGCAGTGAGTCAGATACTCTTGTTATAAAGAACAACCATATATTTTTTCCCAGTAGAATTCTCCAATCTCTTTTTGATCTTTGCATGCTGTATTAATGACTGTTAATTACATTGACATGGAGAATATTTGATTTTTTTGATGAACAGTGTTGCAATAATTTATGAAAACTATCATGCGTGTGTGTCTATATGGGTATGTGTGTGTGTATTTTATATTTATGAATCGTTTATGCAGATCGTTTCAAGAAAAGGGAGTCTTGTAAGTTAACTCCTAACTTAGTTTCTTTGGGGTCCTGTGGGAAGCATTGGGGAAGGATTAGATATCGAAGTCAAACTCAAAAATTTTACTCTTTAGGGAGAGACAATTGCACAAAAATAAATGTGATGTATAGTAAAGTGTAAAAACTACCATTTGAAAAATGCAGATGATCAGTGGTGGATAACATAAAAAAAGAGATTGTTTTCAGCAAAATAATGTGCATAAAGGAATTACTGTAAAGTTTGATGTCTTGTTCAATTTTTTGTTCCTTTAACAGAATACTTGAGACTGGGTAATTTATAAAGAAAAGAAACATATTTATTATCGTTCTAGGGGCTGGAAAGTCAGAGGTTCAGGGGCTACATCTGGTGAGGGGCCTTTTGCTGGTGCAGAGTCCCAAGGAAGCACAGGGTATCACATTCTGAGGGGCTCACAGGAGACAGCCAAACTAGCCTATATAATGGCCCATTCCTATGATAACCAACTCACTCTCATGATAATGCATTAATCCATTAATTCATGAATCCGTGAATGGATTTTTTTCATGGGGGCAGAGCTTCTATAACCCAATCACCTCTTAAAGACCTCATCTCGTAATACTGTTACCCTAGGGATTAAGTTTCAACATGAGTTCTGGAGGGGACAACTATTCAAACCATAGCATCTGGCATAAAATAATGTGCTTCAATGAACATATGCGTGCATGTATCTTTATAATGGAATGATTTATATTCCTTTGGGTATATACCCAGAAATGGGATTGCTGGGTCAAATGGTATTTCTGCCTCTAGGTCTCTGAGGAATTGCCACACTGTCTTCCACAATGTTTGAACTAATTTACACTCCCACCAACAGTGGAAAAGTGTTCCTTTTTCTCCACAACCTCCCCAGCATCTGTTGTTTTTTGACTTTTAGTAATAGCCTTTCTGACTGGTGTGAGATGCTATCTGATTGTGGTTTTGATTTGTATTCTCTAAAGATTAGTGATGTTGAGCTTTTTAAGATATGTTTGTTGGCTGCATGAATGTCTTCTTTTGAGAACTCTCAGTTCATGTTGCCCTTTGCTCACTTTTTAATGGGGTTTTTTGTTTGTTTGTTTCTTGTAAATTTGTTTAAGTACCTTGTAGATGCTGGACGTTAGACATTTGTCAGATGGATAGATTGCAAAAATTTCTCCCATTGTGTAGATTGTTTGTTCACTCTGATAATAGTTTCTTTACTCTGATAATAGTTTCTTTTGCTGTGTAGAAGTTCTTTAGTTAATATTTTCAAGAGGTTAAAGGAGGATGAGGCTGAGCAGTTACTGAGTTTACAAAGGAGATCACTGTAAGCCTTCAAGGCAATTGCTTTGTCATGGTAAAGGCATAGGCTAAAGTGTAAGGGACTTAAAATTAAATGGGAGCTGAGAAAATGGAGCTGGCTGGAAGTAGTTTACCTTTCTCTAAGGATATCTAATGATGAGAGAAAGGAGAGAAGATGGCAGCTTCTGGTGTAACTTATGCCTAAAAGTGGCAATCTCTTAGGGACAACTTCTGTTTATTTAAATACATAAATAGGTCAGTAAGTAAGTAAATAATAGTGGTGCCTACCATTAAGAAACAATGAGGAGAGGGTTCATTCAGTATAACAGATGCCACATTTTAGGGGGCTGGAAAGAAATTAGCAGGTTATGCAGAAAGCCAGACATTCTCAAGATTAACAAAGTGGACTCTGGGATTTTTATACAAACTGTGCAGAGAAAAGTCAAAAGGTATACACATGTCTGTGGGCACACATTTTAATACTATAACTGTGGCTTTTTTTCATTTATATAGTGTAAATTTTATATCCCATATTTCTTTAAGCATAAATATCCTATGACAACAAGGTATTATGGCTTTCTCCCTTTTCATTTTTTTAAGTGTAATTATCAGCAAGAAGAATGCATTCAACAGACACAGAATATTGATTTCATTTTTCATTGATTGACATTTCTGTGTTTTCTTATGCTAGGAGGCTAACAACTTTCAATTTTATGTATTTTATCTAGATTTTTAAAATATAATAATGATTTAATATATGTGGGATAATACATTACTACCACATTTGTGCACTAGAGTTATTCTAAAGTACTAAGCAGTGAAACAGACAAAAATGTGAGTGTTGTTAGTAATATAATTTGGTGTTTTAACAAACAATAACAAGAATCTCTAAATTAATTAATTGGTTATTTTAATAAGCTTGGAGTCCTTTCTTAGGAAAATAAAAATAAGATTCACTATAGCTGTCTTTCCTTTTCAGGAGGAGGGAGATAAAGTTAGTTACTTTTATGTATTTATCAATTTTCCCAAGTTGAAACACAAGTAACATAGGACCTGCAGTGACTTTTGGACCCTGACTTCTCTGCCTCAGGTTTAATCTCAAGCTATCAAGTTTTGGAGAGTCCCCTAAGTATTTTATTTTTATTCATTTTATTTATATTTCTTTTGTGGCCTAGCAGATATACGAATAACCAGTTAGATTTTTTAGGAAGTAAGCCAGCATATTAATGAATGATTTGTAATTTCAAGGTAGTTTATTAATTTATTCTAGCATGGTGGTGACACAGAAATTACTGTGACTTTAGAAAATAAAATTAATTTGAGCTTTAGAGTCTGTTTTCTTGCTTTCTTAACTTCTGGTACTTTATCTGAAGTGGAATCTCTGATGCTCTGGTCTTTCTGATGTGTCTTCTCTCTCTTTTTTCTTTTTGCACTTTTTTTCCCTAGGGATTTGTATTTCGATTGCAAACCTTCTTTGATATCAGGTTTCAGGAAGTAATTGTACACAGTATCTCTCTCTGTGTCTGTGTATGTGTGTCAAAGGGACAATATGAAGAGCCAGAGAGCCATTTCCGTAGTGAACATAAAGGTTCTAGACCAAATACTAAATTAAGAGATTCACACTTACACTGGGCATTCCGTTCCTGCTGTCAGAAGTCATAACATGATAAGCAGAACGGTAGCTGATACAAATGATGGTAGCATATTTAAAATCTTTGGTCAAATGCAGTTCCTGATTTGCTACAGTTTGGGATGGCTACTTGTTAATAAAATATTTTTGGTTGAAATTCTTAGTAACCAATTGATAACACTTTTCATAAATTCGATTATTGCAACCTATCTCTCCTGTAATTATAAAAACCAATACTACCCCATCTACATCCTTGCATTAAGCTGGTAGTACTACAAAGGCTGCCTTTTGAGGACAAGTTTGAAGAACCAGTGTGAACAGTTCTTTCATTGCACTTGTATTTTTCGAAGCACACTGATTCTGATACATGAAAGAATGTCAATTTTACCTGCAGCATTCTTGAATAGGTAGCTGGTGCCAAATTTCAGTAGCATCCTCCAGAGGGCACTGTCACCTGTTTTATATACTGTATAATTTGTATCCTTTTATTAAGATGCTGTGCAATACTTGAAGAGTTATTTTAATCTATTTTTATGTGAAATGCAATCACGCATTCTTTGCATCATCCACAACCCTGCTATCTACAGCAGCTTCCCCTGTCCATTGTTGTAGACCATGGGTTGACTTGTATATCTGTATACAAGTTTTATATCAGTAACATTTTGTAGATTGATCCACCTAGGCTAAATAGTCCAGTCTAGGCCTGTTTAATAAGGATCTTTCACAACACCCCCACTTAACCATAATTTTTCCCTTTTCTTATTAAAATATACTTTATGTAAGTTATCTTACTTTTCACCATATTTATACATATGCCATGCTTGGCTCTGGAGTCAGATTTCTTGGGCTTAAAATACCAGCTCCATCAGTTAGACTATGTGATATGGACCAATGACTTCTCTTCTTGGGTTATTAAGAAGATTATATGAGTTATATATGTAAAATACTAAGCTAATCTCCCTAATATAATATACTTTGAAAGTTCTCTATTGCATTTGCCATGACTCAAATAATCAGGGTTACAGTTTGTGAAATTTAGTTGAACTCTGATGATTGAAAATGTTTAATTTTTTTTCAAAATGTAAAGGATGCTTTTTATTTCTCAGACATAGAGTTTAAAAATCTCAGTTTTTTAAAGCATTTCCAAAAGTATACACACACATGCAAGTTATAGTTTTACAGAAATTCTCTTCTAAGTGACTTAGATTTAATTATTCAAAGAGGCCGAATCTATTGAGTTAAATATTCCAAAGCATAACAAAGTAAACAGTTTAAAATAAATTCTTTTTGTGGAAATGTTACTTACATCCATCATATTAAAGGTTTGGAGATTTTTTGCAAATACCACTTAAAAGGAAAAATCAATTAGTTATAATTTTCAGTTTGCACAGAAATAGCTGTATATACATTATAAATCCAACATAAGCATTTATAAGTGCAAAGAGGGATTGTTTATTTAATAATTGTTATAAAGGGATAAATGAGAATGAAAGGACACAGTTGCTGCTATACCATTCTGTACATAATAGTGCTTAATTGTATATAATTTTGATAGATTTGAGTAGTTAAGTTTTAATATTCTCAAGTTCACTAAAACACAAATTTTTTGTTTGTTTTTTTTAAATAGGCTCAATTTCCAAGTAGTTGAAACTTTCCTTTTTCTCTGATTACACAAATATCACATAACAGCAGTTTTAAAATCAGATTACATGGACTCAAAATCTTCTCTAAGATTAAATTCATGAATAACTTCATGTGGATTTCTCCTCAGCTGCTGTTGTGGGCAAATGTTCAAATACAAATTTCCCACGCATGTGTACACTACCCTATAGCATGATTGACAATTTGTAAGCTCCTAAGTGCAAATCGGTGGTCTCAAAACTTGGTCATCATTTCATCTTTTTTGTTTTTAAATTCAGGAATCATAAACATTGGGTCATGTACAGCTGTATCTTTTGGACAAATGCTCACTGTCATAGGAGCCGCCATCCCTGCCTTTCCCTGATTATCTAGCTTCTATTCACTCCATAGGAGTCACACAATTGTCATTTCTCCCTTCTCAAAATTTACTTCTCAAAATGCACTCATTTGTATCTTAAGAGAAATACAGTAGAGGCAAAGAGAGAAATTATTCAGTTTTTTGATTGATTGGTTGACTGACTGATTTCAGAGCTTTCTTTATGAGTTTCTTATATTTACATTTAGAAATTGATGTTGCTTTGTCAAGTTTGTCATATTTAATTAGCTCGCTCTCATAATTGTGAAGATAAGTATAGCTGATGCCTTAACCTATATTTTATTCTTGTTGATCATTTTCTTCCTTGAGGCTCCTATTTATTTCTGCAGTCATAAATGACTTGAGAGACAAGATTTAAAAAGTGATAAGTTCCCACTTGATAGGAGGTCTGTTTGGTTTAGACTGTAGTGACTTCTTAAATTAACATTTTTAAATGTCCACATGCATAGATGACTTGTGGTTTATTTATACATTTTTAACCATAATAAATTTTACCTTATGGTTGCATAGTAGTTATACTCCTCAAAACTTTAATTAAGCAGTTATCTATATGAGTATTTGTTAGAATATTAGTTCCATGAAGAAAGGGACTTTTTCTTCTTTCATATAATTGTATCTCTACTATCTAGTTAAAGATTGGTACAGTAAATATTTTTCAGAAAATATGTAAAATAAATTTATTATTAACTACTAAATGCTGTTAAATGACAAGAAAAAGAATATCTCAGGAGTCTTGAAAGGTAGAATATTAATGAGAGATGTTTCTGGATTTCTTTATGGCTCTACTCAGTCCTCAGACAAGAAGGTATACATCTATCAAGTCCAAAAACATGTTAACAATCAGAGTATCACAATTTTGGGTAAAATTTAGTCATTCTGTTTTCAATAAAGATTACATCCCACTAAGGCATGTAAATATTGACACTTTCTAATCCATGGCAATATAATTATTTTTAGTCTTCAGGCTTGATGCCAGTTAGAATCTTTCCATGTCAGTAGAATTCAGGACTAATTTGCTGTGATTAGCAAAGAATTACTTTGCAGGCTTTCTATTCATTTATGCAAGGACAGACCTGTTAATTCCAACTCACTGAATTTATATGGGATGCCCACAAAAGTCCTTGGAAGCCTCAAGCTTTTACTACAAATAGTTGATTTTTCCATATGCCAGATACTCAGCTTTTCAGGAGAAAGCATCCCACTAGTACTGTTGAAAAGAGAGAGAGAGAAAAAAAAAAGGCAAAGCTTAATTCTGTAAGTAAGGTTGCTATTGCCACTCAGCAAAGGAAATCGCACTTAACCCACTGCAGTGTAAGCTCTTCTTCCAAACAATCTGGAAAGAACATTATATGAAAATGTTGTCATAGCAGAGCTCCACAATGTAAAAGGACAAATTGCCCTTTGAGAATAAAAGTATAGTCAGGACAAAGACAAATATGATGATATGTATAATTCAACTGTAAACCAGAAACAGAAAAACAAGCTGTGGATATCATTTAAAAGTAATTTTTTTAATTATACTTTAAGTTTTAGGGTACATGTGCACAACGTGCAGGTTTGTTACATATGTATACATGTGCCATGTTGATATGCTGCACCCATTAACTCATCATTTAACGTTAGGTATATCTCCTAATGCTATCCCTCCCCACTCCTCCCACCCCACAACAGGCCCCGGTGTGTGATGTTCCCCTTCCTGTGTCCATGTGCTCTCATTGTTCAATTCCCACCTACGAGTGAGAACATGCGGTGTTTGGTTATATTGCTACTTGAAAGGGGCTTCAAGGCAGGCAAGCAAAAGTGAGAATAGAGTAATTGTGAGTGTTATAGGTAAGTATAACCCATTTCTTCCAAGTCATTATTAGGGTGTGATTTACAAGTTCAGTGATAGGAGGTATAGGCCCTAGTTAGGAGAAACCAGGCATGGATATGCAAGAGTGACACAGACAATGTGGGGCAGCCTGGGAAGCAACAGGCAAGAAATAAGCTACATTTCTTTCTCTTGCTAGTAACAGGGATAGGGCTTAAATCGTTGATATTGATTGTATCTGTTCATTGCACTGTAAGTGACAGAACACTTGACCCAAATTAGGTTTAGGTAAAGAGAAGTTCATCAGATTAGGTGTCCAAAAAGTTTGGAATTTGATCTGGCATGGCTGGTTACAGGGTCAGACGCCTTCATCAGGGCCCTGTTTGACTCTCTTCATCTCTTGATCTCTCTTTCCATCCTCAGACACGATATCTTTCTGTGATTAAAATATAGTACCTGATAGCCATTCCAGCATAGTCACATGGTCTCCAGTGAGGTCACGTGGACATATTTGAACCAATCATTTTCATGAAAGATAATATATTCTGATTGGCTTAGGCCCAAATCAAATGTCTACCCCAAGCTTAGGGATGGGATTATCTCTGCAGACACATCATAGCCTAAAAGCTGAAAGGGGTAGTTTTCTGAAGTAAAATAGTATATTTACACTAAAAATAGGGGAAGTGGATTCTGAGTGGCAAAAATACAAATGTCTACTTTATTGGTCAATAAATCAATAATTACAGAGAGATATGGGCATATCTCTCTGGCTGTGACAGGAGGTGCAGGACTCAGCAGTTCCTTTTGAAGTTCCCTGTGTTCAGTCTATACTTTGGCTTCAAGAATATGCTTCAGCAAGAAGCAGACAGAGAAGAGTACCCTCAGGCAGGCTTTTGCCAAACACTGGATTTGTGTCAGATTCATTGCACATCAATTTCGAGAAAAAACTTATAAAAATATCCTGATTTTGGAATTGGATGTTGATTCTATTACCATTGTACTCTGCTATGTAGACTACAATATTATTATTTGTTATACTGACAATATGTAGGTGGGGGCAAGTCTGGAAAATAAATTTTACATGACACAATAATTGTACTGACAGTTACATTGGCTCAGAAATAAAATAGAATAATGAGGAAAAATAAAACTATATATACTCAGAGTGCAAGGACTGTCCTCTGTTCAGAGACTTTTCGGTTGTAAAAGATGTCTTCTAAATATGATCCATGCTTCATTGTGATTGCCCTTGTTCAAGTATTGATTAGGCCTGTGGACATTAATGACAATAATGTGATGTAAAAAGATTTTATGGTAAGCATCTCATAATTTACTGAAATGATATTTATACTAAAGAGGGATGTGAAAATTTGTCTTGCCATTTCTAAGAAGCACATCTTTATAATTAAGTTACCTCTACTTCTACACTCACTGGACAAAAATTGGTGTAATTAAGTAGATAACATTTGTAGGATACTTTAGAATTCACAGAACAGGTTCAAATACTTTCCTCAAAAATCCTGTGAATTCATATATTGATTCTGTATTTTAGAGATTGATAATAGGACTGAATATATTTCCAGGGGTCACTTCCCTGCTTCACATTTATAGCTAGGTTCTCTGCTTCACATTGTCTATCCTCTGCTATGCTCGTGTGTTTCAAAAAGGGTGTTACTTGTGAATAGCACCTGAATCTTAATCGCTTAGTTCACATAATTATTTATCTATTTAACTGACTAATTTAACTATTTCACTATTTGTGTGATTTTTATTGGACCTGCCTTGGTAATTCCAATTCTTTCTTCAAAATATTGCCTATAAGCCACTCTTTGTTTAAGGTCTTCCTTGAATCCCCAAGCAAACATGCCTTGTCTATCATCACAGCCCCACCTTACAAGCATCTGTTAGCATGTCTCACTCCATTATAATGATGTGTTTACATGACTGTTTCTCCAACTGAACTGTGAGTTTCTTGAAGACAGAGACCATATCCCCTGCATCTGTTTATCTTTTGTTACTAGAGCTCCAGGAGTGTGGCACCTGAAGGTTAACCAGTGTTTGATGAACTAATGAATGAATCATACACACCAAAAATAGAGCAGCAGAACTATAGGATACAGTGACTTACTGAGGCATAGTGAAGCTACAGATAAGTAATCTAGCTTCCAGCCATAGAATAATAATCCCTGGATTTTATATGTAGGTTTTTAAAAATTGTTTCCTCATAGTTAGAAGTTGCCATTCTACAATTATATTACAGCTTGATTCTATTTCTTTATTCGGATATTAAAACCCTTAAATAATGCCCTTTGTTTTAAATTTAATTCTTAACAAGTAAAATAAAACAGCAGTAAATCACATGTTTATAATGGGTAGCAGCAGACCTTAAACCTTTACAGCATAAAAATAGCAGTCTCGAGTTGCTAACACATCAGGTATGCAATCTTCTGTAGAAAAATATTACACATTGTCTTAAGTAGGAGCAGACTTGATCTTCTCAAAACCAAAGCATTGTTGGGTGTGTGTGGGGGGCGGGTAGGGGAATTGTTCATGATATTTCATTTATTTAATATAGCTTCAGCAAATAATAGATGTCCTCTAATTTTGTGATATTTATCCTTGAATATTATGACATTCATTTGCTTATCAGTGGTATTCTGACGGACTATTTTTCTGTGGTTTCATTGAAAGAGTTGATTGGTAATTTTGCAAATATCTGAATTAAGTGTTAAGGTTATAGCTGTATATAATAATAGAAGGCTAATATTGCTCTGTGGTTTGTTACTATATATAATGTCCCTTTTTTTGTTGTCTGTTTTATTTTGTTTAAGGCATTAGAGAAGTGTTGACTTGAAGTGATGTTGGAGGAAATGATTTATCATGCCTGTTCCTTATCGACTTTAGTTTAAACAAAAGTGTCTTCTATACACAATAATCCTAGTGCCAGTGTTTTGAGTCTTTGCAAAACTGATACAGAATTCTGTCCAGTCTGAGTAACATCAAACTTTAAGTAGTAATATCATCCACACCACTGAACATTTTGAAACTACACAAAGGAATGTATCACCATACTATTGAACAAGAACTTACAGATTCTTGGAGTTTACAATTCAGTTGGGGCATTTTTAAAGTTTTATTGAGAGGTGGTAGATTAAATAATGCAATGAATTCAATCCAAAGATCATTCTGTAGTGAAAAGATTTAAAATATGTCCTTTTCTTTAAGGACATAGAGTCCCATTTACCTAGTCTTCACCCTCAAGACACTGTCCCAAATAAAAATGGCTCTTTAAGAAATAAAAATATAGTAAGTGACTGGAAGTCAGAAAAATCATACCAAGCACAAGTGATCCTGAAAATCTATCTGCATATGCAATTATAAAAGGAGCTTTGTTTCTGACACACAGCAAGCTTTGTTTAATATGATGAGCTGCTGCTGATGCCAGCATCTGACTATTTGGTTTATCTGTTCGTAGGAATCACTTGTGTGAGATTGAATTTCAAACTATTCTAAGGAGAAGAGTAAATGAAAATAATATAATCAAACCTTGTCCCTTCAGAATAGAGATTTTCATAAATTATTTTTATTTATGTAACAATTTTTTCTCCTTTTTCTCTTCAACTTTTCTTTACCCCCTTTTAAGTATTTTAATGCTATGGTGTGACTGCTATCTATTCGTCACGAGTCAAATTACTTTTTTTTTACCAGCGCTTTCTTTAATGGCTTTTTTTGAGAAATCAGATGCCAGATTCCTCTCTTTGCACCAGTTAGGATACCTTTTTGTTGGCAATTTGTGATTTTCCTTTGCAAATGCTAAAAATTAAATATGATGTATAAAAGCAAAAGCTTGTCTTCTTGCCTCTACCTCGCCTCACTTCCAGAGTTTTGCATACCCATCACCAGGCTAATACTGTGAAAACATCATTTTCAAAACACTACCCCCTACCCAAAGTCCTTCTTCACCCCTAGTCATTTAGACTATCCCAACCTATCTTTCTGAACTTTACATCCTGTCCCCCAAACATAACTTAGTTATTTTTCTTGCTTCCATGCATTTGTTTCTGCTGTTTCTTCAACTTATGATACATCATCCTTCCATCGAGGCCACTAACTTTGATTCTTTACGTCCATCAAAACTCAGTTTCAATAAGATGTCCTGGCTCACACCTGTAATCCCACTACTTTGGGAAGCCAAGGTGGGAGGATCACTTAAGGCTAGGAGTTGGAAATCAGCCTGGCCAACACAGTGAGATCCTGTCCCTACAAAAAATGAAAATAAAAAATAAAAAATCAGTTTGATTTCTTTATCTTCTGCTGAGTCATCTCTGCTCCTCTGAGGTCACTGTACTCTCTTTTTACTGTGACTTCATGACCCTCTGCATGGTACACTCACTCACTGTTCGTCACGTATATTATTGTCCCACATCCTTTTATGTATTTATGCTCTGTCCCTAAGCTAAGTTTTACTTTATTGGAGTTGGTAGTTACATATTATGATTCTTTTGATTTTCCCATACCATTTAACAAAGTATATAAAATAATATATAAAAATATGTTATATATAAAAACTAGGTTACTAAACTAAAATTTTCTGGTTATTTGAAATTATTTTCAGCAGCAATGATAATACATACACCTGGACCCTGGAACAACTTTTTTTGTTGTTTTTTGAGACATGGTCTTGTTCTGTCATCCAGACTGGAGTACTGTGCCATAGTCACAATCAGAGCTCACTGCAACCTCTACCTCCCAGGCTCAAGCAATCCTCCCACCTCAGCCTCTCCAGTAGCTGGGACTACAGGCACATACCACCATGCCCAGCCAATTTTTGTGTTTTTGTAGAGATGGGGGTTTCACCATGTTGCCCAGGCTGGTCTCAAACTCCTGAGCTCAAGCAATCCACCTGCCTCAGCATCCCAGAGTGCTGGGCTTACTGGCTTAAGCCACCACGTCCGGCCCTTGGAACAACTTTTGATCCCACAATCCAATCAGCTTCTTGGGAACAACATGTGAAATCAAAGCAGCCACAACAAATTTAACATATACCACGAGGGCTGAAAATTATTAACATGTCCAAGTTAGTACGTCCCAAAAGGGTTGATGATTATTAATTCTGCAGCTGGAGTTGCACAACAAGCAAAAAATACAAACTAACCTCTTACAGTGAGCAAGAACATCAAAGTGTGAAAGATACCACTAGTTTCAGCCACATCAACTTTCACAGAAGAGATACTGCTTTTTGAACATCTAGATCTGGTGCTTCTAACACATTGGAAAATTCTTTTAGTACCTCCATCCTGTGTAAGAAGATGAGAAAGTAACTGAAACATTTATCTTCATCAAATTCAAGGAAGTAATCTGAATACCATGAAATCAACTAAAGATTTCTATTCTTGGTGCCATTATATGATAAAGGCAGAGTGATGAAAGATGCCAAACAGGTGTGCTAATATCTGGTCTAGTATGACCTCAGTTCTTTTTTGTTGGTATCGTTCAGGTTAAGTTGTCTGCAGGTTTATTTTTAGAACTTAATTCATTGAATATTTTCTTCACATAGCATCTTTTATTTAAGAACATTTCTTAATGTTGAGTTTATGAAATCTATCAACCTGCCATAATTTTAGTTTCATCCCATTTCATGTTATTTACTAACTGCTGTAATGATCTTATATTGGCTTGCTTTCTTCTTCTTTTTTATAGCATTACCTCTAAGGGTTTTGCTCCTAGGAGGTTTTAGCAACTTATGAATAACAAAGCATTTATATTTCATCGTAGCAAATAAGGATTTGACATTGAAGCTCACTAGTTTTAGCTTCACAAATGCCTTTGCTCCTTTTCTCCTTAACTGATATTTTTTTATTTATGTCATCCATCTTCAAGTGAAATGTTGTATTTATATAACCTCCTCCTGCACAGAAAAACATGTTAGATTTGTTTAAAAATAAACTATATTTTCAGTTTTTTAGAGCATTTTCTGTTAAAAATATTGATTTTCAGAAAATGTTAGTGTATTTTAATTGCCATGATGAGTTAAAATTTTTGAAAAACGAATTTCTACTCCCTTAGGCAGTAGTATAGTAGCTGTGCATTTTGGCATCTACAAAAGCTTTGGTAGTAATAGGTTTTTAAAAAATCTAGTTGTGTACCATAATGGTTTTGAGCAGTAGTAGATTTTTTAAAACTCCAAATGGCATTCACCTTAGTAAACATCTAGCAACATACTAGGTCCTAGAGTTGAGCCTTATAATATAAAGGCTTTGTTTTTTTATTTTTTTGTTTTTTTGTTTTTGACAGAATCTCATTCTGTTGCCCAGGCTGGAGTGCAGTGGCATGATCTCGGCTCGCTGCAACCTCCACCTCACGGGTTCAAGTGATTCTCCTGCCTCAGCCTCCCAAGTATCTGGGACTACAGGTGCCCACCACCATGCCCGGCTAATTTTTGTATTTTTAGTAGAGGCGGGGTTTCGCCATGTTAGCCAGGCTGGCCTTGAACTCCTGACCTCAAATGATCCACCCACCTCGGCCTCCCAAAGTGCTAGGATTACAGGCCATATAAAGGCACCTGCACCCAGCCATATAAAGGCTTTATAATCTTCTTTAAGTATTCTCACAGAAGACTCTTCCTCATCTTTGTCAAAGAGGAAATACTAAATAAATTATTGCCCAGGCATTGTAATGTAGGTCTCAAATTCTAGAACTGAGTAAATCAGTTGTAGTTAGTAATGTTTTCCCTTTAAGACTAAGAATGTATCCCAGAAGTGGACTTAGAAAATAATGAGAGCCGGGCGTGGTGGCTCATGCATGTAATCTCAATACTTCGGGAGTCTGAGGCAGAAGGATCATTTGAGCCCAGGAGTTCTAGACCAGCCTGGGCAATGTGGGGAAACCCCATCTTTAAAAAAATACAAAAATTAGCCTGGTGTGGTGGCATACGCCTGTGGCCCCAGCTACTTGGGATGCTGAGGATGTAGGATCATTTGAGCCGAGGAGGTCGAAGCTGTAGTAAGCCGTAATAGTGTCACTGCACTCCAGCATACGTGACAGAGAGAGACCCTGACAGGAAAGGAAGAAAGAAAGAAGGAAAGAAGGAAAGGAAGAAAGAAAGAAGGAAAGAAGGAAAGAAAAAGAAAGAAGGAAAGAAAGAAAGAAAGAAGAAAGAAAGAAAGAAAGAAAGAAAGAAAGAAAGAAAGAAAGAAAGAAAGAAAGAAAGGGGAAGGGAAGGGAAGGAAGGAGAGAGGGAGAGAGAGAGAGGAAGGGAAGGGAAGAGAGGAAGGGAAGGGAGGAAGGAAGGAAAGGAGAGAGAGAGAGTGAAAGACAGAGAGAGAGAGGAGAGAGAGAGAGAAAGAGAGAGAGGAGAGAGAGAAAGAGAAAGAGAGAGGAGAGAGACAGCAAGAGAGAAAGAGAAAAAGGAAGGGAAAGAAAGAGAAACGAAAGCAAAGAAAAGAAAGAGAGCCCAATGATGGGATTTCACCATGTTGGCCAGGCTGGTCTTGAACTCCTGACTTCAGGTGATCCTCCCTCTTTGGTCTCCCAAAGTGCTGGGATTACAGGCATGAGCCACCACACCCAGCCAACATTTTCTTAAATAGTCATCCATTAGTCAAATATCCAAATGGGACAAACTTTAAATATGTATGTTTGTCAATGAATATCTTAATTCATTTGTGTTACGTATTAAGGATTTGTTTATTTTTAGAAAATTTCAGTGTTTAGGAAAAAATGCGTTATTAAATAAGTTTGGCCTTTGTTTAAGTCTATTCATTTATAAATAGTATATTCATAAATGTACTTTATTAGAAATATTTGTAAACCTGTGAGATCTTTTTTCTTATTCTTTTGCCAACTTTCAAAAATAGTTTTACTTTCATAAGTAGAAAAGCTTAGTCATATTATATTTTCCTCTCTTCTTCTACACCTAGCAGAAATTGACTTTATTTTTCTGACTCCATTTAAATAATAATCTCTCCTCCATTTTTCTTCAAAATAAAGTCATCATAGAAAATGGGAAGATGAAGCCATGGTCCTAAAGCACAGTCTCTGAAATAGAACAAGCATTGTCACTTTCAACAGTAGTGATGCAGAGGTGGGTCATTGCATGAGTCTCCTGGTATAAACATATATGAACTTTTCTGTACTGGGGATTAGAGAAGAGATTAAAACTTTCCTATATGTCCGTGAGAACTGGGCTGTATGTGATAATACACCTGATGATTAAGGTCACATGCCAGTTAGCTATGGGAATCCAATTCTGTCAGTGAATTCAACTACCAAAGTAACACCATGTATTCCCTAAGAATGAACAAGAAAATCAAGCTTAGGTATATCCCTTTAGGAATCAACAGTAGTGTGATCATTTAAATACATTGTTTAAAAATCTTACTTAGTTTAGAAAAATTTATTGCTCATTACTATACATCTCCATCACTACAACCAGCTATTTCCTCATCTAACCATTTCTTTAGAAGAGGCTTACTTAGCACCTACTAAATACATATAGCACAATCAGAATGCAAAACCGATGAAATATCCTTGTAAGATACTTACTCTCTTAAAGAGGAGACAAAACATGTACCTGGAATATGTACATATTCTTTCTAACTGCCTTTAGAATCATAGAAAGCATGATTAGGGGTTCAAAGAAAAGATAAATCTTCTAGTGGATGCTCACAGGAGAGTCTTAGGATTTAAATATCCAATTAAGTTGAAATGACCTTTGACAACTGAAAGCAATAAGATTCCAATGAAGTATCTGCTATAAAATAAGAGTTTGCAGCTTTGAAATAGTTTTATTTAGAAGCAGTAGAGAAAAATTTGGCTTCTCTGACACAACCAAAAAAATTAAAATTAAAGTAAAATAAAATAAATCCCTCAACAAACAACACACACACGCAACAAAAATACCAATGAACAACTTTCATCAATTAATTCTGTGCAAGGAATTGGGTGATACCCATTTTCACTTAAAGAGTTTTTACTGTATTCTTTGTTTTAATCCATTCTGTTTAATAGAGTATGCACAATGGTGAGGTTCTGTGAAATTCATCTTAAATAATGTTGATGCCTGGGTAAGCAATATTAATTTATTTGTTAAAGGCTTGTTGATATATGCCAGTCTACTGAAGCAAAATTTACCCCAAAATTTATAAATTTAACAGACAAAGAGTATGATCCTTAAGATCATTTTAGTTAGGCAGAGTGCATTTACCTGAGAAGTAAATGATATATATGACATTTTGTTCCAAAGATGGTTTTCTAATTTTTATTACTTTATTTAATGAGCTTCCTGAGGACAATAAATATAATTTGACCATTGATTTAATTAAGGAGGTAAAAGACCTTCTTATAATGTAGGTAATATTTTTGGAAATTAATGAATGAAAGTTAATTGCCTGGCAGTCTTTCACACCAACTGTGTTGGCAATCTAGTGGCAAACCTAATAAACACTCTCTCATGTAGACAAATGTGCTTTAGATAATGATGGAGTTTTTGAGTGGGTGATTCCAGAGACAGTCATTCGAAAGGAGGACAATAGAATGAATAGAGCCAAATAGAAGAATTAACAAAAGCAGTGATACACAGAATTGTGAAGCTATTTACAGGCTGACACTCACTGCCACATGTAACTGACTGCCGATCTAAAACCTATTGTTCCATTTTTATTGGGTAAAAGTCATAGGCTCTAATTCAATACTTAAGAGAAATTGAAGCAATCTTTCCCTTATATGGAGAAACCTGATGCTTAAAAAACATTTCAAGTTTTTTTCCTTTAGAATTTACTTCTTAAAATTGTGATATTTGTCTTGACTTCATACCATTATGTCTTAAGATCATTTTTGTATTTGCTGACTTTCATATGGTTTTTGAAGTGTATATTTATATTTGAATTAACTTGAAATGACAACCAATTTTGAAGCAAATCTTTATTCTGAGGAGAAATGTTCTATGAATGCTTGATGACAGCATCTGTATGACTTGCATAACTTCTTAAAAATTGTGTTCTTAAAATAATAGAAATCAAAACTCTTTTGTTCCTAATAACACTTCTGGCAACAATGTATGATTACTATTTTTTAAAATCAATTTAGGTATAGTTATCCAGGCCTCTTCAACACTCATTGAAAGCATGACAGTAGAATTGTATCAATTCAGATTACTCAGTCATATTTATTCATAATCTCCAGAGTATATGTAAATATTTTCTTCTAAAGATTAAGCTCCATGTCACTTCAGTGTTGTTTTATTTGCCCTCAAAATGATAACAAGTTAAACTGTTTGAACACATAGTAAAAGAATATGATTTTCAACTTGAGCTAGACAGATGTACATTTCCATTTGTTCAATAATCTGGGAAAACGAAAATTTATATTTAGTGAAGGACAGTTGAGTCAGATATCTCTGAATTCTATTCTGTGTTTCTAATAACCCAAATAAATTACAATCAAGAGAATATTTTTCAACAATTATATGTAATCTTATCTCCATTGATTTATATGTATGTATAATTGAAGCATTATACATATTTACTATATAAAGTATTCTTTTATTACCTGTATAAAATATTAGGCTGAAAGTAACCTTAGAGATCATCTAATCTATGTTCATTCTACAAGTTGAAGAGATTGAGCAACATCAAGGCAAAATAACTCATAAAATTACACAATTATTGAAGCATAATGATGGCTAGAATCATTATGATGCCAGCTTTTCTTTGTTTAGTCAGAGATACCAGACCAAAGAAATGTAGAGTGTGCTGATTTCCATTAAGAGGGCCTTTATCTTTAAGTAGAAATTTATACAAATGTGGCTAAATCCCATAAAGTATAAATCAGTGGCATCTGGTTGCAAGCTCATTTTTCCTTTGCTCTTGTAAGCTGGGAAGAGATGGATATTTTCTGGACACATTGTCCCCAATCTTGGTTATGAAAGTAGATATCTTTGTATGATAATAAATTACTTCCCTTAGCATTTAAATGACTAAGACCGTACTCACTGACTGTTTATTTATTTGGGGTCACTTAATTATACTTTTGCTAGCATTCATGTATAAAGAAACCTTTATTTCTTACATTTCTGAAGAGCTCCCTGTATCCAGCTAGGTTCTTAAATGCTTTTGTCTTCCTCATTGCCGTATTGTTTGATGCCCCTTGGTGGCCAAATATTTAATTAAAGTCCCTTGAGGGGACAGTTTTCATGATTTGTTATTGGACATCTGCCAAAGCTTAATTCACCAAATTTTTGCCATCAACTTAGGTTACTTCTATGTATATTTTTAATACTGTCCATATGCCTTAAGTTTTAAATATTCCCCAACAGCAATCATTTCTTACCATCTCCAAAACCTAAACATATTCAATTTCAACATATATGAAGGTTAGTGTGTAATTTCTTCTTCTAATCTGCTTATAATTCTTTTAAGTTAGTGATTTTTCATTGTGTTTTTCTTTGAAGCACAAAGACTGTCAGCCATGAGGATGAAAATGTTGATTTAGTTAACTTAGATAATACATCAGTAATGATAAATATTATTTATTGAATGTCAGTTTTTCAACATTCTCTGTAGTGAGCACATAACATGCATCTATTTTTGCATTAAATTTCACTACAAATTTAGGGAAAGTTTTCATTATTCTCAGTAAAACAAGATGGGTTGTTAAGTAACTTGCTCAAATTTATGCCATTTATAAGGAGAGACTCTTCGTTTCTGTCAAGATCTCTTGGAATCCAGGTTTTAATAATTTCAAAATACAAACTTCTCTTAGAAAGTGCATGCCTGTCCCCTGTTTACTGACTTCATTTATTGTCATGTTGATTTCTATGGGATATGAAATTCTAGAACATGTGTAGTTTACAAGGAAGTTTTAAATTACACTGTCAGTGTTTTACTTACAAGTCTGTGGTTTGTATCATTTGCACTGTTCCCTGGATTGAATATTTGTGATTTTATTTTAAAATCTCTTTTAGCAGAAGCTATCTAGTGATAATTGCTGTATTAGGTTTGTCTCCCAACAGTGTTTGGCTCATGAAGTCTTTTTCATCTTTTAAATTGTATAATGCATAGGGTGTTTAGATAATAATATGATGATGCAAAATCTAAAGATTATAGTTTTAATTTTCTTCTAGAGAGTTAATCTTTGTTTCTTAACAGATCCTACCTTGTTTTGTCCCTAAGACTATTACTATCAGAAAATATAAAATTATACTTATTTTCTGTCATTATAAAACTTTTCTGGACTTGGAGAAAAAAAAAGAGTCTCCATGCACTTAAATTGATTTCTGTCTTTTGCAGTAACAAAGCAAAATATATATTCTGAGTCAAGAAAGAGTTAAAAGAATGTTTTAACAAAAGAGGCTTAAAAGTCAGTAATCTTAAATTCAGTGTAACAGAATTAGAGATTTTATTTTCTCCTTTTCTGGAATAACTGCAACTCCTGTAATATTCAAAGTATGGAGATTGAAAGTGAAATTTTTACTGATTTTCATTGAAATGATTGCTGGTTTGACTGAGCTGACCTTTGCTTTAAATCAGAATTGATTGACCAATTGAGTCAACATGGTTAAATTGGTTGTGCATATACACAGAGACTTTGTTTATTGAATTTAGGGTATTCTGAGTAACATAATTTTCCTCTGCTTCTCTTCTGCTCCAGGAAACACTCTACTTTATGATGCATTTAATAATGTGTCGGAAAGCAAATGGAAGTAGAACCATACACAAGGGAGAGTAACAGTGGATTCTGCAACTGTTTAACATCCAAGAATCCTTTCAGATACTCATGTAGTTTGTATGTTATATTGGTTTTTCATATTAAAGATGGTATCTAAAATGTGGCTTTTGTGAAGTTATCAGAAAACCAAAAGCCATTGGCAGTATGATAACCATCTATTACAACTGTATAATTTCCAACCTCTAAGAATATTCTAGGAGTACATCCTAGAACATTTGGATAAATTGGAATGCACTAAGGATATTGCATTCTATCTCTATTTCCAAGTCTAATTTTTATTGTTGCAACTGGATAACGCATAGAAAAGAAATCAAGTAATACATAAAGGAACCAATATAGATGCTAAGATTTGGGTGCAGGATATTTCTGAAAATAATAGTTTTCTTGTTCATTTAAAATATCTAATTTCCTTTATTTTGGCATACTTCTTATCATTTAGACATCAAAAACAGGCCTGAAATGCAAAAATTAATAATCAGAAGGATACGAGAGCCAAACCCTTCTGAGTTGTAGAGGTGCCTGCCTCTCAGTGCCAAATCAACAACTGATTTCATAAACTTAGTCTTCATGTTATGAACTCTACTGCCAATGAAAATCAATAAAAACAATTTCCTTCTGCATTCATGATCCTCTCCTCACACTCTTTCTTCATATTCTTTTCAGGGTCATTTTGTCAAAATGCCACAGGGCCATACAAAATGTAATTTTGTGTTTCTGTGTGTGTGTCCCATGAAACCTGATTTTTCTTGTACACTTTTGATTGATATAAAGCGTAACTTTGAGGTTTTAAGTAAAATCAAAAACTTCGTGTTTTTAATTTTGAAAATAGTGAAGGAACCACCAAGTTTTGTTGCTGTTGCTGCTGTTTTAGCATAAATTTTGAGGCTGTGTATAATGTATATAATATATTACATGCAGTATAGCTAGTATAACTACAGAAAGAGAGAATATGTGTGTTTATTACATATGTGTATAATATAGTATATGTGCTAAATTAATCTTTATTGGGTATCTGAGAAGACTTTGAGAGAATGAAGTGTAAAATGATGTTTTAACAAGAAAGTCTTTGTCAAGCCTCTGAACCTCAAGCATAACTGAAAGTTGAGATACCTCCAGATAGATCTATTATTATTTAATCAGTTAACTCACTCATTCATGTGTATGTACCATGTGGATTACTGTAATGGCAGAGAAAATATATGAATGCCCTTTCCATCAAAAAGCTTATTCAGATAGTCAGAAGATAACATAACTTTAATACATGCAGGTATATAATACATCTTCTTTCTAATGCCGACAAATTTTTCTATGACATTTATGTGGTTCTCCTATATTTAATTCTTAGGGACTGAATCCACAAAATATTTTACAAAAAGATTTGCAAGGGTTGAGCATGCTATCATACATGCTTTTTTAATCTGGGGCCTGACAGATTGTTAGGATTTAATAAATAATGGTAATTATTATTATTATTATCATTCTAAAACAATCCAAATGGGAAATGTATTATTTTCCTCCATTTCACATTTGAGAAAACTCATCCCCCAAGTTAAGTAACTTGTAAAAGAGATAGCAGTTATTAAGTAGCAATGCTGTCAGTCAAAGCAAGGGATAATTGATTTTAAATAATGGTCTTGTCTTCTTTATAATAAGGGAATGCATATTCAAATTAATGTATTCAGTATTTAAATTTTCTGCCTCATTCTATAGAGTATAATGGTCTCTAAGATTGAATGAACAGGTGTTAGATATTGACATGAGCATTTCTAGATGTTATCTCTTGTATGTATTACAGCATCTCAATGAGGGTCAGTTTTTATAAATGTCCCCATTTTATAGATGGAGAAACTGAGACAGGCTTAGAAACTTGCTCAAAATAAGTAGCTGGTAGTAACTGGAGAAGACAGTCAACCCAATTCGATCTGAAAACTATATGACTTTTAAGCTTGATAGTGGACTGGCACAAAGTTGTATAAAGTGTTGAAAGGCAAGAAGATTTAAATGTTTACAGTATATCAAAAATGAAAAAGCAGGTAAAAAGACCAAACATTATATTTTGAGCCACATAATAAGTATCAGCACTGTTTTCAAAACAGAAAGCTAGAATGCTGTTTTTAAAAATTTAGATTGCCAACAGAAGAAAATCAGATGAAGTTTTACTTATTGTTTTCTATTATTTCATTGCAACAGAATTGTATGTTTAATATAAAAAATTTGGAAACAACACGCAGGAGAAAAAAGTCACCTTTACTCCTATCATCCAGATATAGGAACCTTTAAAATGTTGGCCCATGTCCATGCGTTGTCATTGTGTTCTATGTGTATACATGGAGTAAGTTCTCTCTGTGTTTGTAGGGCGTGTGTGTCTTTGTATGTGGCAACAAAATGTCCTAAGGCTTTTGTAATCAAGTACCATGAATAGGGTGGCTTAAAACAACAGAAGTTTATTCTTTCACAGTTTTGGATGTTAGAAGTCCAAAACCAAGATGTTGGCAAGGCCACGATCCCTTCAGAGCCTCTAAAGTAGAACCTTTCTTGCCTCTTCCCAGCTTCTGTGGGTGGCAGCAACCCTTGGTCTTCCTGGCTTGAAGCTATATCGCTCCAATCTCTGTTTCTGTCCTCACGTGATGTTCACCCTGTGTTTCTGTCTTCTGTTTTGTAAGTGCAATAGTCATATTGGACCCACCATCCTCCAGTATGACCTCATCTTAATTTAGCTAATTACCTCAGCAAAGTCCCTATTTCTGAATAACAGCAAATTATGAGATACTTGGAATTGGAACTTTATCTTATCTTTTTGGGGACACAAGTCAATTCAGTTCATAACACACACACACACTATACTTGTGCAAAACTAGAATTTTAGTTCATATATTATTTCATAGCTTATTTCATCTAACATATTGTAAATAACTTCCATGGTCACTAATTAAGATTAATCATGATTAAAGTTCTCAAGTTTACTTGCTTAGATTTTCAGTAAAAAAGTTAAAGAGTTTTAATTTAGAATTTTGCTTTTCAAAAATGTGAATATATTTTATCACCCCAATGGTGCTTTTGTGAGGAACTAAGACACCTCTCTGAGGGATGCTGTGTAAACCTGGCATGTTATTATTTTCCTCTGGCAATGCAAGAACACCAGAAATTTGACTTATTCCCATCCTTTCACCTGCATATTGGCAATAAATATAAGATCTGTGTGGCAGCTTCAGTCTAGTGTACTTAGCTCTGAGTCGTCGTAACATCCAGGAGAGCAATTCTTCGGTGAGGTGGAATGAGCAGCACTTTAATAGCAGTGCTTAGTGGTAAGGCTGTCTGAGAGGCAGAAAAGAGATTTTAAATTAAATGGACTTTACTGAAAATTGTCTTCACTTTGTAGTTTGAAGTCAGGGATGCAATTTTCAACTTTCTTTTCCCTCCACTTACCTGTTGCTAAGAGATCACATTCAGGGTAAAATTAATGCTTCTCCAATTACAAAGCATGTAGTCAGCAAAGGAAAGAAAATGTAACATGCAGTCTGTTGGTTAGAACTTTAAAAAAATAAGTGGCATTAGAGAGAAAATCATGCATATAATAGACATCTAACAAATGAGCATTAAGTCAATCAGCACGTACCGAGTAGTAAGTCTTAAACGTCTTGTCTCTGAGACTGTAAGAAATTCACTTTATGTTTTTGTGCTTTAGTTTATTCTGCTTTTTAACTCTTAGGAAATTAAAATGTACTCTTAAGGTAGAATTGACAGGGATATTACCCACTAGCTTCATCATAATATTAACAGAAATCTCTTGTGTCTCTGGAATCTTTTGGAACCAGGAAAAAAAAATTACTTTATGTCAGGATTCTTTTAATTGTGCAATATAATTTCACTGCGAAAAATTGAGTTATTTTGGTAATGGAGGTGACATCAGGAGATACATAATATTGGGTAATTGAGTGTTAGACCTAGTCAATAGTGCCACAGTTTTCCTTACATGTTCCCTGAAAGCTAGCATCTCATATATAAGTGTTCCTTCTATCACACTAACCAATGATCACCATCCTGTTTCATATCAGCCTCCTCATTTACTTAGTAAACATTCACTGGACATCTAGTTCAACTAAGGCTCCACTTGACACTCTGTGGCATTGGTAATGCAACGTGAGACAAAGCTATTTTACTCTTAAGATTCACTCTCTAATTTAAGAGATAATATATGCATATATTATGAGGAAAGGAGGCTCTGTTTCTTTCATGTTAAATGAAGAACATAGAGCTAATCCAGCTTGATATTGTGTAATATGAGGAGTCTTATAATGTAATAATAATGACATAATAAGGATAAATATATTAAGTCACCCCTCCTTCAAAAAAAGACTTAGATCTATCTTTTTTCTGCCCAAACACTAAGAAGCATTCAGAAAATTCATAGAATTCTAATTTTTCTCTTCACACTTAATGCAAACAAAATGAGAATTCAGATGGGAATTTAGTTTGGGTGTTATAATTAGCCAACCTCACTGACCAAAGCCACATTCGCAAACTTACCCGTCTCTCAGATGCCTTCTAATGAGCTCTATTAATCTGTTCTCTTCACCTCCCCCTTTGGAATTTCACTCTGGTATTACTCTTTTCAGATGCTTTGCTATAATGCTTGATTTTAAATAGGGTTTAATATATTTTGGTCATGCCATTGACACAATACTTAACATCCCAAATATGCTTTCACATATGGAGAGTACCATCTGTGGTATTAAATATTATTTCATAAAGGTTCAATTACTCCATTTCCTTTAACTCTCCACCTCCAAATAGTAGACAAAAAAGGGGTGCATGAACATTTTTAAACATCTCTCCCATAAATCCATTAATTTAATTCACAATTTCTTAAAGAAAATTGCCTAAAGACAATGCAAGATAAAGGAAATAATAATTAAGCCATCCCCAGGGATAGTGGATGTACCTGAGAACCAGTTACTGATCATGATAGAGTAGAACAAGGACTGGCATGAGGAATAGGAGGCCTGGGCTTTATTCCTTTCATGGTCACAAGCCCAAGTTTTAGTTGTTTCATCTAGAAAATAAAAGGCTTGGGGGAGATCCATGCTTTCCAAGTGTACTATGCATGGGATTCAGCTGTGAAGCGTGTTAAAAATACAGATACCTTAGGTCCATCTAAGTTTGGAAGAATTTGAACTTAGGGCCAGTGCCCATGAATCTGTGTTTTTTACTAACTCCATAGTGATTGGGACCTACAACAAGGTTTGGGAACCACTGTTCCAGGGATGTCTAGGATTTTTATTTCAGTTCGGAATGGATATGACACTCAATGTCTACATCAGGGGAATTTCATCACTGAGACAAAAAAAAAAAAAAAAAAAGCCTAATTGGAATTAGAAGAACCAGTATTTTAGTCTGGGATCTGCAAGACTTTACACTTTTGAGATTCAGTTTCTTTCTCTGAAAAATGAGGATCGTGCCAGTGGTATTTCCGTGGGCTGTTGAATAGGTGATCGTACTTAGCATAGTGTCAGTAGGTATTAGCAGGAGGAACACAAGGAGAAATAGAGAAAGAGCAGCCAGTTCACAAAATGAAGTGTTATCAAGGGACCAGGAAGAATATAAATATATGAAATGAGTAAGAAGTAAAATAGTGTTTGCTAGGCTTCCATTATATTACCAGCTTAGTTCATTCATTTATGAGCGCATAGCCCCTTTTCTAAAAAATTCAGCAGAACAAACAAGCTTCTTCCTTTTAGATCTGTGGGGAATTTTGAGACGTTCATTCTAAGATATCATAGAAAATTGTCAATGGCAGGTGCTGTGAAGTTGCTGGAGATAAATGATATATACAGTGAAACAATGAGAGCGGCGCAATACCTTACATTCTGAAAGAATATTTTAAGCTTCAGATTTCATTCATACCAAAAGATACTTTTTAATACTTGCTATCTCCTGTTTAAGGATCTAATTGTGCACAACAGTTATGCATAGTTCCATCTCTCCATGAGCTTATAGTTTAATGCAGTCCATACATAATTATAGAAAGAGACATGATGCAGACACGAAATTCCAAACATATTTCTGGCGTTTTCTTACGGGCAAATTGGACCTTAAATTTTTTTGCAACATTTAAAGCAATAATTTTCACCATCTTGATCTTTATTTCTTTTGATCTGCTAACTAAAGAGAAAGTAGATAATACAGGAGTAGATAATGTATGAAGGCATGGAGTAGATGGGAAATCTCTGTATCTTCCTCTCAATTTTGCGGTGAACCTAAAACTGCTCTAAAAAAAAAAAAAGTCTTTAATAAAAAAGAGAGAAAATAGAAAAAAAATCCATCGCATTCAGCTAACACATTGTTGCTGTACAAAAATTCCCGCACAGCAAGATGACTCGTAAACTGAAGGCAGGCAGAATGTGTAGGAACTGTATTAGGCTTGTAGACTCCAATATATACACCCTTGTACAAACCACATTTCAGCACAAAGAATTCAATAATCTGACACTTCTCTGGTGAAGTGCGTTATTCTGCTGCAGAGTAAATTGCTGTGGCCAAATTTTTCAGTAGGATCCAATTCTCTATAATAACCCAGCAAGGTCACACCTCAAATGAAGCAGTGACCTACCCGAATGTCCCCTCATAACTGTCGAGGGATTCCAAGGAAGCAGGACGTCTCCCTAACCTGTCTGCTGGGATCCTTGAGATTGAGTTATAAGAAAGGAGGCTGTGTCTGTTGAACTCCACCTGACATTGTTCTTTATCATTGTTTCCTTAGCTTCTGAATTTTTGTTCCAGGGATAGATTATAAATAGGATGAACAGTGCCTAGAGTAGGCCCCGTGACTCATATAAGCCATAATTACACTGGCCATGAGACTATTTCCGGAACAGACTTCAGGCCTATAATTCAGAGAATAACATTTGTTTTAAAATATGGCTCCAGATACTTTTTTGGCTTTGTCCTAGAAATGTTGAGGGTAACAGAAAAGATGACTTTGTTAAGTACCTATAACTTCTTAATATCTGTGTGTGTGCGTGTGTGTGTGTATTTACACATTGAAATAGCTGTTATGTTCGAGCTAAATGCCAAACTGATAGACTAAGAATACCTTTAAAACGCATTATAGTTTCCTTTTCTGTGCCTTTATTTTTAGGGATAAATGAAGGTTTTTAAAAAGGGAGTTTACTGCAACCATAAAGCAGCCCTATGCCAACTGTTGCAGAAAAGGCCCTTCTGACTCAGAAACACTAATGCATGGAGAAACTTGCTTTATTCTGGTGAAAGCAGGGTTCAAAAACCTCATCCACTTCATTTGCTTTGCTGAAATAAGCCAAGTCTCCCTGGTGCCTCATGCCTCAAATTCCTTCTTGAAAACACCTGTTCTTCTCACGGAATTTGGGGCTTTCTCAGTGACAATTTGAAGGATTTTTTTAAACCAAAAAATTAGCAGAGAAAACCCAGAGAGAAGTAATGGGCATCACTTTACACATCATGAAAAATGCTTAAAGAAAGTAAAAATAATATTGCAATACATTTCCTCCAAAATGATACTTTAATGCCTAGAATTGTTTTAGAAAAATATTTAGTTTTTGCATAATGTTTATGGATTAAATGATGATAAAAGTTTGATGGAATTATACCAAATTTTCTTTAAAAGTTGAAGCCTATCTATGAATGAAATATGAAATTTTTCTTATTAGACCACCTGTTCATGTGGCATATTTTTTCCTTAACACTTTTGTCATGGTTGTACTTATGTTAATTTTAAGTATTAATCCATAAGATAGTATGAGCTACTTCTTGGCTATTTTCTAATATATATTTTATATATAAATTAATCTCAAATTTTCTCCACTTGATTCATTTGATGGTTCTCTCAACAGATCAGCTCTAAGTTGAATTCCTGAAGTTTGACCCTTTTAAAAGCTGACATATTGTGCAACAATCTTTCACAGCCCAAATACTTTGAGTGCATTATTGAGATCTTTAGATTAACTGAGAAGGTAACTTGTCTTGTATTCAATCTGTGAATGATTGATCTACTCACACTTAATTTTAAACAGTAAATGTATTCCGTGCCTAAAGTGAATTTTCCTTTCCATTGAATGCTGAATTGATACAAAGTAAATTCTAGAAAAATATGAAATATGCATGTGTGTACGAGAATAAATTCTTCATATTTCCACCTTAGATATTCTCAAATGTTCACTTTACCTATAGTAGGATTTATCGATTGACAAATACACAGGCTCATTCAACAGTGTAATTTTTGAGATATTTCACTGAAACAAAATGGGCATAATTATTTAGACGGACATCTGACAATGAATACTTTTCAGACTTGGCTGGGTAATGTTTTTAGCATCACTGATCCAGCAAGATCCAATAATACGACTGACTTTTTGTTTAATAGAATTCCCTCTAGAATGTTCTACTCCATTAGTAAAAGGGAGTTGCTCAAGTTACATAGATATGTTCTCAAGGACATTGGCTAATAAAACACAGACATTTGTGTCTAGATGCTGAATGTTTATATGCAGACATTTGCTCAAGCAAACCATTCTCTAAATATATAAGTTGTGTTAACAAAATGATTACTGTATTAGACTTACTCAGACCTAATCATATTTTTTAAATTACTGTAGCCTATGGAAATATTTCTTCCCAAATATAGAATTGTTTTATATATTTAGGTTACTTTGCAAAGACTATAACAACATTCATAAAAACAATCAAAAGAATACATTATCAGAAGTCACTTTGTAGAAAATAGAGGAAGTTTTATTAATTTTTGTCCCAGACTTTTATATTCTACAACTTAGTATGTTAGATTCATGAAGATGAACAAATATAGGTATTTGTTAATGCAGTGCTGCAAAGTAGTGGCATTCAGAATTATATCAAACACAATTTATACAGGGCCATCCAAAAAAGACATTATGCAGTGTTTAGCTGAGTTTGTATAAAATACTACAGCTGTCTCTAGGATGCCTTTCCCTTGTGGAAAAAAGCTTAATTCTGCCAAGGCAAGAGTGCAGGGCCCCTTCTTGCCCTTATTTGCTTTTAGAGACTGACACTGTCAAGTTGATAAATGGTCTTTGACAGAAGCAAAGGTAATTCAAAGCTCATTCACAGGTAGAATAGTCTTTAATAGATTCTTTTTTAAAACTCTCTGGTGGAGAAAAAATATATAGAGGGAATGCCTAGTATTAACTCACCGTGAGGCTGTTATTCTCCCAAAACCCAAAAACCCATAGTCTCTGTACAGCTATATTTTTGTCATTCTATCATGTTTACTGTGTACATGTGTGTCTGTTGTTTACAAACAAGCTTATTTATTTTGTATCCATATGAAAGAAAATCAGTGTTTAATTAAGAAAAAAATCTTTGGTTGAAATGTTGTGTGCTTTTTTTGCAGGAGAGGGGGCAGCCTTTCATAAACTGAATAACGTTGAACATATATTTGACAAGCTCACCCTATCATAATGATGCTTTGGAATTACAGAAAAGAGTTGAAGGTTTTAGTAAATGCAGGCAAATTTTAGTTCTATTCTGTTTGCTTTTGATGTTTGGCAAATCAATTCATTAGTGATAAAATAATGGGGTAAGTCAGCAGAGAAAGCTCAATTCATTGCATTTATCCCACCCACCATAGTTCATCTGCAGAGTGGTTGCTCTGATTGTGTTAGATCATATTCCCATCATCCTCCCAGGCAGAGATCCCTCGCATTTCATTTAGGTTTATTCCTTTTGTTCTTTTCAAAAAAGACTCAGGAATACAGCATTGAGAAAGCTTTTCCTGCAGTGTTAAGGAAATTCTCTAATTAATGGTAGATACAAATGACAGGATACATGCTTTTCTGGTTATTCTGAAGGTGGTGAGAACACTATTTAGTTGCTATTACTTTTATATTAGCTCGTATAAATAACTACTCTTATACTAAACCAGTATCAGAGCTATGAGTCATGTTTACTGTCTTCGCTTTTCTAAGCTTGGACATGTAATGAAGTTAATTTTCTTTGGAAGACAGTGTTGGAGTGATCTACAACACTCACATGGCTGCACACTAGCACACCTCTAAGAAAAAAAATAGAACTGATTGAAACCCTAAGGCAATCATTTTGGCAAATAAAAATGACCAATTCAATGAAGGGCTTTTCTGGGTTTCATCATATTTGGTAGAAATAATATGTTAAATCTTTTTTAAATGCATACAGGAAAAGAATTATAATTACATCAGTCATTCTGTTGAGCACTGCAGTTGCATCACCCTGAGATATGTAGTCATGCATATATCTAGAGGAGAGTGGTATAAATAAGATCATATATGTCTCACTTAAAGAGCCTGTAAATGTATAGATGTGTAAAGACTCATGCATGAATAATTATGCTTTAATATAAGCAAACATAATGTGGAAAGAGATAATTTTTTTTAAAAAAGGAGGCATTGACAATGTGAGCATAAATACAGAGGAAAGAAGCAGGCTTTTGAACTAGGTGCCAATAAAAGCTTCTTGGAGGAGTCACCATTTTAGAAATTGGAAGATGTGTAAGATCATGTAGAGTTGCTGGTGGAAGGGGGCAACTTTAAGAGTGAGGAACACCATGTATGAAGATATGAAGGCCAGAAGTCCGAGAACGTTTCACAGAGTTGTGTTATCTCAATCACATTACTCACATCACATTATTGGAATGTGTCAAATATAAGAATGGAATGATGGCTGACATATTCACCCATTAATTCACTCATTCATTGAGTTCATGGAGTTCCTGCAATGGGTTGTAAGAACTCAATGAAATCAATGGGTGAGTGTAACACTAGAAAAACGTTCAGAAATGAATAAAATATAGCAGCTGTGTAGGGGTCATTCTTTAGTGCGGAGTATGGAAGGAAAAACAGATAATCAAAAGGCAGTATAATAAATTCTCAAGTTGGAGCTTTCACAGAATATCATGGAAGTAAAACACATGTCCCAGCTAAATCTACTTGAGAGAATCAGGAAAAAATTAACAGAGAAGCTGAATGTGGCCTAGATCCTGAAGAGTATGTAAATATTATAGTAGATGGAGAGTGTGAGATGAACAGTCAAAGCAAGTGAAATAAGTATTTGTAAATGCAAACAGGTATAAAAGGGCATAGTTTTTTGGGGTAGAAGGCCTTGATTACTGTGCTTAGGGGATTAGATTTGCTACATAGCATTACATCATTGAAAGCATCTGAGCAGAGAAGCAAAAAGATCTTATTTGAATGTTAGAACCATTGATTTATAGCACACATAAATAAACAAAATAGATTGCTGTATACTCAACCCACTGATATTTAATATCTTCTAAGTTATGATGATATCTTAGACCAAGTAGAGATTATAATGTGTCAATCATTACAAAGAACTGAAGAATCCATCTGCTATACTATTAGCTCAACTGACTCATCATTACTTAGTCTAATATAAACCTCTTAATTTCAAGGAAAACAGAATAATTAAAGGGATAATAACTCATAGCAGGTCATGTGCAGTTTAGTGACTACATGAAAGACTTCTGAACAAGACTATGGCATCTACCTAAGTCCACTGAATATGATAATATCAAAAGAAGCATATATGTCATATATAATAGTAGTTCCTCTGGCCTCTGCCCAACCACGGATCAAGACTGAATACTAATCAATGATGTATAATCATTACATGGTGGGATTATTTCACTGTTTGCATACACAATTTTATAACACAAACCTTAGTATTTATTTTAGTTAAATATGTAAATCATAATCCTTTTCAAGATATGCAGTAAATCCTTCACTTAAAATCCTCCAATCCATCTCTCTGAGGATGAAACCTAAATTTCTTGCCATGCCTTACAAATATTTCCAGTATCTCAACAGTGCATACTCCTAACTTTGTCTCCTATTATTCTCTCCTGGGCTTTGTATATTCCGGCCAAACTGCTTTTCTAGCTATTTTTTCAAACACAGCAAGATCAACACCCCAGGACTTTTGCACTTCCTCTTCCTACTATCCATGCTCGTCTTCCCCAAGATTCACATGGTTGTTTTGCCTTTCAGATCCTCGCCCAGTGTCACCACACTATCTGTTCTAAATTAGCTGTACTCTGCAACCCCAAAACCCCCGTCACATTCAACCATATCACTCCTCTTATCTGAAATCATCCCATTTATCTTCTTACTTATATGTTTATTCTATCTCCTTCTATCTCACATCCCCACCACATAAACATACTAGATTGCAAAATAGGAGAACAATTTGTTCATTTAGCACATTACTGTTTTCTGAAGATCTAGGGCAATAGGTGTTTAGTTGAATGGATGAAGATATAGCATTATTATATACTTATATCATGGCTTTCAAAAACGATGTTAATGACAGCGAGTACAAACTATATTTGGGTGTGACTGGAAAGATAAATGTGTCTTAGTCCCCTCTACATTATGCAAAGACATTTGTTTGGTTAAAAGTTTCATTTATTGGCCAGACGACACAGTGGCTCACTCCCAGCACTCTCAGAGGCCAAGGAGGGTGGATAACCTGAGATCAGGAGTTCCAGACCAACTTGGCTAACATGGTGAAACCCTGTCTCTACTAAAAATACAAAAAAATAGCCAGGCATGGTGGCACATGCTTGTATTCCCAGCCACTCAGGAGGCTAAGGCAGTAGAATTGCTTGAACCTGGGGAGGTGGAGGTTGCAGTGAGCCGAGATCACACCACTGCACTCCAGCCTGGGCTACAGAGGGAGATTCCGTCTCAAAAAAAAAAAAAAAAAAAAAAAGCTGTATTTATTTGACAGACCTAGCCCTACCATCCTGCATATGAGATTCATGCCCACTGATACATTGCTCATCATTTGTACCAGGAAAATTAATAGGAATTAGGAGGAAATGTTAGTGTCCTTTCTTCTTCTCCTCCTACTCTAGTATATAATCAACCATGTCCTTCTAATCTACAAAGTACTTATTAAGGCTCTGCTGAAAAAGACTTTGAAAGGGAGCCTGCAAAAAAGAAATTACACGATTGTCTGGACCTCACCCTTTTTTTACAAACAGAGACAAATGTAGATAAAAGTGATGGAATTATATTTATTATGTGCACCCCTTTGTAACATGTTGCCTTCAGAAAGCCTCTTTTTTTGTTCTTGTTGCCTTATTTTGATTTACTTATCTCTGTTCTATAATCATGAATATGACCTTTGCATTTGCCTGAAAGTGGTTCTTTTGCATGGTACGATACTAATTTTGGGGATGACATAGTGCTGTTTAGAGATTAGCAATGTACCATGGGAGAAACAACCAGAGATTAAGAGTAAATAAAAAGAAAAAATAACTGAGATCATGGAGCTGGTTTTGCTACCTGATCAGCTTAGACCTTGGCCAGTGGATATGTCTCTTAGTCTCCTAGAGCCTTAATTTCTACCTCTGTAGTATCTTCTCTCACAAATTAAAGAAATAATGTATAATGTACATGAAGAATCTGATTCTCTATGTCTGAGATATGTATACTTGTTAAAAGATGCACAAGTAATTTAGATATGCACTAGGAGTGAGAAACAAAGGTGTGGATTATGACTTGGGACCCTCAAGACATGGGCCTAGCTTCATTACTCCTCTGATAATGCTAACTGTGTCATCATAGCATGCAAAGGTCAGTGTCTGACTATCTGATATGGGCCCTGTTGTATCTCATGGGGGATAACATCTATAACCACCTTAAATTCAACTAGGAATGTGATTTATCAATAACTTTTTCAATCCAGAAGTTAATCCTTCCTTCCTTTTATTATTTTTTGAATCAACTTCACTGGGTCACTTTTTCTATGGAAAATTTCTTCAGTGTATCTCCATATATCCCAGAAGCAAAATTCAAACGACTTTAAACCAGAAAGGATGTAAAGTACTCCAGCAAGCCCTGGCAGTGTTCGTGTAGGTATAAGACCAGTTTTAAATTTCCCAATGTAGGTTATGACCTCATGGAAATATTTGTATCTCTAAAATATCCTTGGGGTTAAGTGACATGCAAATATTATGTGGCATATATATTTCATTCTAGTGAGACAGTTATTTTCCTTGTCCCTATGTAGTCTGAAGTTTGAAAGCCAGGCTGTTTTTGAAGCTCTTAGAGTGCAGAGGAATGAATTATGTCTGTTCTGACACAGTAATGTCTGAAGGATCAGCTCTGGCGTACTCATCAAGTTTATGTTGCCAATGCTCTTAATATGTATTAGATTCTGCATCCAGGATATAATGTGTTAACCTTTTGTGATACCATCCTTTATCAAAAGAGATTATTTTAATTCATGCTTTATTTAAATTCCTTTTGTGGCCTGTCAGTATAAAAAAAGAAACACATTTAAAAATGCATTTGTTTCATACAGAAATATTCTAAGAGAAAATCTAGAAGGAAACTTCCTTTTTCTACTTTCCTAAAACATAAATAAGACATTAGTGTAAAGCAGTGGTACTATTTAAAATATACCACTGGTGTTGAAGCTTTCTCATCTAATTTGGTGTATATATCTTTATACTTATAAAGTTTCCATACAGTTTATTCAAACAAACCAATTCTAAGAAAGCTACATTTTATTCTTATTTCTCAAAATCCCCATATGCCAAAAGAAACAGCCAAATTGCACTTTTTCAGCATCTCAACATAGTTAGTAATATTATAGCAATTATTTTATGAAGATCTAAAACATACAGGGAGATCTGGCATGCAACATTATTACACAGGTTATCTATTGGTGTAATACACCACATTAACAGATTAAGGAAGGGAAAAATAATGATCACATCAACAGATGATGAAACAATTCTTATTCATGTCAAACAAAATCTTTGCACACTTAGGATAAAAGGGGATTTTGTAATCCTCATGCAATCTTATATTTAGTGATAAAACACTGGAAGACTTCAAAATTTGAGACTGGGCAGGAATGCTCATTATCACTGCTTCGGTACATCCTATGAGATCTTCAATACAAAAAGGCAAAAAGAAAAAAAAAGAAAAATTGTAATGATTGGAAATGTTATCATATATGCATATATGTATATACATACACACATAAATCTGATGGTATTATGCATATTTAAAAAATCAGGCTGGGTGCAGTGGCTCACGCCTGTAATCCCAGCACTTTGGGAGGCCGAGGCGAGCAGATCACCTGAGGTCAGGAGTTTGAGACCAGCCTGACCAACATGGAGAAACCCCATTTCTACTAAAAATACAAAATTAGCCGGGCGTGTGGTGCATGCCTGTAATCCCAACTACTCAGGAGGCTGAGGCAAGAGAATCACTTGAGCCCAGGAGGCAGAGGTTGCAGTGAGCTGAGATCATGCCATTGCACTCCAGCCTGGGCAACAAGAGCGAAACTCCATCTCAAAAAAAAAAAAAAAGAAAAAGAAAAAAAGAAAAAAAATATGCAAGTCTTTTCCAAAAGGACATTAAATTAGAAACAGAATGAGTTAACGGAGATGATGCATTTCGGATACTGAAGAGAGTAGTAGACAAATCAATTGAAAATTTTCAAAGGAAATGTTTTAAATGTTTAGCTCCCATTTCTTAGTATGTCTCCCCACTTCATGTTTATGAGATAGGATGGAAAGGGAGGTATGGGAGGTGGATACTTGTTAAGAGCTTGCTTTGGTGAGAGCTGATAGGATAGGTGCATTTCACCCACCTTCTACAATGGAATTGATAAGGAAAGCACATTTTATATGACAAGATGACTTAAAAGAAGGCCTTCAGCAATACTTTCAAATATTGCTACTTGGAGAATTTGATATATGACTCTGAAATTTAGAAGGCACGAGGTCCACTGACTGACTCCTAAACAGAAATCTAGAGAATCAAAGAGGAGATATTAACAAGCTGTTTTGAAGGAAGAATTAAAATGAGGTGGCTGATTTAGGATCAGAATTCTGATCCCAGAATTTACTGGGTTAAAGGAAACAGGAATATTTTCTCAGGATTCGATGTGAGCCATGTGGAGAAAAAAGCTGGCTTATAGCTGTTTTTACTTCTATCTAACAAGGGTCAATTGGTGTGATCTAACAGTGAGAATCTATGCCTCCCTGAACAAATTAGGGACTAAGCGCATCTTCAGAAAGTGGAAGGAATTAATGTAACATCCATATCATGGTGGTTGCATTGGGAGGGACGCAGCAAGGAAGCTTATGTGAACCTTTCAAAAGATCCCAGAATCAAGTCAGCTTTAAACATCTACCAGACTCAAAGTACATAAAACCAATTCTCTCTCTCTCTCTCTTTTTAGAGACAGGGTGTCGCTCTGCAGCCAGGCTAGAGTGCAGTGGTTCAATAATAGCTCATTGTAACCTCAAACTTCTGGGCTCCAGTGATCTTCCCACTTCAGCCTCCCAAGTAGCCAGGGCTACAGGCACATGTCAATATGCTTGGCTAACTTTTTTTTTCTTCCTTTCTTTCTTTTCTTTTTTCTTTTTTTTTTTTTTGGTTTCCAGAGACTAGGTCTTGATATGCTGCCCAGGCTGGTCTTGAACTCTGAGCCTCAAGCTATCAAGCAATGCTCCTGCTTTGGCTCCCAAAGGGCTGGGATCATAGGCAAGAACCACAGAACCATGAACCATGCCCCATTTTTTTTTTTTTTTTTTTTTTTTTGCAATCAAACATCCTAAATGTAATTTTCAAGTAATTTAGTAAGTCAATCCCAAAATTTGTTTGGAATATTACAAGTCCAAAAGTTGGCAATATAAATTTTAAGAACAAATTTGGTGATAGGAAGAGCTTTCCATACATGATGTCAAAATTTATTTTAAAGACACAGTGGTTAAGAGGATGGTATTGCAGATTGCACAATGTTAGACAAAACAAACAAATGCAACAGAATAAGAAGTTACAAAATAGGTCCACATATATGTGGATAATTAATTTATAGATGCTGTATCTGTGGAAAACAGTGGTCTGTTGACTCCAGTCGATAAATGAATCTGTGATAATTGGGTGTAGGAAGAGTGGACATTTACTTCACAAAATGCACAAAATAAATTCCAGGGGTATTAAACATTTAACATTTAAAGATAGAAATGTAAAACATTTAGAAGATCACATAGGAAAACAGTATCACCTCAAGAATGAGGATGTTTTCTTTTGCCAAACAAGACACTAAAAGTGAAAATTACAAAGAATATATATTTATTAAATTTGACCTCGTTAACATTAGAAATATCAATGCAACAGAAGACTCCATAAACCAAGTGAAAAAAAAATGCCACAGTGTGTAAAAGATATTTACAATACTGGAAGATATATATATATATATATATATATATATATATATATATATATATATATATATATACACCACATTTTCAAAATAGACAGAATAGCAGTGGATGTGAAAAGTTATCCAAGTGGCTGGTAAACACATGAAAAGTTGCTCGATATCTCTAGTAACCAAGAAAGGTTGATTGGAGCTGCATTTAAATACTATTTGACAACCATCAGATTCCAAAGAAGTCCAACAGCACGTAATACCAAGTATATGTTTAAGATGTGGAGAGATAGAAATTTTCATATACTGTTTTTTTTTTGAGAGTACAGGTTTATAGAATTGCATTAGGAAGAAATTTTGCAATAGCTGGTAAAGTTCTAGATAATCACATCCCATAACACATTAATTCTTCTCTTACATAGACCTTAGGAAAGCTCTCATGCATGAGCACATTGAAACATGTTCAACGGTGTTAACTGCAGCTTTAGAAACAGCCCAAATGTCCATTACCAGAAGTCTAGATCAACACATTTGGGTGGATTCATACAATGTAGAATTCTGCAGATAAATCAAAATGAGCAAACTAGAAATAGAGGATCATATGGAACCCAGTGGAAGGAAAAGGAATAAAAAAGGAACACAAAATGATGAGGGAAAGAATATAATACAAATAAAATAGCAGGGATAAGAGTAAACACTCAGTAAGAAGTGCCGCAACCTCTCTTCTACTTACATAATTAACCTTCTGACTGCCTGTTACCACCTAATACCTTCCTGCAATAAGATAAAAGCAGGGTCCTTCAACATATTTAACTTAGCTATTAAATCCTTTCTAGTGCCTTCTTTAAATCTTAGAATTAGTTGGAAATATTTAAATATAACTAGATAAGTCTCTTCTACCACTTTTTAAAATGCTAATAAAATGTTTGAGTTGTAAAATGTCACCTGATTTTGCTTCTTTCCCCCTACAAATCTGTAGATATTCTTTATCTTGTTTAGAAAGTTTTTTTTTTAACTAGCATATCTATTCCTTGGATCAACCTTGATTAATCAAATTGATTTTTAAAAATAATAGTATGTATAATTCATATGATAAAAATATCAGAATTTCTTGATTACCTAAAAAATGGTAACAGCCATTGTATTTGTACCTGTGATTACAGAACAAAAAATAAATCAGTGTAAAAAGTCATTAGTGAGTTGACAAGGTATTATTAAAACCTCTAACATTTAATCATTTGATGTATTAGGAACTACTGAGACTTACTATAAAATAAATGATTACCTATTGATAATTAGAGTAAGATCGTTCTTTAGAAAAAAAAGTGTAATTCTTTTCATATTGCATTTATTCATGCCTTATGGAAACATCTATAGCACAGTTTGTTTGTAGAGTTGAAGCCAGAGAAAGCTATAAAATGAAGAGTAAACTTGCCACAAGTCTTAGCACTAGTACCAAGCTAAATATTATAATGTGATATGGTTTGGCTGTGTCCCAACCCAAATCTCATCTTGAATTGTAGCTCCCATAATTCCCATGTGTTGTGGGAGGGGCCAATGGGAGATAATGGAATCATGGGGGCAGTTTTCTCCATACTGTTCTTGTGGTAGTGAATAAGTCCCATGAGATGTGATGATTTTATAAGGGGTTTCCCCTTTCGCTTGGCTTTCATTCTCTCTTGTCTGTCGCCATGTAAGACATGCCTTTCACTTTCTGCCATGGATCGTGAGTCCTCCCCAACCTGTGGAAATGTGAGTCCTTTAAACCTCTTTTTCTTTATAACCTACCCAGTCCTGGGTGTGTCTTTATTAGCAGTGTGAGAACAGACTAATACATAATGTATGAAAAACATGCAGTATTTTGGAATAAAGAAGAAAAACTCTAAATGGAATTTCTGGTATTTAAAATATGCATTCATAGTTTATAGTTTTTTAGAGAAAAGAGTTGCTTTCAAATTTTATTTGGTTATGTTTTCTAAATAGTAAGCAGACTTTCTAACATTTAGCCTTTTGAATAAGGAAATAACATGCCAGTGAAACTGTTAAGCATTTATTTCTAAAGTGGACCACATTTTATACTACTTAGTTTTTCTATTCAATTAATTATGAATAACCATATATTATATGCACATTTTGATCATTCTTATATAACATTTTATAAATGGAAATGTGATAGATTTAGAAACATTACATAACATCTTCTTAATATGGCCCTTAAATTTATTTGCTTACAACTTTGCCAAAAGTCCCAATGAGATGCCTCTACAATGATTCACATTTCTGTGTCTTTCAATATTGCAACATTATTAGTTTTGGTTCCTTTACATGAGTTTTGGCCAAGATAGCTGAGATTATGTGAGCTGATCTCAAGAAAGTTACCAAGGTCCATTTTTTCCATTCCCCAGCTTATTTTTTAAGAAAGTCAAAAGTCAGATAGCCTAATAAGAAAACTCTTAGATATAATACAAACTTCTTTAAAGGGACTTTTTTTAATTTCTTTTTTTTTTTTTTCTGAGATACAGTCTCACTCTGTCACCCATGCTGGAGTGCAGTGGCACTATCTTGGCTCACTGCAACCTCTGCCTCCTGGGTTCAAGCAATTCTGCTGCCTCAGCCTACTGAATAGCTGGGATTACAGGCCCACGCCACCAAGGCCAGCTAATTTTTGTAATTTTAGTAGAGACAGGGTTTCACCATGTTGGCCAGGCTGGTCTTGAACTGGCTGGTCTCGAACTCCTGACCTCGCGATCTGCCCACCTTGGCCTCCCAAAGTGCTGGGATTACAGGCGTGAGTCACCATGCCTGGCCTTTTTAAAAAATTTCTAACTGAAAGTACACTTATGGAAGCTCAGAAAACAGGCACCAAATATTAGGTAAAATGTACTGGACTGCCTTTGTAAAGCCTAGACTATAGATACAAGTGCTAAGTGAATCCACATGCTTTCTAGACAGTGTCCAGTCTTACAGCTTATTTCCTGTTCTAACAAATCAATATAGTCAAAATTCATTGGGATACAACAACCTTAAGACTAGTGTAAGGTGAGAACCATATACTAAACATGCATATAAAAGGTCTGTAGATTACATTGTTTTTTTCCCCAACATAAAATGTGAATTTTATTCTGAAATATATAGTGAAATATGGTAAAATAAAGTTTTGGCCAACTATATTTAATATAATTCAGATACTTATCAAATTTTAGATGCAATTAAAATCAGCCAAAAGTTTGGATGTCAGGACAGTTGGAAATACTGGTGAGAAAGAGCCTTTAAAAAGCAAGAAAGTCACAACAAATCATGACATTATCAGAAGTTGATTTTACAGGAATGAAATAATGTCTTCTGCAGCAACTTGGATGGAGCTGGAGGCCATTATTCTAAGTGAAGTAACACAAAAGTGAAAAACCAAAACCTGTATGTTCTCACTTAAAAGTAGGAACTAAGCTATGAGTTCACAAAGGCATACAGAGTGATATAATGGACTTCAGAAACTCAGAAGAGGGAGGGTGGGAGGGGCTAAGGATAAAAAACTACACATTAAGGGCCGGGCACGGTGGCTCAGGCCTGTAATCCCAGCACTTTGGGAGGCCAAGGGCCAAGGTGGGCGGATCACGAGGTCAGGAGATCGAGACCATCCTGGCTAACATGGTGAAACCCCGTCTCTACTAAAAATACAAAAAATTAGCTGGGTGTGGTGGTGGGCACCTGTAGTCCCAGCTACTCGGGAGGCTGAGGCAGGAGAATGGCGTGAACCTGGGAGGTGGAGCTTGCAATGAGCGGAGATTGCGCCACTGCACTCCAGCCTGGGCGACAGAGCAAGACTCCATCTCAAAAACAAAAACAAAAACAAAAACAAAAAAACTACACATTAAGTACAATGTACACTACTCAGGGGGCAGGTGTACTAAAATCTGAAAATTCACCACTATTTAATTCATCCACATCACAAAACCCCTTGTACCCCAAAAGCTATTGAAATAAAATTTTTTTAAAGAAAAAAATTGATTTTACTTTAGTTTTCAATAAAACATCATAATAAGAATAAATTATAGATATTGAGAAATCATTACTCTTGTGATATCTTTTTCAAAATATAGGTATGAACTATAATTATTACCAATTTTAAGAAAGAGATTTTTATTTAACATGCTCTTTCTGTCTTTATCACAGACCACTTAAATTATTTTGCTTTCAAAATCATGTCTTCCTTGAGATTTACAGGTAATAGAAAGCATCTTTTTTGCCATACTCTTAAAAAGTAAAAAAAACTAAGCTCATTTTTCTTTGCGTCTGAGCCAAATTTTAAAGGATTACGTTCTTAATCTTGACATTCAAAGGAGACATCCCAGGATGTTGTAAATGTTCCAGCAGGATTAAGAAGAGAGACTGCAGTGTCTCTAAGAGCTCTCTAGCCTGTCTTCAATATGCTCGTTTCTCAAAAATGATGGGGTGGAGTGGGACAGAATATCTGAGCCCTTGACCTTGTCAAAGCAGTCAGATGTGTCAAAGTGTAACTACCCTCAATGTATTAAGTAATGTAGAGGGAATTACTGCAGCATATTTTACTTGTACCACATTCCTCCCCAGTCCATTCAATGATGCTGGAATAATAAATAGGAAATGCTTAATATCATAAGTAAATTTTCTTTAAAACTTTTAAGTAGAAATTAAGTGATAGTAAATGTGAGAAATCCATAATCATTTATTAAATATCATGTGTTCTGGGTCAATACTTTTGCCATTTAGCCTATTTGTTATGTTTATTATATTCAAAGAATACCTATTATTCAGTAATTAAACTTATAAATTTGATGTATAGTTTTGATGCAGATTATTAAAAAATACCACTACTATTTCAGATGTAACTATATTTAGAATAAATCTGAGCTGACTATATTTAGAATAAATCTGAGCTGACTATTTTATGGACATATAAAATACTAACTGAAAAGGAAGGCTGCATTTGATTGCCAATAATGAATATACGGACAGATTGCAGAGAAATATGTAAAGGTTGGAAAATAGATTATAGGTTCATTTGTAGGGACAGGAATTTAATTTTTCTGCATTATAGACGAAGATGTGAAATTTGAAATTAGTTAAAAGTATGGCTATTGAGCTTTATTATAGAAAAGTTAAAATTGTAGTTGAATACGAGTGTAGTGTGTTAGTCTGTTCTTACATTCCTGTAAAGGAATATCTGGACTGGGCAATTTGTATTCAAAAGAGGTTTAATTGGCTCATGGTTCTGCAGGCTATACAGGAAGCATGGTGCCTGCATCTGCTTCTAGTGAGGGGCTCAGGGGGCTTATAGGGAACTATAGTTCATGGTGGCAGGCAAAGGGAGGCAGTGTCACATAAGGAAAGCAGGAGCAAGAAAGAGAGAGAGAGAGAGAGAGATAAAGGGGGAGGGGAGGGAAGGGGAAAAGGGAGGAGGGGAGGGGAGAAGAGGGGAGGGGAGGGGATGAGGGAGGGGAGGGGAGGAGATGGGGAGGAGGGGGAGGGGACGGGGGGAGGGGAGGAGACTAGAGGAGAGGCACCACATACTTTTAAACAACCAGATCTTGCATGAACTCAAAGCAAGAACTCACTCATCACCAAGGGGATGGCACTAAGCCGTTCATGAAGGATCTGCCCCCGTGGTCCAAACACCTTACACCAGGCCCTACCTCTGTAGCCGCCCAAGGGGTTCACCTTGCCCGCTGCCTAGACAGAGCTGATTCATCAAGACAGGAGAATTCCAATAGAGAGAGTAATTCACGCAGAGCCAGCTGTGCAGGAGACTGGAGTTTTATTATTACTCAAATCAGTCTTCCTGAGCATTTGGGGAGCAGAATTTTTAAGGATAACTTGATGGGTAGGGGAAAGCCAGTGAGCCAGGAGTGCCGATTGGTCAGAGATGAAATCATAGGGAGTCGGAGCTGTCTTTTTGTGCTCAGTTTCTGGGTGGGGCCGCAAGATCAGATGGCCAGTTTATTGATTTGGGTGGGGCCAGCTGGTCCATCAAGTTGCAGGGTCTGCAAAATATCTCAAGCACTGATCCTAGGAGGAGTTTAGGGAGAGTCGGAATCTTGTAGCCTACAGCTGTATGACTCCTAAGCCATAATATCTCATCTTGTGGCTAATGTTAGTCTTACAAAGGCAATCTAGTCCCCAGGCAAGAAGGAGGTCTGCTTTGGGAAAGGGCTGTTACTGTCTTTGTTTAAACTATAAATTATAAACTAAGTTTCTCCCAAAGTTACTTTAGCCTACTCCCAGGAATGAACGAGGACAGCTTGGAGGTTAGAAGCAAGATAGAGTCAGTTAAGTTAGATCTCTTTCACTGTCTCAGGCATAATTTTCCAAAGGCAGTTTCACTTCCAACACTAGATATTACATTTCAACATGAGATTTGGAGGGGACAAATATCTAAACCATCTCATGTAGGGTGTTTTCATCAACTTTCCTAATATGGCAATTGATTAACAAGTGTTAAACTAGCATCTTGACTTAGCAACTGCTAAAATTCATTATAAAGTCAAAAATATATTGTGACATCCTACATACACATCAGACTCTTTTCTCTCTCTCTCTCTCTTTTTTTTTTTTTTTCATCTCTTCCTCTTCACCAGGAAATCTCAGGCTTTCATTTACAAATGACCATGTCAAATCTGTTGATGACAGATTTAGTGCCTAACAGGAAGATACTCTTTAAAGAATGCCAGGAAGTAACAAAGTAAGTTGAAAAAGCAAAATTCTGTATTTTGTCAGCTAGGAAAGGATCAGGAAACTGAGGGCTTTGAATCAGTTAATCCATTTTATTCCTGGTTTTGCTTTGTTTGGAAAAATAGAATCTTTTCATTAAACCTTTGTAGAGGCTTATTAGGTGAGGAAGAAAAATAAGATTTGAGTTCCTCCTTTATGTGAAGCCTATACTGTCTCACCACTTTCTCCTGTTTTTTAACATCCAGACCTGTCTAGAAAAAGAGCAGAGTTCCTTTTATTTGTTTTAAATAAAGAAATTAAAATAGCTGCAAAAATCCTAATTCTTGACCTACAGCATTTCAGAAAACTTTTCAGTCGATGATGTCCCGCAGTTATTTTAAGTCTGTTTTTGCATGCTGTGTGTCTGTGTGTGCACATCTGCACACATGCACACCATAACCTCATCTCATTATATATACAGATGTATTATCTATACACCCAGAGATTTGTAGGCTAAAAAATGCTTGACCCTAAATGTATTATCATACTTAATAAGTATTTTGTTTTGCCTTATATAAGATTTGAGGACAGAGGTATATTATATGGTATGTACAGAGAAAAGTAGTATAGAGAAAATTCCACTTTCAGAAAGAATCAACTTCTGTGGGGATATTTATATGTTTATGTTTCTGTCTCTGTAGGTATAGATACATTTCTTATTTATCTGTGAATATAAATATGTATTCATGGCATCTATCTTAAAACAGGACCACACAATAACATACCTGGCATATTAACAGCTTATGCCAGATAAAGATCAGAATTCCAAAGGGTCAGAGCAAAAGCACAAGGAATAATACATATTTGATCAAAATTCACTTGTAGACTAAGAGTTGATTGGCAGAGAACAAGCAATATTAAGCACTCAGCTCTGCTCAGAGAAACCACAGTGAATACATAGCCAAGAATACCATCTGTTGAATATGAAATTCTTGGATCAAGACATTATAGATACATTTCCCCAAACAGCAGGGACAGAAGCCTTTCTGGAAACAAAATCACAATAGAGTTGCAGAAAGGTGAAGTGAGAGAGAGGCAAATAACTGTTCTCTGCATTGTGGGGAGCAAGTTCTCTTACTGCTAGTGTGGAGTGTGATTAATTACATGGCATGGTTCACGATGGTGGTAGTAAATAAACATACAGCAGGTAGTCACCCTGTTCGAATAATTTCTACATCAGTACGTCAACTGCTAGCTATGGGTAGATCAAAATCTTTTTACTCATTGTGGTGTCTGCACCTTTTTTTCACACTTGGAATTCATTGTGTTCCCTGTCATTCATTATGTTTTATAAAGATAATAGAATGATGGCTGTGTGATATTCAGTAGGAAGATTTATATGAAAAGGTTGATGAATGATACTATTCTTAAGGAAAAACTCAAATACAATGCTATGCGTTTATATTTGGATCTGATATTCTCAGAAAAACCATGTTTTTCTGTACATTAAAATAATACCTTTACTAGAATGGACCTGCATCTTTTTTAGGGAACCAGTCTGGTATCTAGAGATAGATAGTTGTTGACATGGAAAGGATCTGTGTTAATGAGAAGAGACATAGAATGGTGGGCAGGAACAATGACACAGTAGGAGAAATAATAGTGGATACACAGCTGTTAGTGAAAGGACCTCCATTCCTTTAATTGCACACATTGAGAAAACATGGAAACCAATATGAAGGGAACTAAAATGTCGATTAATTCAGAATTTCATCTTGTCGCCGTTTTTGCATTCAGACGAATTACATTAAAACATTTTATTTTTACTTTGGAAAGTTCTATACTTTAGTTTTCTGGAGCATCACATATTAATAGTGGGATATAATCATTATTAACATGTAGTAGGTGCTCAATAAGTAGTTAAGGGAAGAAATATAATGATCATACAATAAAAGCACTCCTTTAAATGCTTTTATTTATTAACTCATTTAATTCTTATAACAATTCTAAGGAGTAGATGCAGTTAGGATCTCTAATTGTTTTTGTAAGGAAACTAAGGCAGGTATTTTAGGTGTAATGCCAAAAATCACTCAGTTAGTAAATTGATTCGAAATTGGAACCCTTTCTCCAGATTCTGTTTCTATCTACTTTGCTATATTGTTTATTCAAAAAGCCATGGTACCTTTTGAATGTGTGTTTTTAGGCCCATAGTAGACATTCATAATGAGATTATTTGTCTCACATGTTTACACAGAGCATCCATTGGGGACATTGTTATTATCTATTTAGAGGATAATAGAATTGCTTCTGTTTGCTTCTGTTAATTTTCTGTTAATTTTGGGAGATGTATATGACTTTAGGTGTCCTGTTATCCTGTTAATACTTCTATCAACAGATTACAAGCTACGTGAAGAGCAGCATAGTTATTTGGGTGAACTTGAATTTATAAAACAACTACTTAGAGAAAGTTTAGTCACTTTTCCCTTGGCTTTCCCTGGGCCTTTCTTTATATCTCATACGTCATAAATTTTGCTTTGTGTTGTATTTGTATACACCTTCTCTCTCCTAGGCCTCGTGAAGGCAAGAGTTATTATTTAATGGCCTTTATAATTTCAACTACCACTGGTAAAACATACATAAGTCAAACATATCAGTAATAATTACCAAAACTAGCAATGAAGAGAACATCTTATATTGTGATTTTGCCTAAAAACATTATTGCTGAGTCTTTTAAAAGAGTGTATTTGTTTTTTTAAAAATGTCAAACAAGTGCATCTGCTCTCTTAGAATTTCTGTATCTATTTCTGCCGTTTTTTAATGTAATCAAATTATGAGTCATCTTTTAAAAATAAGTAACCGTAATTCTTTTCACCTACGTAGTAGAGTGTAATAAAAGCTCCAAGAATCTTAAATGTTTTCAATAATAATGTTAAAATATGTTTTTATGCTTTAATTATTTTAATTACATGTTACAGTATATCATGTGTAACACCTAAAAATATCTTACACTTTAGGTATTCTATCTTTACTTCCTAATATGGTGTGTTTGCACTACATTTTTTGACTGTTTCAGGCATGCTATCTTCTAATTCTGACTCAGTCAGAAAATAGCTAAGAGCACCACTTGTTTGCTTTAGATAAGTGAGTTTCTGGCCATTCATCACCTCTCATACTGAAAATGACCACACTGCAGGGACATTGTGTTATTGGCAAAAGTTGGCCAAATTACATACCAGTAGGTATAATTGGACTATGTCTTCAAAACATTATGTTTATATTATAAACCATAAAAATGTTACAGTTTACAATGAACATAATATAATATATTTTAGGAATAGAAAAAGAATTTGTAATAAATACAGAAAAAACACATATGCCTTTTAAAGGCCACCCTGCTATTTTAACAGTTTAAGGATTTTTGGATACTTTACCAAAATATAAAATGCCAAGAAAATTTTTTTCTTATTTTTTTAATTTTTCTTGGCATTACTTTTGTGTGAAGCTGGGTAAGATTGTAAATTAATCTCTGTACTGAAAAGTGCTATATTAGATGCTGTATATAAAATGCTGTATATTAGATGCTGTTTATATAGATATAAAATATCAAAAAGAGTTTAAATCATAACCATGTTTTAATATTAAATTCCCAGTGTAGAAATATTAAGGCTAAATTCAGAATAGTGACATATTTACGTATGTTTTCTTACTTGAGAATTTCTAAAGCCATTTATAAAAGCTCCCTGTAACAATTTTCATTTTTTCCCCACAATTTTACTTAGTGATGCTCTTTGAATAGTAACTTTAGGTAATGGAGAAGTAACATTATATTCAGAGAACCATCAACTAACTCTCGAAGTATTACGACAAGGAAAAATCCGCAAAATCAGCTCTGTTAATGAGCTCAGCATTTTAGCTTTCAAACATTTCCGTCGAGTACATTTGCTAATTTTCTTTTACAGGCCCCAGATAACTTAGTAAGATTTTTAGAGTGGCTTGTCAGATGTAATTTGACCTAATAATTACCCTTAAAGATGTGATTAAGAAACACCTGACTCAGATGTCGTGTACATAGGCAAACCACAAGTCATCACCCCTTTCTCTCCTTTGATTTCGGTGGCCAAATGCCAAGTCAGCAGGCTATGAGAACTGGCCTTCAGGAATAACCTGCCAGTTTATAGCTTATTCAGGTCATTGTACCTATGCCAAGTAGGCCTAATGAGAGAGGATCCTTGGAAGTGTGCAAGCATTAAATGTATACATGGTTCTGAAAGACTTTATGAAAAAAAAGGAATTCTTTTTTTAGAAAATGTTTATTTTTAATTTTTGTGGGTACATAGTAGATGTATACATTTATGAGGTACATGAGATATTTTGATACAGGCATGCAGTGCATAATACTCACATCTGGGTAAATGGATTATCCGTCACCTACGGCATTTATCCTTTGTGTTACAAACAATCCAATTATGCTCTTAGTTATTTTAAAATGTTCAAATAAATTATTTGACTATAGTCACCCTGTTGTGCTAGCAAATACTAGGCCTTACTCATTCTTTCTAACCATTGAAAAAGGAATTCTTTCCCCACAAAAACCTTGTAAACTGTCTTTAATATACATGCAAACAAATATTTGTAAAAAGGTAATTCAATCACAAAGAATATTTGCAGTTTCACTAATTCGGATATATAATCTAAGGATGCCAAAAATATTTTTCTTCCTCTATAACTCAACATCAACTTTCATATATTTTGATCATTGTTTTTTAATCTTTGAAGTTCACAAATTGATGAGAAGCATAGTATTTTTTAAAGATATTTCTTGACTATTTTTTTCTGTTCTAAAATGTATTGACTAATGCTTAAGTCAATAGTTTAACTCCATGTCTCCATTACAGAATACCTATGAAAAGTGTTATTTAGATGCATTTTTATGCCTCCTCAAAGCTCATGATGTATCTACATTTTTTAAAGATACAAAACTGTTGTAGTTAAAAGCAACTTTATGAAAAACACTTGATGAAGTACATTAATAATTTGTCTCAATATAATGAGTATTTTGAGTGAGATAATGATTAGTCATTTTCAACATTCATTTCTAGCCCAGTTCATTTTTTAGACTTTCCTTCTCCAAAAACTTTTCTGGACATGTCTTTATTATATCCTGTCACCAAAACCTAAAGGTAAGTTTCAGAGCTTGCTGAGGAGTTATGACCCACCATGGGAAATAATGAAATGCCTTCACTGACTGATAGATGCATCCAAACCTATTAAGAATATCAATGGAAAATATCAGATGCATAACTTAAATTAGCTTTAAAGTGTGCATTTTTAGCATTCATATACTTCTTACCTGTAAAAGATATTAAAATAGCTACATGACATATATATGTATATATGCTTATTGATTTGATTTGTGAACTTTTATAGAAATATATTAAAATATAAAAAATGAGAAAATATACTTTTTAATTTGAAAAGGAACTTGAATTCCTTCCTGTGATATTAATAAAATGAAAACAGATTAATGTGGAAAATTGAATTACTTAAGTTATCCTAAATATCACCTGGATTTACAGTGATTTTTCAAACTTTTATTAATCAATAATTGGTTTAAGGTCTGTATTTTGAATGAACCATACTATTATGTATTGCAAGATGAAAAGGATAGCATAAAAATGAATTTGATGAAAAAGAATTTTATATCCTAGTTTAATTCCCACTAATCTTCTATCAGTTATTGTGAGGAACATTTACTGAACCAAAGCATAATATGTAATTATACATAAAAATATATAATTCTCACTCCACTTTGACATTTGTGAATAAAGTTTCCACTTAACTCAAGAATTTTACAACTTAGAAACATAGGGAGTGAGATTGTGGATTTATATAATTAAAGAGTAGAGCTAAATGCTTGCATGATTAAAGGAAATGAAAAATTAGGAGTATTTTTAATAGTTGAATTGTGAAATCATAATCAAGCTCAATCTGAAGTACGATGATTTCCATTCTGGTGGTCGTCTGAGTAATTTCTTGTCTGATGGAGTAGCTATTCTTCCCCCACGCACGTGTTTAGATTTTCCATATATTTTACATTTTGAGAAATTGCCTAATTCCCTGTTTGAAGAAGTGCCTGGTACAATGTTGATGTGCAATAGGATTTTCTTATGAATAAGAAAAGTAATCAACAAATATTTTCTATATATACATAGTCTAAAATGTACGTATTTCTATCTCTAAGAAATGAGATTATTCTCTTCCGTATAAATATAAAAGGTAAATGTCAAAATCTTTATCTTTGTTAGCTATGAAGTTGAAATAATAAATGAAATTCAAAGAACCTGCTAGGGATAGACGTTGGGGAAGGAAAAACTGAGGAATTAGAAAAAGCTACAAACATAAGATCAGATTCTAACCTATCAGCAGCGATAACATTTTTATTCTCCAGAGAGAATGGGTTACATTTCTCTGAAACTATTTGTTGTATTAAAATCTCAGAATATTACCATTGAAAGGGCTCCTAGAGATCATCTAGACCAATGGTTCTTAACTGATGTGAGGTTATGAGATGCTTTGTGAATATGGTGGGGGTTAAAGACCTTTTTGCTGGAAAATTACACATTTGCCCAGAATCACGATTTTGCACACAATTCTGCATACATTTCCAGGAATTCCAGTTTAATACAGGCAACCTATAGATGCAATTTAAGAGCCTCTAATTATTCAAAGTTCATTTTATAAATCGGTTGAATAAACTAGAGACCTAGAGAGGGACCAGCCTCTCTAAATCTAATTACATTGACCTTTCCTATCTCTCCAAGTTGTTTGGCCATTTGCACTGATAATGTTTCAAAGCAATCACCACTTTATGCTTAGTTTGTTCTCATTTCTATGACTGGATGGAAATGTGTGGGAGCAATTTCCACTTTCTACCAGAGACTGGTCCAGTTCTAGTACACAATTTTGTCTTTATATAGACGAAAATATTGCATTCTGTCATTTATCTTGTATCTGTGAATGACCATTTTAAAGCTTTGTCTGAACCAGGCTGTCCCACTTCTGTATTAAGAGTGTGCGTCTGCATCTATCCACCAATGAATAATGTGCACAGATAATGTGCAGTAGGGAATCTGTGGTCCAGTGATGGGCACATGGATGATGTATCCTTATTTCCCTCAGATATTGCCTGGTTTTTAAACAGGATAGAATGGTGTTTATTGTAAACCACAAGGAATTATTTTGAATTTCCTAAAATAAGAGCTGTATGACAACTAAAAAATAGCAAGAACATCCATTTTCATTACATTTATTTCATTATAGTTTAAGGGGTATCAATAACAGCACTGTTTGCTTCCCTCTTGCTGTAAGCAGTAGTCAAAAGGTAAATTCTGTTGTTTGCATTACTCCTGTTTAAGAAGAAGCATAATGAAATTTGGTAGGGAGAAAATGACTTACAGCCTTCTTTCTACTTTTTTGTGTTCTTTAAAAATATACATCTCTGAGTCCATTTCTTGAGGCAGTAGAATACCATACAGAGCTAGGATTTTCTTGAACAACATAAGGCCCATATTTGTTTTCTACAGCCTTATTTTGAATTTATAGAAATAAAGTGCAAGGTGCAGTGAATTTTCCACACACACACACACATTACTTGAAAAAGACATTTGTTAACTTAAAACTTAAACGTAAGCTTTTCTTAAAAGCATCAGTGCAAGTATATCCACTACATTGCAAGTCATCTTTGGTTTCTCCTATAATCAATTTAATAATTCTTGGATCTTGGAGAAGTTATACGTTGAAAGGCAACCACATGAGCCAAAGCGTCACTTCTTTCCTCTATCTTTTTTTGAGGATTAAGTGAAATTAAATATGGGAAAGCCTACTGTAAATAAAATAAAAGATCACAATATAATATAGAAGTTGATTATAAATTTTTATCAGTGTAGTGTGAGTGTTTCATCACTTAATAACTGGAATTTGTAAGCGATCTTTACCTTCCATTTTACTCAACTTTATGGTGGACATGTTTTTGGAAGACATGCATTCAAGGCTCTATCACTGTCTTTGGGAACCTGCTGTAACTTCCATCTGTACAATTTCCACATCCTCAAAATACTGATCATAACACTTGCCTCTTTGATATCCTAAGAAAAATTGAGTGAAATAAAATACGTGAAAACCATTTGTAAATTACCATTACTCAAGAGAAAACATGGTGATGATTCCACCCTCTTGAAATCTCTCAGTAAATGAAGTTGTGAAAACCAATAGCATCTTCAGGACCAAATATTTGTATTTGTGCAGATCTCTGCAACAATCTCTAGAACAGAAACATTCCAGACGTCCTAGTAGAAAGCTGAACCCCCATCCATTTAGATTTTTGCATTAAAATGACAGATTGCTCTATGACTATTACTTACTGGCTATTACATAAGGACATCTTATAACAAATCCGTGAAAGGCTGCAAATGGACAAAGCATATCTTAAAGACTAAAAAAAAAATTCACAATGGATTGTAAGGAGAAATGTTTTATTTTCATAGTAAGGAATGTTTTAGTTTATACTGCAGAATCACAGACAGGTCACACTGAGATAACAGAAAGCATTTGTGATCAACAGAAGCAAATCAGCAAGGCACATCCAGCAGTGGGACTGGGAGCAGTTTCATAGCATCTGTTAGAGGCAAATGGAACTGGGGAGAGCATTAGCAAAAACCTGCCCTTCGTCCAGATACCACTGATAGGAAACACATAAACAAACAAAAAAAAATTGTACAGTTTAGCTGAAGTCTGCTCTTCTGATACATTTCCTGCAGCCCATACACATTTCCTTTTAAATCCTTAAAAACATTCCAGTTAAGTTTTATGATTCGTATTACCAACAACATGATGCCTTAGGGATATGTTACCTAGAGTTTGGAAGCTAGCATCAAATACCAATTTACCGTATAATTCTTCTGCTATTTAAAAAGACAAGGTTCTTCGGTTTAAATATTGATGGCCCAACTGGTAATCTTTTTAGTAAAGGTGTAGCTATAAGGTGAAAAAATCAAACAGAGTAGTCAGGTTTATATTTTCAGAAACAAAAAGACCTTTACCTGTATAAAAGCCAAAGATACAACAGAGAACTGAATTATAGATCTACCAGACAGGGTATTTTTTTTTTTATGGCTAAAACCTTAGCTTTAAATATCTCTGGCACCATTTTGTTTCCTTTTATTTTAGGTTGTTAATGGTGGTTATAGGAATTGGTTCTATGGTAGATTTTGTAACTAGCTTAAATTATATTTCTTTGATCTAGTGAGTCCCTCCCTGCCACCCTCACTTTTAACCCTGCAGTATTGAATCTGAGTCTGATTAAGGGTAGGAACCAAAAGGAATGGGAATAGCTCAATGGGGGTACCTGCAAGCGTTTTTATAGCTTTTCTATTCCTACTGAGAATCGACTTACTGACCCCAGAACTGCTCTCTGCAGGCCCTTGGAGGAAATCTAGTTTCTTATCAGACATCTGTACTTGTTCTATCTTTCAAAATAACTTCTGTTAGGGTTGTTTGTCTGGGTCTCTTTTTTGTGACAGAGCAGTATAAAAAATTCATTTTTATTCAAAAAAATAATTTCAGTATAGATATTTATTCAAAAATTTAAAAGAAGACTCCTCTCCTGGTGAATAAGAGCTAGGTCCTGTCAGAGAGCCAAGGACTGGATGGATGAGGCTTGGGAGTGGAGTATTTAATTGAGATTATCAGCAAGGGAAATAACATCCCTTTAAAACAGTGAAAAAATTAAGAAGTTCTATTCACTACTATGGTGATTAGGACACTTTCTGTTAATTTATGGGCTTTCTCTCTATAGTGTTTCTTCTCATAATTATTACAGAATTGTTGTTTCATACTTGACTGTTTCATTTATATTGTTGCTTTGTTATACAAATAAGGTCTTACAAAAAGTTTAAGCAGGATATTATAAATTGTTACCTATGTAAACCTGAAACATTCTTGCCATGATACTCACAATCATCAGACACTGCATCTCCCTTGGTGTTGGTAATCTAGGCAAATAGCTGCTGTATTAACATTTCAGACCCCTAATAAGTGCTTAAGTGTTACAATAACCTAATTTCACTGATAAGATATAGCTCATCATGCAACACAGGCATATCATATGTGCAAAAGATGCCCCCTAGGCCCCAAGTTATTGCCAATGATTTGCATTATATGAAGTTGTTCTCCTGTTACGAGAAATTTGGGGGAAGTTAGACGGAACTGTTTCTGGTCTTTAGAATAGATTCAGCTTAGATATTCAATAAAACCTATTTATGTTTACCTTTTACCAAGTTTTGAGTCACCTCTTTAATATAGAAAAGGATGTGGTCAAACATGCATGAAAATAGAAAGTTGGGTCACTGGATCTGGAGGGGAAAAAAATTAGGAAGCAATTGAGGGATATAAAAAGGATCTAAAGAAGAACCTTCTTTTCACCTTGTCCCAAAATTCAGGGTAAAAGTAGAGTAGACATTCTCAATTAAATTAAAGGGTAGCAAATTTAGAGTTTCTTTTTGTAGCATGTAATCAACCTGTGGGAGCCACAGCCTCAGAAGGTTGAGTTAAATCTATGTCTAGAGTTTAAAAACAAATAAATAATTTTATGCCTATAAGAGTTTTGATGATGTTATAGAAATAATCACATCTCATGCTTTCAAGAATAAATTGATATATCGACAAGGGAAATCTGTTCCCAAAATACAACGTAACTGGGAACACCTTGTTTGCTTCCAACCTTAGACAATCCAGATGGGCAGATTCTGGGATCCTTGCTTTCAGTTGGTTAATAACGTTTATTATTGAGTTTATTGTGCTCTTGGACAGACAAACAAGCCAAAAAAAGAAAGAGTATACTTTCTGTAAAAGTTCATAATTGATTACTGTGAAAATACTAATAAATTCCTTGTTTGTGTGTGTGTGTGTGTTGTGAATAAGATTTTCTGTCAGTGTGTGCATTTGTGTATGTGCTTTTCATGAGGTTGTTCATGTAGGTGTATGTCTATACACAGAGAGAAAAAGAGAGACTTTTATATCACTATTATGTAATTTTGTTTTAGATAAAGCCAATTTGCGCCTAGTTGTGCCATTGTGACATCCATTAAACAATGACAAATAGAAAGTATGTGCCTGCTTGCCATTTTTTAGACCATGACATACTTCTATCTTTAAGTGTCTGGGCGCGGTGGCTCACACCTGCAATCCCAGCACTTTGGGAGGCCGAGGTGGGTGAATCACCTGAGGTCAGGAGTTCGAGACCAGGCTGGCCAACATGGTGAAACCCTGTCTCTAGTAAAAATACAAAAATTAGCCAGGCGTGGCACACACCTGTAATCCCAGCTACTTGGGAGGCTGAGGCAGGAGAATCTCTTGAACCTGGAAGGTGGAGGTTGCAGTGAGCTGAGATCACGCCACTCCACTCCAGCCTGCGTTGTAGAGTAAGACTTCGTCTAAAAAAGGAAAGAAAGGAAGAAAGAAAGGAAGAAAGAAAAAAAGAAAGAAAGAAAGAGAGAAAGAAAGAAGAAAGAAAGAAAGAAAGAAAGATGCACTTACTATGTGAATGTGGCTGTTTTTCCTCCAAATATACATATATATATATATATATATATATATATATATATATATATATATATATATAAATCTTTTTTCTGTAATTTCTGTAATTTCCTTTGTGAGGCTTATCAATTTTATGTTGTTGTTGTCTACCTAATAAGCAAGTATGGATAAAGTATAATTTAAAAACCAGCTAGCTTATTTGAAAGTCAGGCTAGCTCTGCCTTTTTATATGTGTGCTTTTCTTTTTTCAGACATTAACTCTAATTAGGATCTACTTGTATCTTAATTATGAGACTCTTTTAAAATAAGGCAGTTAAATGAGACCTTACATACTAAAGATGTAGGCCACTGTTATTTTATCCTTTCTAAGGAAATATTTACATGCATCAAGATAAGGTGATTCTTAATCTAAATGAATGATTTTTTAGGAAAGATTCTTTCAGGTCACGGATTATCCTAAGGGAAAGTATTTGGGTGCAGCACTGTAACCCAAAGTCCTTCGTATACTTCTGTTTAGGAAACACGTTGCTTGTTTATTCACTCAGAGAAAAGACAAATTGAATCAGAACATAAGTTTCAGTAGCTACTGCTTCCCCCACGCAGGGATGTCACTGCCCACATGGGCAGGCCAGGGTCACTAGTTAAAATGTTCCCATTGTGAAAGCATATTATCATCTTCGGGGGTATTTTTGCTTCTGGTCTCGTGACTGACCAGTGGAAAAAGTCATAAGCTATTTTTGTGAAATGTATTTCTAGTACAATTTGAGTCAGTGTTTAGAAAACATCACATATTAATAAAAAGGATTATATAGTGAGCACCTATTTTATATCAATTAGTTTATACACATTATTTCTAATATTCCTAGTCACCCTGCCATGTAATGTTCTTATGTTCTATTTGCAAGGATTTCAAGATGTGGACCACTTTTTGCAAAGCCAAAAGTTGATCGTTGCTACAAATGGTGGGGAGAACAATGTTATGATTATAGCATGGACTCTGGTACCAAACTACTTGGGCTCACATCCGTCTGGTCACTACAACTTTATGATTATTGCAAAGTTTTGTAACTGTCAGATTGTATTATAAACACACAATATAAATGGTAGTTTTCAAGAAAGTGAGCCTTGTTTCCAACAATCTCTTCTGCCTCTGACATGGAATAGATTAACTAGATATGTACAGTACATGGCCAGCATTTTAATATGGAGTATATCAATTTACTAGGGCTGCCATAACACAATACCACAGACTGGGAGACTTAAACAGAAATCTGTTGTCTGGAAGTTCTGGAGGCTGAAAGTCAAAGACTAAGGTTGAGCAGGTTTGGTTTCGCCCAAGGCCTCTCTTCTTGGCTAGCAGATGGTCACCTTTTTGCTGTTTCCTCACGTGGTCTTTATTCTGTGCACACTCCTCTCTCATAAAGGCACCAGTCTTATTGGATTAGAGCCCCACCCTTAAGATCTCATTTTACCTTAATCACCTCCTTAAAGGCCTTATCTCCAATACAGTCATGTTGATGGTGAAGGCTTCAACATAGGAATTTTGAGGTGACACAATTCAGCTTATAACACAGAGGGAGAGAACATTTCATTTGCCATGAATACAATCTGGCTAACACTGGTGCACACAGCTAAAAGGTGCAACTGGTGCCTTAGTTACACAGCCAGAAAGGGGGCAAAGGAAAGTCACTGTGCCCTGTGTTGTAGGTCTTGAGTTTTACTCAATCTGCTCTCTGAGTGAAGTGGGTTACCTTTATACAAGCAGCATATACAGGCTGCAGGGGGATCTGCCTAAAGGTGTTTGCTCTGGCTATAGGCAGATCATATATTCAGGAAAATCCCAGGAAAACCTGGACAGATACATTTATCAGAAGTGGTAAATTTAGAAATACTTATTAAATACTGCATGCAAGATTCATGTTAGGGAAAGTGATGTGGAATAACAGGCTTTGCCTTCAACACACACAAATGTATACATATGCTTGCAGATATCCACAAAAATATGGCATATGTAGTTTATTTATTGCTAACTGTGTCAGGCACTGCGATGCATTATCTGTTTGATTCTTATTAAAAGTTGAGAAGGAGAATACTATTTTCCCTATTTCACATACGGTGAAATTGAGCCCCTGAGAACCTAAGGAACTTTTTCAAGACAAACCAGTTTAGTAAGTGGAGTGGATAGGCTTCTTTCATTCCTAAACCTGAGCTCTTTCCTCAAACCAGATGACAACCCGAAATATACATACATATATATATAAAAGATTTGACGCGTGTCTTCATTAGCCTTCGTAGGAATGTATTGTGGTTATATTTGCATATACCTGCCCCTTCTGGTAGGAGGGTAATGTGATCTTTACATTAAAAGCATTTAACTTTGTGCCTATAACATTATGAGGCTCAGATAAATGCTGAACAGAAGGAAAGAAGGAGGAAGGGAGGGAGGGAGGGAAAAAGAGAGGGAGGGAGGAAACTTGGCTGAGTATGGCTCTCACTCTTTCACTTTGCCATGGATGTGTTACATAAAAACCTCCACAGCTAAATACATGCAAAATGTAGCTCTAACCTAAAGAAAGTGATAGCTCCAATTTCTTTAGCTCAAGAAAGGTCTCAAAAAGCAAATAAAAAGCTGTAGTTGAAGGATAAAAAAGAAGTAAAGCTCGATAGGTAGATTTGTTAAAGAAGAGCAGTTTAATGGAGATATCGGGGGGATCAGCATGGCTGAACCAGGTTTGGAGAAAACCAGTGAGAGATTATTTAAGTCAGCATCAAACAAAAATGTAAAAGAATGACCACATATTTCTGTTTGCAAAGAACTTTTAGTAAGATACAGATGAGATAATCAATCCTAGTGGAAATACAGATTCATATTACTTGGGATATGATAAGTCCCATCGTTTCTAAAGTTTAAGGATGAGGAAAATCCTGATAAAACACAGGAAGTTATTAGGTGAGGCACTCAGCTTTTCTTGCGTGGTAAGCATCAGAAGCCAGAAGCAGAATTTTAGAGTTCCCAGTATCTTAGGAACAATCTGGTTTTACCTCTCAATTCTAGAGAAAACTAACTTGTACGGAAATTAACAGAAGTAATCCAAATTTATGGATTGGCAACAACACTGGATCCCAGATCTCCTGGCTCCCTCTTTAGGATTTTTTCCATTCAAGTTCAACTTTCTGGAGAAGTCATAAGTGGATGAGTCAGGGAAAGAGAACTGTGGCCTGATATAAACTGTTTGTACTTGAAGTTATAGAAAAATACTGTTTTATCTAGATCATTCTGCACATGCATTTATCTTTGGCATGTGGAAAATTGGTTTCATAATCTCTGGAGAAAAATTGTTAATTTCTGCCTAGATCATTCTCTCTGCTGATTCCTATCAGAATATTTGCAACTCTAAAATTAATTTTACCCTATTTGCTGTGTTGGTTGTAATGAATCATATTCAAAATCACCAAAAACTTACACAAAAGACTGCACAGGAGAGGAAAAAAAATGTATTTGATTTTCCCAAGCTGCTTCTCTGTTGATTATTACCAGGTAGCATTTTTTTTTCATTTCTTATTCTCATTTGTATAAAAATCCAGATAGAAATGAAAGTAATGTATTAGCCGTTTGGTTGAAAAAATGTTAAGTCAATTATACTCTTGCAAGATTTATAAGAACTAAAGTGAGTTTAAATTTGAATTGTCAAAGGAAATTTTACATGCATTAAGCCCTCAGTAAAATCCATCATAAGTATTTAATTATGTGCTGGGTTTTGAACTTCTGTATCTAAAGTGGTATTTTTATAAAAAAAGATTTTTTTCAGTGAACTTGTAGGCATCACTTTAAATTATACCTGTAAGTATAATTCAGGTAGTAATATATTTTAGTGAGACAATTTGGAGGACGTGTGTATGCATGTGACACAATGAAATAGTTTTCTTTCCTCTTTGCAATAAGCATACTTAGGGAAAAAGCAATGAACAATTGCCATATCTGTCTGTGTGCAAGTGCCTTAAACCTTATATATTCAGGTGTTCTGGAAAACCTACTACTCTCTGTTGTCACTTAGATTCTTAACAATACGTGACTATTGAATTCCTGCATATTAGGCTGTTATTTCTAAATATGAAAAGTCTTATCTTAACAGAGTAAGCATTGACCTTTAGATTTTCCTTTCAACTGAAATGTTTCAAAACCAAGCATATTATATAAATGCATTGAGTATAGTTTTTATAAATGCAAGGCACTGCGAAGCATATTGAGTGATTTACAGATATATGAGATGTTCCCCTTGTGTGCTTGTTGCATCTGTACACTCTCGTGGTAAAATATGGATGAACCAAGCATAATTCCATATTACAAATGAAAGGACATGGTAGGAATATTTTGCCTTAACAAACTCATCTTTTTATGTATGAAAAATTTCACTTGGCTCTGACCCTAATGACTTAAATATTACCCATGTGGAGCATTTCTCAAGCCTTATTAATGTTTTCATATCTTCCAGTAACAGAGAGTGATTTAAAATGGAATAAGATATGCAGAATTCTAGCAATAGGTATCATTCTTAGAATTGTTACTGTAAATGAAAACTAGTATATCTGGTAGTTCCCCCAAATGTAGCCACTTTCAAAACAATATTATGATCCTTTTTTTTTTTTACTGTTGTGTACTCCAAATGATAGCCTAAATCCAAAGTAATAATGTCACCTGGTATCTATCTAAACCAAGTCAAGTACAAAAATTGGAAACTGAAATACTTTATTTTGCTAGCCACTCTGGGGCTGGTGATATGAACAGGAAGAGGCAGTAGTCATAAAAGCACGGGTGTTTATAATATTGTAGATTTAACGTGAAAATGAAATGAGGAAAAGCATTTGTAAATAAAAAGTCTTATGGGCTGGGCACGGTGCCTCATGCCTGTAATTCCAGCACTTTGGGAGGCTGAGGTGGGCAGATCACTTGGGGTCAGGAGTTCGAGACCAGCCTGGCCAACATGGCGAAACTCTGTCTCTACTAAAAATACAAAAATTAGCCAGTGTGGTGGTGGAACCGGGGAGGTGAAGGCTGAAGTGAGCCAAGATCATGCCACTGCATTCCAGCCTGGGTGACAAGAGCAAAACTCCATCTCAAAAAAAAAAAAAAAATCTTATGAAAGGTGTAGAAAGGTGTATCAGGATTATAGTCAAGTATCATGTACAAAATACATGTATCTGTATCTGTACACATAATTTGTACATGTAACTTTTATTTCCTGTGCCTTCTTTGGACTTTCTATGAGACATAGTAATAACAACCTACCTTTTAGAGATGTAATTTAGATTCATTGTGAGATCTAAATGAATCACATTCAGTAATACATAACTTTTGTTCATTATGTGTCATAGAACTCTACGACAAATATATAATTTAGTTTGAACAATGTGTAATCACTGAATAATTTTTCATGTTTGCAGGTAAGTTTTGTTTTTTAACTGATGTTTACATTAGTATTTACATGTGGCATATAGAAAAAATATAATATTTGTTATAACCATTTTCTGGTCAAATATTTAATATTAGCTATAATACAGGTCTCCTTACAAGACGTATGACTAACTGCCAGATCAGTGTCTTTCACATTTTGGTAACCATATTGCTTGAGAGACATCAAATAATTTTATACATTTGTTTTCTTATGCTTCCTTGCAGTGTTTCTATAATTAGAAAGCTTAGAGTTGTAGGGATATTTTATTTATTTATTTATTTACAAGGCATATAATTTTTTGGAAAATTTTCCCAATTTCTTTTCTTTTCTTTTTTTGTTTTTGTTTTTGAGACAGCGTCTTGCTCTGTCACCTAGGCTGCTGTGCAGAGGCGTGATCTCGGCTCACTGCAACCTCCACCTCCCAGTTCAATTCTCGTGCCTCAGCCTCCCAAGTAGCTGGGATTACAGGTGCATGCCACCAAGGCTAGCCAATTTTTTGTATTTTTATTAGAGAGACAGGGTTTCACCATGTTGGCCAGGCTGATCTCAACCTCCTGACCTCAAGTGATTCACCTGCCTCAGCTCCCAAAGTGCTGGGATTACAAGCATGAGCCTCCCAATTTCTGTCTTTAAAAATGTTGCTCTGATCTTCCTGATTCTCTCTAGCTGACTGTCACCACTGTCTTCCCTGGATTACTAGAGTATCCTTTTATCTATTCCATTCCCCTCTATGAATATGACTGTTCCTCCAATAATGGATCTCATATACCCACGTACCTATTTAGAAACATTAATTGTTTACCATTTTTCACTTAAAGGGTGTGAGATTTCTAAGCATAGCACTGAACACCACCAACTGCTTTCTTTTCTTTTCAAACCTTATTTCCCCCATTTAATCTGGTCTATTCATTCTGGATCAGTTTAAGACCCCAAATACGTGATACGGTTTCATGCCTCCATGCAATTACTTATGCTGTTCCCTTGACTGTAATGCTCGCTGTACCCCCACTCCATTCCTTGGTGGTCAAAAGCCAACCATTTCAATATCCAGATTAAATGCATTCCCAAGGGAGAATTCTTCACCTAAACAAGGGCTCCTATAGCATAATGCTACAGAAAGTGCATTGCAGTTAAAGTTTCTCAATATTTGTCTTTTTCAGTATACTGTGAGCTCTTGCAGTGCAAGCACTTAGTTCTGTTTATTTTTCTACCACCATAGCACCCAGAATGGTGACTAACATTGAATCTGCTCAGAGTGTTCAGTGAAATGAACTGTGTGAGGTTTTGAGTAAATGCATTCATCCCTAATTGTACTAAATTATATTTCCTGCCAAATATACTTAAAGCAAGTGGAAGAAAAAAACATCTAGTTTTCTCATACGCACCCCTTCTCTCCACAATCTCTATGATTTACACTGGGAAGAAATCAGTTTGTTCTTTTAGGTAAATGATATAGCACTTAATTGAATCAATGCTTAGTGCTTCTTGCCAGAATGTTATCATTTTCTATAGCAGTACACTTGTCCAAGAAAATGTTAGTTTTTGTGTATAAAAATACATTACCATGCACTCTGTCTTCCCAAACTATTTTGAGCAACTACTTAAAATGATTTAATTTGCAGGACTGTGTGCCTAATAAGCTTTCTGTTTAAAATCCTAACACTGAGCTTTCTAAGAGCGACGTGGTCTACATGTAAACTCTTTACAAACAGCATCTGAATTACAGGCAGAGACACACATTAGGAGCTGCCAGAATTGTGTTTGTTGTGGCTGCCTGGTTAGCTGCTGCTTGAACAGCTGAAGTATGAGCGTATTGATCAATTAGTGCCAGCTCAAACAAGAAGTATGCCAACTGAAAGGGAAGTCAGATTTGTATGCAAAGCTGCATTGGTAAAATTTGGCTGGTATAGGTGGTAAAAGGGTTGGACAAGCTATTTAATATGAAAGCACCAGTGTACCTTAAGGAACACATGACAATTGGTATGTGATATTTCAAAGACTTCATTTGAACTTAATAAAATGGAAAACGGCTTCATTTTGACCCAAAGGATGGCGCCTACCTTCATATGTAAAGTAGAATGGGGAATAAAGTTCCTCGTTGAAAATATTAAATCCTAAACCTAGCTTTGAACTGATGTGTTCATTCTCACTGAATAATTGTCATACTTCATTTACTTCTTTGTGTATAAGTAAAGGACACTTTAAATATATAAAGCTATTAAGTCAATTATATAAAATAACATTATGAGTTTTGTGACAGTAAATTTATATCCTAAACCTAACTTATATGAATGATGAGAATAGCAATATTCTATTTAACATAATGCATGTGAATGAATCACAAAAATCAAGGTTTTTTGATGCTAAATTCTGCCAGGGTATCAGTCAGGGAAATATCAGGAGTACCTTCTAGAAACCACATACATATGTATAAGAACGGTTGGGTGGAAGATTGAGAAACTCCCTGAATGGGATACCATTATTAGGGCTCTATACCCTGGAGGTGCTTGCTCTAAAGAGTCACTTTGCTCACTCTGGGGATCAGCAATATCACTGAAATGAAGAAGCAATGTTCTCAAGTCCAGAATTCTTTTGATGACACTAGTGTAGGTGTGTGTGCTTGTGTGTGTGTTAAACTTGGAGCTATAATAAGTATTGTTAGAAAATAATGGAGCTCATTCTATGAATGTAAGCACAGCATAGAATAAGTATTTTTGGCCAGGCGCAGTGGCTCACGCCTGTAATCCCAGCACTTTAGGAGGCCGAGGTGGGCGGATCACGAGGTCAGGAGATCGAGACCATCCTGGCTAACATGGTGAAACCCCGTCTTTACTAAAAATACAAAAAATTAGCTGGGCATGGTGGCGGGCGCCTGTAGTCCCAGCTGCTCGGGACGCTGAGGCAGGAGAATGGCGTGAACCCGGGAGGCAGAGCTTGCAGTGAGCCGTAATCGCGCCACTGCACTCCAGCCTAGGTGACAGAGCAAGATTATGTCTCAAAAAAAGAAAAAAAAAATATATATATATATGTATATATACTTTTAAAACTTCACAGTATTGTATGTAACAGGAGTATTGTATTAACTTTATGGTTTTTGAAACAGAAATAAAATAAGACAAAACAAAAATTCAAAGTATGTTTAAGGCAGTCCTCCCTCTTCCAGGCCAGTTCTGATTCCTTTTCAAAGCTCTGCCATTGACTTTCTTGTCCCACTTTCTTATTGATCTTGTGTCTGTGCTAGGAAGAGGCTTTCTTGAGGTGAAACCTTAATATTAATTGCAGAAATGGTCAGCCTTTATATAAGCGATTGTGCAAAAATTTCCTGACAATACAAAATTTTTAGATGTGCTGCTAGGGAGGATCTACTTTTCTTCCTTTAGTTTCTGTGGTACGCTAGTCACCAGGTAAGTGCTAACTATAGAATGTAGCTGTTCTTGCTATTTGCATGGCTCTTTCTGAGTGCGATGAAGTGAGGTTTCCCTGTGTCCTTTGTTGATGAAAAGGAGGTTTTATACTCTGCTCCTTTGGATGGAAGAGCCACTTCCTGATTGGGTTCTGGGCTAAAAGTGGATCTGCCTTTAGGCAGAAGTATGAATGTCATGTTACTTCCTATTTAACATTATTAACCATACTTCCTGGCCCCAGAAGGCCAGAGTTTGACTGTTTATTTCACATCAGTTATCATGAAATTATTCATAACAGGAAAACAATACTGGGTGAATTGGCCACACTCATGTTGAAGGAATCTTATTTAGACATATCATACTGGTTCTGAAGTATGGTCCATTTAGGATAGTATTCTATTTCTGGAAGTAGCATGTGGTGTGATTGATGAAAACACACACATTTTATCTTTGACATTAGTCTGTAGATTTTGATGTTTAATAAAAGATGAGCATCTCATCCTTTCCTAATAATCCATTATGGTTTTCTAAGCATTACGCTCTTAACTTCTCTATCCTACTCATACTAATAACTTTTACTTCTTGAATGATTATTTGCTTAAGGTAACTACTCACAGTAGAGGAATCTAATACCATTATTTATTTTCTACATTTCCCTTTTTTTAGTTTTCCAACTGTTTTTTAATAATAGTTCTTGTTCAAAAGTTTAACCTTTCTACAATCTTCATGGGCACTCAAAGCAGGGTATATATCTGATAAAATTACCCACGAAATTTTTTTATAACTAAGTACTATGATATACAAGTAATGACATGAATACGTGGGTGAAATAATGCAAATTGAAGGCTAAATGGTGATAGAAATGCATTTTGCATTTCGATTCTTTTTTCTTTCTATCTCACAATAAAGCAAAGAAGGATGATACAAATATATGTGCTAGAAGGCCCATTAACTGGCATACAAAATCGCTGAAGCAATGTAGTTCAGCAGAGAGACCAAAGACATATAATGAGAGTGAGAAAGCAGTTTTGATAATTATAATGAGTCAAAAGCAATCTCCTGCTTGCTTAGCTCGCACAGATGACAGAGGAAGGAAAATGTTCTTTTCTTCTGAGACAGAAACAGGACATCAGTCAAAATGATAAGAGATGTCAGTATAATATTCCTCTGAGTCAGGTACCACTGAGTTAGTCATCTGGGATGAGAGTTTCTAATCTTTTTCTTTGCTTCAGTTTCACTTTGGGCTTTGGGGTAATAGATTCCATATCAATATATATCTAAAAAATGTTCACAGTTCTTAGTTGGGAGAAATAAAAGTAGTTTATAATCTAGTGGGAAAAATATAGTCTTTGAAGTCAGTCAAACTAGACTTTCATTTTTTCTATGTTAACGTGAATAAGTAATTTATCTTCCTTAAAATGGGTATGAAATTACCTTTCTCACCGGAATTTTGTGGATATTTATGATTAGATATATGTAAAATACTTTTGCAAATATTTTTATTAGTAGTTGTTATTAAATTCACTTAAGGGGCAGCCAAAAATATCAACCTTTTTTATAGTAACAAAATGAACCAACACTTAAGGTAATGCCTTAACATACAAAGTATAGTACTTCTGCATTTTTTAGTTTGTTGCATTTCCAAAGAAAACTACAGAAAAGGACATTTCTATGTCACTGATGCTAGCCAAAGGCAAAACTTAATTAAAATTATCTTAATTTCCAAGGCCAAAATAGACCAGATCATGTTTATGGTATGAAATCTGTAAATATTCAACCTATTCCTCTGTCCTACCCTAGTAAAAGGTGAGTTTTTCTTTTCAAAAATAAAATGTAGTGTAATAAAGACCACTGAAAAAGTTACTAATGAGAAAATGTGGAATTCAGCCAGTGTGTACTGACATATTCTAAAAATAGAGCAATGACTATAGTAGACTGTAACATACAGCATACAGTAAAAAAAAAAAAAAAAAAAAAAAAAAAAAAAAAAAAAAAATCACTTTCTAATTATACAGGAAAAAGAGACGGGGGAAACGAGTGCCAAAAGATTGAATAATCTTTTTAACTAAGTTAACTGCTAATTCGATGAATCAGTGTTTGTGCCACATGGTTTTCTACTATCAGCAAAAATTTCAGAAGAGACAAATCTTGTTTTTGTGATTGCATAGGCACCTATCTCACAGCTGGAAAAGTAAGGCTCACAGCTGCTATTTTTATGGGGGAGAAAATTAATTGTAAGTGCAAAATGTTTAGAAGATGGCTGGTGTAAAGCAACTGTGCAATACATTGTAGATACATAACATATTAGCAAGGATCAATTCATTTTTTTTTTCACAACTACACATTGAGCATTATATGCATTAGTCATATAAGAAGAAAGGATAAACTGTGCAGAGAATACTATCAGCCATTGCTGTGCAACAAACTACCTGAAGACCTGAAGACTCACTGGCTTAAGGCAATAAACATTTCTTACCAGCTGGGTATTTCTTCTCACCTGAGCCATAGTGAGCTGTTCTTGGTGGGACACATTCTGCTTCTGCGGTCCACTAGGGGTTGTGTTGGGTTGCTTTGCTAATGTTGGCTGAACTCTTCCATTTGTCCTTTCCTGGGACAACAGCCCACCTTTGCCCCATCAGGCTGGCTCAGGCTTGTTCCCATGCCATGACAGAAATGACACAAGTGTAGGAACATGCAAAGGCTGGGAGTGTAACAATGTTGCTTCCACCCCATTCCATTAATCAAAGCAAGTCTCAAGGCTAAGCCTAGTTTAAAAGGTAGGAAAACAGACTCTACCATGTGAGGGGAAAAACTGCAAAGTCACTTTGCAAAATATGCATTGATATGGGAAAGGATGGAGAATTATGACCATTTTAGCAATCTACCATGATGACTATGCTAAAAGAATAATTGACAAGGCTGCTTTTGAAATATCTTTAAGCATATTTATTAAAGTAAGGTTGTTAGCTTCAACCTTTTCCCATGTAAAACAAAACAGTGCAAAAAAATCAAGCCATGAAATAGTCAAATTATAAGATTGTAAGAGGATAAAGTCAAGTTTGTTGTTAGAATGTTACATGATAGAGATTTATTTATTCAAAGGTAAAATTACTGTAATGAATAGTGTTTAGCTAGGTGTTCATGACTGCTACCTCTAGGTTTGAATGTGTTTATTTATTTTATAATATACAGAGAATGGGACTAATATATGCTCATTGTCGTGTACTTCTCACAAGTATAACCATTTCATGGGTTTATCTCTGGCAGCCTTCACCAAATTAATATTCCTTTAGTTGAAACTATTGAAGAAGACAAGGTTTGCTTTCCAAAATACGTATTCCTAAATTCCAAATATAAGTACTCTGCCATGTCCCACAGACAATGCCATTGGTACATTTCAGTACTTCACCTGATGCTGATAATCTAAGCAATGGATTTATAAATTGGCTTCCATATCTCTATACATAGGCAGACGCTGTTACAATCTAACCTTGACTTCATTGGAGGCCCTCCTAAATTTTTTAATTACAGCATAAACTGGTGTGAAAGAAGGTTTGTTGTTCATGAATGCTCAATATTATTAATCAGAAATGGAAAGTATACCTAGAACACCATAAGAATAGCATTTACTAAAAATTCAAAGCATTTATGGCTACCTAGGCTTGTTCTGAGTACTTTCTCTGAATTGTTTATTTCACTTAATTCTTACACCAACCATGAATGGTAAATACTATTTTTAGCCCAGTTTTCCGCTGAGGAAATTGAAGAGTATTCTTGGGGCATATTTAAGGCCATGTGTCTTATTAGTGAATCTATCATTCAAACACGGACACTCTAGTTCCAAAGTGACAACCTTAACACCCACAGTTTTTATTTTCAGCAAAGCTGCTTAGTGGAAAGAGAAGAAACAGCTAATAAAATATCTCATAACCTCGTACAAGTTTTAAATTGTGTTCATGATTTGCTACCAACATTCATTTTTAGTAATCTTTTCCTAAAAACAATGCAAAGATTTTATTTGTTCACTTATGGAAACTAGGGGTTGTGAAGTTCCATTAGATATAAAATAAGGAATTTTGCTAATAAAACTGAAAACTTTAAAACTAGTTGTTTATCTCTCTATATACAAAAACGTATTTTGTTTAAGGAAACTCATTATTTTGACCAAGTAGTTCATGGCTTTGGATATCAGAGAACAAATCTTAAAACATTGAATACCAGGCCGGGCGCGGTGGCTCACGCCTGTAATCCCAGCGCTTTAGGAGGCCGAGTCGGGTGGATCACGAGGTCAGGAAATCGAGACCATCCTGGCTAACACGGTGAAACTCTATCTATACTAAAAATACAAAAAATTAGCCGGGCATGGTGGCAGGCACCTGTAGTCCCAGCTACTCGGGAGGCTGAGGCAGGAGAATGGTGTGAACCTGGGAGGCGGAGCTTGTAGTGAGCCAAGATTATGTCACTGCACTTCCGCCTGGATGACAGAGCGAGACTATGTCTAAAAAAAAAAAAAAAAATTGAACACCAAACACTAACTTAGATCATGTAAAAGTCAAGTTTAAAGTAATGTAGGACATTTTGCTACAACATGTTTCAAGTTATTAAATTTAACAGAATTCCATATTGACTGACAGGAATTACAGCTATCATAGTGTCACCGTGAAGAATACTGTGATTGAGGGTATTAGTATATTTGTGAATTCATAATGTACAATATATGGTTCATATTTATTCTAGGTAATTATTATTACAAACTGCAAACAAATATCCTTGATGTACCTTATATGTAGCCCAAAGTGTATTTTGTAATTGGCAGTTAAAAATAAGATTAAAAAGAAACTCAACCTTTTCAGTAATTTACTATCTTGAAAACTATAGATATTTGTTACAATTTTTTTTTTTTTTTTTTCCTGAGGCGGAGTCTCGCTCTGTCGCTCGGGCTAGAGTGCAATGGTGCCACCTCGGCTCACTGCAACCTCAGCCTCCCAGGTTCAAGCGATTCTCCCTGCTTCAGCCTCCCAAGTAGCAGGGATTACAAGCGCCCGCAACCACACCCAGATGATTTTTTGTATTTTTAGTAGAGACGGGGTTTTTCTGTGTTGGCCAGGCTGGTCTCAAATTCCTGACTTCAGGTGATCGGCCCATCTCGGCCTCCCACAAATTTTCATGTGTGGATATAATCTCCATCATGATAAAACAAACAAATATAACAACAACACTCAGAGGTACGGAAGTGTGAAACAGGGTATGTTCTAAGAACAATAAGCAATACTATATTGTAGACACTCTAAGAACAAGTAGTTAGAAGAAAAGGCACTTCTCAACCCTAACATGTAACTAACTCGAAACCTCTGCAGTGCCAAATCATTCCTGCAAAGAATTATAGTTTTTACATTCTTTTCTCTTATGCTCTGTTAGTATCAACTTTACTTTTCTATTAGTATGTCATAGTCTCTGAAGATAGACAAGAGTTCAAATCCAGCCTGGAGCATTTAAAAGCATAATGATTTGAGCAAGCTACTTAATGATTTTGTGATCCATCTCTAAAATGGGAATCAAAAAATTGAATAAATTAATGAGTCAGCATTTAAAACCATGATTGGCAAATAATAAGCATTCTATAAATGTGTTATTGTAAAATCTAAAAGTTAAGTATGGGAACAGATGCTTGTTAACTGAGATATTTATTTTTCTTGAAATTTCTTTCAATCCCATTTGACTACCTTTTTATATACTAACTTGCCACTTAGTTTCTAGTGATAGAAACCTTCTTTCAGTTGATAACTGATTAGTTTTGCTAACTTTCTGTCTTTCCTTAAGCAAACAAGATTCAGGTATTAATATGTGGCACAGAAATTTTGCAGACATTTTATTCTTATGGTTATCCATAGTTTTGAATGAATATGTCCAGAGCTGTGTCTTAAAATGTTTTCCTTGGAATTCATTCAGTGGAGGTAGGACTGGCATATTTAATTTATGTAATGATTTACATTTTCATAAAATCTACTATTAGGACAGCAAATTTATAATATTTAATAATTACTACTAAAAACCAAAGCTATTTTAATCTCTACTTAACATCTTTCATGAGGCAAAACATTTTGAAATAAGAACCTATCAATACTGTATGTTCAGTTGGCGTAACATGCTGTGAGCTCTCAGGATGAACAGGAATCTCAAATCCAAGAAGCAAAGCCTCTCTGTTGTTTACAGTATTTAAAATAAATTGTTTCAGTTCTCTGTGGGATTGTTTCCTATTGAGAAGAAGCTCATAATTAAAAATAGCAACTGGAATAGAATTACAATGCAGGTATTTTTACAATGTGGGCACCTGGTATATTATCTTGAAATAAACTGACCTATAGTCATTACTGATAGTGTTCTTTCTAGGCAGGATTTGCATAACCACAGAGAATTATTCCCTCTGCCCATCCTTTTGAAAAGAGCATAGAGTATTTAGTAGAGAGGAGGTAATTATGCTATTTGGGATAATAGTCAGATTTACTGTCTGGGACTGCTATTCTGAACACTACATGAATTTCAGTATAATTGCTCAGATCCTGTTTAGATGAAAGCTGATTCATTTTTTTCAGGTCTTCTTTGTGCTCCCTTTTTATTCTTATTGGTATTTTTTTTAAGCAAGCAGGTCTAACCATTGCAAGCAAAAATACTATTTAATACTAAAATTGACCTTCTTTTGTCTGTATTTAGAGATTGTTTATTGGAAAATTTTTGAGTTGTCATAGATCAAAATTTTGTTCAAATGATAACTGCCTTTTATTCCAATGTTTCATTAGCATACCTGTCATTGCCCATAATAATTACAAATAAATGAACTTCCATTTCTTAGACTGTTTAGCACCCACCAACATCAACAAGGTCAAGTGGTAAGCTGAAAGAATTTTGCATTTGACTTTGCTTATCAAAAGAAAACCATAATTGCATTATTAAAGTTAAGCATATTTTGCTGTATTTTAATTGTGGTGATACTTAAGTATTACATCTTAAAAGCTATACTTAACCAGAATATAAAAGATCCTCATGTAGGACATGTTGGTAATATTTCCTCCTTTTCCATATAAATATATTATCATTTTTAATTTCTGTGACATAGAGAAGCTAAAACTGAGGTATTTTATATGGCTTGTCCTATAAATTACCCATGTATAGTCTCACGCTGCATAAACAAATCCAAAGCTTACTTAAATAAAATAGTTTATTTTAATTTGTGTAGTTTCAAGAATTATCTTTATACATTTTCAGAAATAGAACAAAGCATTTTACCTATTGAGTTTTGAGCAGATAGGTACAAAAAATTTTTGCAGTAACACAAAATAACTCTTAGGGACCATCTGCCATACTTTTAATGTTAACATTTAATTTAGTTATAGTTTTTGAAATTTAAAAGTTAACCTTTCTTTTTTTTTTTTTTTTTTTTGAGATGGAGAGTCACTCTGTCGCCTGGCTGGAGTACAGTGGCACAATCTCAGCTCACTGCAACCTCCACCTCCCAGGTTCAAGCCATTCTCTTGCCGCAGCCTCCCTGGTAGCTGGGATTATAGGCACCCGACACCGGGCTTGGCTAATTTTTAATATTTTTAGTAGAGACTGGGTTTCACCATGTTGGCCAGGCTGGTCTTGAAATCCTGACCTCAGGTGATCCACCCGCCTTGGCCTCTCAAATTGCTGGAATTACACGCGTGAGCCACTGCAGCCGGCCTAAAATTTAAGCATTTTTAATCTATCACCAAAATGTTTTGTATTATTCTATCCTCATTTTTCAGTTAAAAACTTTTCTAATCAGTAGAAATTGCCTAATGTAATTACACATATACTACTTTAGACAATTAGTTGATGAGTAATTAAATATCTGCATGGCATCTTTGGGTAAATAATAAATCAGCATATTGGTATTATTTAAAATATCCAGAATCCATTATAATGCAAGTATTTTGACACTATGGTAACCTAGTATATTACCTTGAAATAAACTGACATATGGTTATCAGGTATACTGTTTCCTATGTAAAATGATCACAATTCAGATATTGACCTATAAATTACCCCAAATCTGCATTCAAAATACTTTTGGTAATACAAAATTGGGCTTGTTTTTAGGCCCTCCATGAAATTGCATCATTAAAGTATGAAGTTTATTGGATCTATTTTATCAATGTTTATTCCAAAGTCACTCACCATGCACACACTCACACATACAAACACACACACACACACACACACACACACACACACACGAAGAGATGGGGAGGGAGGAGGAAGAGAGAGGAAGCAAAGGAAAGTGGCAGGGATAGAGGAGAGAGAAAGGGAGAGAGAGGTGAACATATACAGCTAATACAACAAGCAAAATTCCTGTTATTTAATCAGACTCCTTAAATAAAAACATGTGAGAGCTATCTTTCAAAGACTTCTCTTAAAGCATGAAATTGTTATATGGCATTCTAATTTACAGTCCACAAAGCTATCTGTGATAGCAGAAAAGGGTTCTTTCTTGAAATGGATGCTTCATTCTTTTTCTCCCATTAGCTATTCAACGCCCTTTGTCTATTTATATTCATTATTGCCGCTGTAAGAACAGTGCGGGTTTTCATTACTTCATTGGCATGGGACGCAATGATTCAGTTTTGCTGTCACTTCTGACCCGTTTCCCTCCCTCCTCCACTTTCGCTTACTGAAAATCTACAAATAGAAGGAAAAACATAGACAGTATAATACAGTACAAAATAAACAGCACATACAAATTAAGTTGTCATGTTTAGCTTGAATTTAATAGAAATGCATGTATTGAATGATAATTGCAAAGAGGCTTATGAACAAGCAGTATATTTGGAAGATTTTTCTGTATAAAATGATTTTTAAAAGTATGTTAACTGGTATTATCAATCCTCTGACTTTTTATTATATTATTATATTATGGATAATTTTTATTCCCTCTAAGATATTCAACTGAGGAAGAAAAAGTAGTTTTCTTAAATAATTGACATGATGTGTTTACATATTTGTTTTGAAATATGTGTAGCTATTTAATAAGAATTCTTTATTTTCCGCTCATTCTTTATTTTTCTGTGGATTGTATGATCATGTAACTTATTTTTCAAGTTTCTCACGTATGTATATTGTATAAGCTGTATTCACCAGTATGGAAAACAGTAGGATTCTTGTTTTCTCTTAAATTTTACTATCAGTAATAATTATCAATGTAATGTGATGAATTCTTTATTATGATTCACATAACTAGGAAAAGAATTCTTAGAAAATACGTATTCTGTGCTTTCCCTCTTTCTAATAGTCATGGATAGGAGGAAGCTATATTGAATTTTAAAACATTTTAACAGAAGTAATTGGATCTCACACAACAGAAAATCAGTTTAAAATATACATTTTGCCAGCTCAGAAAATTCAGTCCATTATCACTACTGAATTCACATTTATTCTTTTTCTTCCAAAACAGATAAGAAAAACCTCCATTGTATCCAGAGGCCTTAAGTTTGGCTTAATTCTTCTTCCTCCAGCCCACCAAAATATTATTTGCAAAGAATTTAGAAAAATGTAATGATGTAATAACTCTTCATTGTCTTATTCCTGGGAGCTATAGAATATATTAAAATCCCTGTCTATATGCAGGTTAATTAGATTTCTACAAGACTCCACCTGGTCAAGGGAGGGGAGAGAAATGATCCTAAAAAATCTAAGCCCTCTAAAATAAGTGCCTCTGACACTACAAGAGTCTGTTTTATGCTCAAAATACATTGAAGCATCTCTCAGTCTTTGTTGAGTTCCTGCACACATCATGGTACCTGAGCACCCTTACAGCTGTAATTCTCTGGAAAAGCATGAGGCATCTTTAGTTTACCAAAAGTGGATTTGGTTATAAAAAGGGTCCATAAATGCTGTTTGCATACTTTTCTGGTTGTTATAGGCAGTAACCAAAATGAGCATGTGTTTCATAGAAATGTGTAACATAACACTATGAAAGCCTACCAACACATCAAAGCTTTAGTGGTACTCTATTGATATCACTTTTCCTGTGAGGGAACCGAAGTAGACAAACTTTGTCTTGATCACTGTGGTGGCATTTTCGGTGGCACTGGCACCATTGTTTGCGCAAGTAGTTGATGGGGCTGCTTGAGAAACCCTATGCAGATCATAGCGACTTTGTTATCCTTGGAAAAAAATCTTACCTCAGGCTTTTCTCTCAATATGGTCTCAAATGCAAGTTGAATACAGGAAGTTGAGTAGGATAAAATAAAAAGGGAAAAGAAAGAATTAATACAACTGTAAAATATACAAACCAAGGTGAGTGTGAGTGTCAATAGTAAGTGTGTATGTAGCACTATACCATAAATAACATATTGTATATTATCTAACATTCAAACTGAATATTTGTGGGGTTTTTTTGTTGTTGTTGTTTGGTTTTTTTTGAGACGGAGTTTCGCTCTTCTTGCCCAGGCTGGAGTGCAATGGCGCGATCTCGGCTCACTGCAACCTCTGCCTCCTGGGTTCAAGTGATTCTCCCGCCTCAGACTCCTGAGTAGCTGGGATTACAGGCATGTGCCACCACATCTGGCTAATTTTGAATTTTTAGAATTTTGTATTTTTAGTATTTTGTATTTTATCCAGCTAATTTTGTATTTTTAGTAGAGACAGGCTTTTACCATGTTGGTCAGGCTGAACTCCTGACCTCAAGTGATCCACCTGCCCCGACCTTCCAAAGTGCTGGCATTACAGGCATGAGCCACCGCTCCCGGCCTAGGTTTTATGTAATATATGCCAGATTGTGTTTTAAAATTTTTAGCAACTAGGGAAGTTAAAGATGCTCTGGAATCTGTCTTAAGCAAAATGTCAGTAAACCTAATTACCTGGGCTAAACTCTCACATGATTCCAAGTCAATTCAGCAAATGGGTGCTGTACCCTAGAGCTTTTTTATTTTCTCTAGTTCCATTAAGGGCACTGAGCTTTACATTGAGTAACACGTTCAAGACTCCCATATATATTTGAAGCATTTGACAGAATAAGAAATATTAGAATTCAGAGACATAGTTAATATTTTAGAATTCATTAATTCATTTATCCCCCAATTTTTTATCATGTATTACAAAATGTGCCAAGCAGTTTTCTAGGCAAAATATTTTATCAATCCAGTATGTTTTTTTCCTCCTGGGATGTTAGCATAATTATAATATTGCTATTGCTAAAACCATGAATTTTCCAGTTTGAATAAGACTACATTTGTTCCTTGATAGAATATAATGATGGAGATAATTGAAATTTACAAGGAAAAAACCATTTGCCATATTTAGGGATGAAAAATATTTTTATCTGTCATCCAATACTGAGTAATGACACATGGTAGGACTGTGATGTAGAGGTCAGTCTGTAGTAGAAAGGATGGGTAGAGGGGTTGTTAAGGAATTCTGTCATGAAGGTAGGTCAGAAGTGTTAGGGACCAACATTTCATTTCTATTGACAGGCTCAATCAGAAAAGCTACGTTTTATTTGTTTTTATCACTCCTGGAACATTTCACTTAATTTATTGCAATTATCTTATGAAAGTCAGTGCTTTCTAACATGGATTAAAGTTACTTCTATACGTATTCCCTTTCCTAGATTCTCCCACCTTGAAGATAGGATTCACATTTAAATTGTGTTTCCTCCACAATCCCTGGGAAGGAGATACATAGTAACTATTTGTTGAATAAATATCTGAGTGCAAAATTCTGCATTTAAGTAAGATGTTCCCTCAGTGACTTATAAAAACCCATGGTTCTTTTAAAAATCCATGTCCAGCATTGTAAGAAAGTAGCTAAGCTTGGGTAAATTATGATGAAAGCTCTGCTGTCCTTATAGCACTCAGATTTACTTTGAAAGGGAATTGATATCAGCGACTGGGAACTGTAAATTATCTACTAATTTTAGGTCATTAGTTGTTCTTCTTGTGGAATATTAAACAATTCCCAACTAACATTTTTTTTAATGTTGTTCTAAAATATATGCCTCTGCCTAGCCAAGTCATTTGGCGGTCTTTCCGTCCTGCAAAGCTGATCCATCATCTTTCCAGTTTAAGAAAGATTTTAGCTGAAAACATGTTTAGTGTCAGTAACTCCTAAAAAAGAAAAAAAAGAAGAACAAAAAGAAAAACAGGATGTCAACCTGAGTAGTATCTAATTTCAAATCTGTTTGGGGATAGTCTGACCTCAATTTAAAGCCATAATTTTGGTACTGATGGTACAAATGAACAAGAGCTAAGGATAAAGTAAGAAGGAACAGATGAAGACCTTCTAACCAATAGTGATACTTATGTAAGATACCTAAAACACTAACATAGAAAGAGCTTAAAGTATATGTTCTTTAACACAATGAAAAGACTAGTTAAAACATTCAGAAAACTTGATGGTTAGATTTGGATCCCCAAGGATCAAAATTTTAAAAAGGAAAAGAAAGGAAAAAAGAGAAAATCGTAAACCTCAATATATATGTAACAGCTCCTGTTGGCTTACTCCTCTTTTTTAACCTCTAGGGCGCTACTAAAAACTTTTTGAGATTAAAGGTAGATAATGTAAAATGTGCAAGTCTTTGGTGTCATCAAACTACATTTTTTTTTTCCTAATGCAGTTTTTCTTTCTTGCTAAGACCATAGTTTTTCATTAACTTGCCTACCATGTCCTAGTTTTAGATTCATTTCATAAGGCTTTTATATGTTTTCTTTCTTCATGATGGGAAATGATTGATCAACTCACACATTCTCTGTTATGTTTCATGCCAATGAAGTAATATCCTGTAGAGTCATTTTTTAAATTATGTTTTGGTCTTACATTACAACCTGCCCATACCTGTAAAAAAGAAGACTCCTAGCTCTAACACAGCATCTAATTAATTGAGCGCAGATCAATCTGTCATAGGTCTGTAACCATTGAGAGTCAAGGGTTATAATTAATCCACACCCTTTACCTTAAGGCAGAGCTGAAAATCTATATAAAGTTTTTACCAACTGCAAATCCATATGGGTCTGCAGCAACCTCAATTCTTGCTTCCTCAGAAGAAAGAATTTGACTCAGGGGCATAAGGCAGAAGAAGTGACTGAGACAAGTTTTAGAGCAGGAGTGAAAGTTTATTAAAAAGCTTTAGAGCAGGAACGAAAGGAAGAAAAGTATACTTGAAAGAGACCCAAGCAGGCGACTTGAAGGACAAATGCTGGAGTTCGACCTTTTGACATGAGGTTTTATATGTCGGCATTCTTATGGGGTCTTGTGTCCTTTACCCCTGGATTCTTTCAGTGTGGGTTATCCACATGTGCAATGGTTTGCTAGTGCTTGGGAGGCGAGCACATGCAGTGTGTGTACTGGAGTTATACACATGCTCCAGAAGAACCTGAGGCATTCTTCCCTTTTCCAGTGGACTGTGCCAGAAGGTCTTACGCCAGTTAAATTCTGCCATTTTCCCTCTTAGTGCGTGTGTGTGGGCCCACTCGCCTAAGTCCACAGATCTTATCAGAAAGCTACTGGTCACCAGTTTCAGGTTTTTTTTTTTTCCATCTATAGGTAAATGCCTTTTCCTGGTGCTGGCTGCGACCAATTATTATTTTAGAGAGGCAGTGTGACAACTACCTGACCATCACCTGATGGTCACCTGACTTTCCTGGTGGGGTGTGAGGGCTGTCTCCTGCCCTGTTCGTGTCTGACTAGCTACCCGCTGTAACAAAGTCAATGGCAAATATAAATTATTCTACAAGTCACATATCGAATTAAGAAACTCATTACCTTTCTCTATTTTATTTTTTCCTTCCTGTTTTTTCTCCCATTTCCCTCTTCTTACTTCCCTTATACATCTTTCCATTCTTTCTTCCTTTCCTGTTCATCCCTATTTCTTTTATTTTTTCCTCCCTTCCTTCTTGGTTTTTTAAATTCTTCTTTTTTCCATTCCTTTCCTCTTTTTATTTTCTTCCTCAAGCTTCCTCCATTTTTTTTTTCCTTTCAGTCTTGTCTTTCGTTGTTTTTCTTTCTATTTTTTTCTTTTTTTTTTTTTTTTGGTCAATCTGTATGTTACATCTCCTGTATGTTCACTGAAAATTAGGTATAATGGAAAGAGGAGATGATAAAATCAGGATCCAGCTTTCCTTATTTTATTTCCTCCTTCTTCCCTTTCTTAAATTCATATTTATTGAAAACCACTTAAGTAAGTATATCTAGAAATTTGAGGTGCAGAATCTCATTTGTTCGCTGCAATGTCCAACCAAGCAAATAAAGATGCAGTGGCTAAGCAAGGGTAATTAACTTGCATAAACCCATAGGTGAATGTCAGGATTAGAAAGCAGGTATGGTTACTCCGGGGGCCCTAGTTTAGCCAAATCCTTTTACCTCTTTCACTGTCTAGATTAGCTAGTTGAACAAATCATTTGGTATCTGTTTCTTATTTTTAACCCTCTGGGAAATGAATACAACACTTGCCTGTTTCTCTTCTTCATTCAATAAAGAAGATGCCTTCAATTGTGCCAGGCATGGAATAATCAATTCCCATGATGATGATTATGGTAATGATGATAGCTTACACTTACATAGCTTTTTGTGTGCCCAAAGCTATCCTTACCTTTAGGTGGATAAATGCATGCCACTCATAATGATAACTTAGCCATTTATCTTAATTAACGCTGGTGTGCTGGATGTAATCAGTACATGTTCATTATTCACAGGTCGCTGTAAAGATAAAGAGATGTTTTGGGGCTGATACATCCTTTGCACATTGTCTTCATTTTTACATCCAGGTGCTGCAAGAGAAAAAAAGACATGTTTAACCAAACTTGATTTAGGTTGAATACAATATTCACTTAAGACCAATTTTGAGGAGAGGAGGTAGCATATATAAATTATCTATCTTTTTAATAACAGAAAATCATTAGGAAGGAAGGAAGTGTAAGAAAAATATCAGTGGCTATAATTTGCTTCCTTAACTGTAGAGATACAAATTAGAAGAGTTTCATCTGTAAATGTTTGCTTATAAATTTAAGAATAATTAATTTAAGAATAACTTATTTATTTAAGTCCGATATCCTGTGCCTTGCTGCAAGCAGCAGTATAATAATCTGTGGATACTTGGACATCAGAGACATTTTATCTTTGTGGACTTTTTATGTTCCTGTATCTTTTTATATACAATCAGGAAAATATGATTACTAGTTGAGAATTTGTAGTTCTTGTTAGCTTTCTGTATGTATAGATAAGCACTCCCAATGTCCAAATAAGAACAAGTTTGAACATTTAAAAACAGCTCAGTGGTAGAAGAAAACGCGTCTCTCATAAAAATTTATTTGTTTTAAGTTACTCCAACTTAGTTTAAAATAACCTAATTTAGCATAATGATAGTAACTTGGTGATTCATCTGTAAGGAGTTCCATTTTGTAGGAAGAAAAAAAATATGTGGGTCTCTTTAGTTATCTACAAGGTAGCAGATTTTATTATATCTTGCTCAGGAGGAAAAACTTCATGGTGCTTCTCCTTGTTGGTTAGTAGCGCTGGAGTTAAGTATTCAACAGAATCATTATTACATCTGAATCACAATGTAGCCAGAAGTTTTCGGAGATTTTATTTTTTTTTTCCCCAAAAGAAGCAAAAGCAAGTCTGATGATGACTATTTTGGAATATTTAGCCATAACTATCTGGACACACCGTGAGCAGCATATTGTACTGTTTTCCAAATTTCATGAATAATATATAACTCATCAGATACTTCTTAGATCATCTTATTCTGAATCCTGAATCTGACTGCAATTCTAAATATATTTAATCACACCAAATCCCCACGTGCTCTTTGGAAGCCATGTAGGTATATCATGGGCTGATAATTAGTCCTCACTTTGACTGGACATTTTTAATAGTTAAATGACACTACTTAATCCAGCCTAAAGGATAAATAAATCTCATAAGTCATTGCTAGCTTTTTTTTCAGAGAAGCAAGTTTTCACTGACAGTTACTTTAAAAGACAAGTCTTCTCAAGATATTTGTTTTCCCTTTTAATTCTCTTGCTTTTGCACTTAAGCTGTGCATTGTTTAGCCTACTTAACATGCAGAGCAGGAAGCTGTTTTCTAACTTTTCCCCCTCTTTTTGAAGGTTATTTAATGCACATTTACTGAAATACTGTACCTTTTATACTTTCTAATCTGTTTAAAGATTCTTCAAATTATTTTTTTTTTCAAATGCTGATATACTTGTAAAGTCCATCTAAGTGTAGGGTAGAGATGATAGCGTGTTGAAGACAAACATTCTCTTTAATTTTCTCAATTTTACCTTCTTTTAATGTCCCTTTTTTTTAAGTAAATTGGGATTTAAGCAGTAAAAAAAATATGATTCGAAAATATATAAAATAGCAATTATATAAAAATTGTTTCTTTGGGGGAAATGAGAGATTATACCTAGTTAAGTAGATGACAGAGTACTAATTATTATTTATAACCTTTATTATTATATATCTGCAAGTCACAAAAGATTAAGTTTCAGTTAACTTTGAATAGCTAGTAATTATAAAATACAATGCCAACTGTCAGAAAATCATTAACTTTTGTACACCTAATCTTTGAAATTAAATTATTTTATAATTATTTTTCTAAGCTTCTTACAATGTGCATTTTAATATTTGTTAATTTTAATACTTTTAAGATAAGCAACACTAAAATGTACCTTTTTAAGCCACTTTTCTGGGGGTTTATTTAAAAGAAATGTATTTGGTACTATAAATTTATAACAAAAAAACATGAATCTCTAATCTTTCATTTTCTTATTGGTAAACATAACAAATTTAAGGTTTTGACACCTTTAATTTTTGCCAGGAAAGAGGGTATTAAGTAAAAATATATAATTAAGAATCAATATTCGATACTTAAGAATCAATATTCTATCTATCAAATATGTGTGGGAGAAAGAATACGTAGAATAGTAGTTAAAGCAATAGTAGTGAGATGGGAGAGATCACTTGACCCCCTTGGACTTCTGAAAGGGGTGGCTTGTTTACTCAGCTGCCACTGTGCTCAAACCCCTTGCGGGAGGAAAAGCATGCAGGTAACCGGGTGCAAGAGCCAGGGCAAGTGCCTTTGGGCGCCAACAGGAATGAAACCCATACTGGCCCATGGCAGCATCTAAAGGTTGCCCATGACCTCTGGAGCCCCAGAGGGTGTGTGTTACAAACAGTGCTCTTTTAGCTTTGCTGTTCACGGATGGCTTAAGTGTTAAACAGCTCAGTGAAGAATCAGTGTCACAGCCTTTTTGGATTCCCACACCCAGTGCACCCATAATTCTTGTCCAGCGTCCAGGAAGAACCAGGTCCCACGAACAGATTGAAGGGTGGTGTATGCAGAGGATTTTATGGAGCAATGGAAGTGGCTCTCAGTGTGATGGGGGTCTGGAAAGAGGATGGAGGGAGAAGAGTTCGGAGAGGAGGACAAACTCCTCTCCAACCGTCCCCAGCCAAACTCCTCTTCATCCATCCCCAGCCGAACTTCTCTCCAACCTTAGTCTCCAATGTCCAGCTGCCTCTTCTCCTCTCAACGTCCAGATGCTTCTTCTCTTCTTTCCTTCTCTGCCATGCCACTCTGCTTTTCTGCCAGTGGAGCTTGGGGTTTTTATGGGTACAGGGTGAGGCGGTGTGACGGGCCAGGGTGGTTTTGGAAAAGGCAACATTCGAGCAGGAGAAAAGGAATACAGGTTCTCATTAGGGCCGTGAGTCCAGCCTCGAGGGTGGAGCCCTCACCAGGGACCTTGCACTCTTCTACGCAGTATTTGCCTGCCTCCTGTCTATATCAGTAGTGATAACAGCAGAGAATATATTAGGTGCTTCTATGTGTATACCATAATGCTAAGCACTCAATGTGCATTTTCTCATTTACTTCTCAGAACAACCCAATGAGATAGACTCAGATTTAAATCACTTGCTAAAGAACATAGTTGATAAGTGGCAGAATGTGGACTCAAAGCAGACTTCCTTTGTTCAGATACCTGAGTGTTAACCACCCCGATTCATTGATTTCTCTAAATCACAAGTGAAAGTGAAAGATTACACCATGCATGGTTCCTTGGCCTTTGTGCTCCAAGATACAATTATTAAAATTACTAGGTATAGGAATGTACTTGAGTGCTCTACTACCTTCTTACCTCACTGTCTTTTCATATACATAGCTTTTCCCCATTCCTACAGATTATTTATTAGATTTATGGATTGTGACCGTACAACCAAAATAAACTAAAATTTCAGATATTATCCAATTACTTGATTAATGTAGTAAGTCAAGTTGGTGAAGCACAGCTGAAATAGTGCTTTGTGTTCATTTTCTCTTAAGAAATCTGTACATTCTTTTCCAATAGAAGAAACCCAATTGTGATTAATATATCCTACATAATCTCTTTGATGCTTTGTTTGCCAGAAATAACTGTCCAAATCATACTCCTTTTTTCTGTTGTTAAGCATTTATTTCTGCTTCTCACATCTAATTCGCCAAGGAGTGGTTCAGCATCTCCCATTCTTAGTTTGGCCCAGCATGCTGTGGTTTCCAAACATGGCTTTTCTTTCTGTGAAATGACAATAATCCAAAACCTCATAAATGAGTGGTCTTCTTGCCATGTAGGATCTAAAATAGACCTATCCCGTGAAGATAAACCTGTTTTTTTTAGCTGAATATGGCTTTAATGATAGTGGAAATTTGAGGCTTTTTACCAACACAGTAATTTTGTCTATTTTGACTTGGATACAAAATTTTCCATCTCATTCAAGGACCAACTGAGGGACAGCTGTGGGAGAAAACCTCCAGGAAAAACAGGTTGGACACCAACAGTCACATCCGAGTGTGGTTTGGCCCTGGAATCTTCCCAACACACACTCTCAAGTTGTCACCTTTCTATCTGTCCAAGCTAAAAATGTCCCTCTTATTTAAAGCTAAGACTTTTGTAGTTACCACTATATCTGACATCCAGAGATGCTACTTTTCACAGCTTTCTTCTTCCACATATAGAGGAGTATTTTTCTGCTTTGATTCAGCTTAGACAAAGAAGATTTTTTTCTTTCTGAGTTTATAGTACAGACTGCCCCTGGCATATGATGGTTTGGCATATGATTTTTGGACTTTATGATAGTGTGCAAGTGATATGCATTCTGTAGAAAACGCAGTTCAATTTTTGAATTTTTATCTTTTATCTTTTCCCAGGCTAATGACATTCAGTACAATAATCTCTCGTGATGCTAGGAAGTGGCAGTGAGCCATACTTCCTGGTCATCCAGAGGATCTCAAGGGTGAACAACTGATACTCACAGTGCACTGTGTTGTCAGATGAGTTTGCTCAACTGCAGGCTAATGTTCTGAGCACCTTCAGCCTAGGCTTGGCTAAGCTATGATATTCAGTAGGTTAGTAGTATTACATACATTTTTAACTTAATGATATTTTCAATTTGCAGTGGATTTATTGAGCCATAACCTCATTGTAAGTCAAGAATTATCTGTACATTTATGTCTTGTGGATCAAGATGTTGTATAATATTGTGATTAAGGGCACAGGTCTGGCATCAGACTACTTGGGTGTGTAACCTAATTCTGCCACTCAGCAGATGCAAGCTCTTGGGTAACTCACTTAACTTCTTTGTGCCATAGCTTCCTCATCTGTAAAGTGGAGTAATATACAACTAGTCTATTTCTTAGAACAGTGCTTGACATATCCTTTCTTTTTTTTTTTTTTTTTTTGATACAGAATCTCTGTCATCCAGGCTGGAGTGCAGTGGCGTAATCTTGGCTCACTGCAACCTCTGCCTCCTGGGTTCAAGAGATTCTCATGCCCCTGCTGCCTGGGTTCAAGAGATTCTCACGCCTCAGCCTCCTGTGTAGCTAGGATTACAGGTGCACACCATTATACCCAGCTATTTTTTTATTTTCTTTTTAGTAGATAGGGGGTTTTGCCATGTTGGCCAGGCTGGTCTCGAACTCCTGGCCTTAAGCGATCTGCTCACCTCAGCCTCTCAAGGTGCTGGGATTACAGGCCTGAGCCACCTCACGCAGGCAATTTATTGAATGTATGAATAAATATAGTTTTGGAGGTTATAGTACTACAATAGTGGGACTCATCTTCCTTAATCCTGGAAACTTCTTGCCAGTTTTGTGCAGTTAAGTCCATTTCTTCTTATTTCTTCTTCATCTTGGAATTTTCCCCGAGATTTTATGTCCTGCCTTAGCAAATCTCAATTCCACTAGTCCTTGGCTTATTTGCGGAACAGGGAAAGATGACAAATTAGAAAGCAGAGATTGCCAGTTTTGTCCATCTGATGATTCACTTTAGTATTCACAAAGTACCACCAAATGGTTAATATAGTTCACATAAATTTTAAGTGTGCCATTTAAAGGAAAACTCTCTTTAGTGATGATTTCTATTGCTAACAATGCCTGTAATTTTATCTATTTGTTTCTGATAGGATTGATTTATTTGAATTGTACAAGACACTGGCCAATACACAAAGACTTGCAGAAATTAATTCCCTGCAGCCAGTCTTCTTTGCCTAAGAACTGCAGAATAGCCAGTGAAGTGAATTCATTGCTCACATGGGAAAATCTGTTTACACCATGAAATCTGCTCTCCTATGTGATACCCACTTCTGGCAAAGTCAAACCTGAAAATATTGGCAAAAACAAAAACAAAAAAGAGAGACTTAAATAAAGAGCATGTGTGGCAGATGGTGGAGACGAATAGTTGATCATCACTGTCTGCTAGTCTCACTCACTGTACTCCCTTCAAATTGTTGCAGTACCGTAATTTTGCCATGATTATCTATGAAATTATATTGACTGTTAAGCTCTGACTCACGCTTTTCTTAAGTCATCTATGGGAAAGATGACATTCTAATTACACTCCTGATTTTTTTACACTATGAGTTTGTTAAGCGCAGACACGTTTAACTAAAGAAGAAGCCTAAATGTATGTAATTTGACATTGTGACAGATTAATACTTAGGCATTAGACCAGCAGTACAATTAGATAGCTTGAATGTGTCCTACATCTTAATGTCTATATGACTTTAAGAAGTCACATTAAATCCTCCTTTTTTAAAGGGTCTGTTGCCATTTTGTTGATTGAAATAAATGAAAGTCTACCAGAAGATTTAAGTGAATTATGAGTAGGTTCATCACAATTACACCTAATTCTAGAAAATTGAAATCTAGGGAATTAAGTGTAAATTCAGAATATCTCAAGGTAAGAAACTATATTTACATTAGATTTCCTGAAGTGGTTGTTGAGGATGTAACTAACTCTTATTCTTTGAGTTATCTGAATTATTTTTAATAAGAATAAAACTTTAGTCTCTGAAGTAATTTGAAATGACAGCTAAAAGTAAAATTTAAAATTCAGATGACATTGTGTGCATATTAAAATTATATTATGCTATAGCAAATGTCATAGGATAACATACAGTTTACACAGAAATAGCCAAAATACACCAATTTCCATATAATATGATTAAATTATAGAGGCTTTCAAGCTTTTTCAGTGTGACTCAAAATAAGAAATTCATTTTTCACAGTGATCAAGTACCTATATGTGTGTGCATATATATGTGTGTCCATGTGTATATATATACATATATATATGTATGCACATATGCATACATATGTATATATGTGTGTGTATATATATGCATATATATGTATATATGTGTATATATATACACATATATATGTATGCACATATACATATATACACACACACACACACACGGACACACATATAAAAGTCTGAAACAAAATCTTCTTTAAGTAACCTGAACTTCATGTAAAGCTGGTTAGAGCTCCTTAAATGGATTCAGTCACCATCTCATGGGTCATGGCGCTCAGTTGAAAAGCACTGATCTAAACTGTCCATGATTATACCCATTTTAAATGTATTCATCAGGTTACTACCATGAGGCAGATAAAATTTGTCAAACTGTATTAGGTTGGCACATTGCCTACAGTAGTTCTTATCACAATGCCCTCAGTTACAAGGATGGGAGAAGAGAGCCTTCTGCTATTCATCTCTTCTATCAGAAACATTTCATCTGTGTTTTGAAAATTTTCATCTATGGAATGAGCTGTGCATGAGACAATAATAAATATTATCTCCCAAGTTTATTCTTAAAAGACATGTATAACTGCCAACTAGAAGTCGTGACAACGCTAAAATAACTATAAAATAGCTATTATCCATAAGCAAAGAAGCTTAACAGGTTAGTTCATGTGTATTTCCTTGTGACCACTAAATATAGAATTTTCCCATTGGACTTCTTCTTAGCAGCCTCTACTGACTCTACTGACAGCACCCTGCTCCCTAGGCTGGGTTTGAAGACTGCATTTTGTGTTATAAAACACTTCCATGGGTTATTCCCATTGACTACATTGTTCTGTTAGAAAGAAAATCTCAACTAAAAAGGTTATAGGACAGGTCCTAAAAGGGGATGAGGAGAGTGAGTGGTGAAGTTCATTCAGATCAGCAAATACCAAACAAAAAAGCAAAAGCCACATTGCTTTCTCAGCTTGGCCAGTGACATTGCATTTAGGATTAACAGATATCTTGCTAATAATTCTACCTGTGGCCATTGTGAAGGTAGATATAATCATCAGGGATGACAGGTAATCTGTCTCCCTGCTATATCCTTCATTCAACCATTCAACAGGCCCTTAATGAGCATGGGACTGGAATGGTCCTAGGATTCAAAGTATGTACTTGAACAGCTTACCCTGCCCATAGAGAGTGATATTTACAGAAAAGGTCATATGAATAGGTAGCAGACTTCAGTGCCAGACATTAAGTGCTAAGAAGAGGTAGGCATAGGATGAAGACCAAACTGGCAATGAGGAATCAAAATTCCACAGGCTATCCAGAAGAAATCTTGAACGAGATGCCTTGGAACACTGTTTTGAAGGACTCATGAGAGACAGATAACAAGTCAAGGAATAGCAGAAGAAACACATTAATATCATGAATACATTGAACAACATGAGGCTTTCCAGAAATGATACCTACCTTAGGTCTGTGGAAGTGGCAAATGGCAACATGTGAGATCCGAAAGGCTCTTTTGTGCTAAAATAAGGGGTTTGTGATTTATACTGAAGTTTATGGAGGAGAGTTTTAAACTAGGAACAGACTTGTTATTCTACTTACAATTCCTAAAATAATCATGAAATTATTTTCTTTAAATTTTGTTATTATTATTATTATTGAGAAGGAGTCTGGCTCTGTCTCCCAGGCTGGATTGGAATGTAATGGTGCAATCTCGGCTCACTGCAACCTCCACATCCCAGGTTCAAGTGATTCTCCGGCCTCGGCCTCCTGAGTAGCTGGGATTACAGGTGCCACCACACCCAGATAAATTTTGTATTTTAGTAGAGACAGGGTTTCATTATGTTGGCCAGGCTGGTCTCAAACTCCTGACCTCAGGTGATCCACCCACCTCGGCCTCCCAAAGTGTTGGGATTACAGTCACGAGCCACCATAACAGGCCACAATTTTTTTTTTATTAGGTACAGTTTTCTGCTAATCACTAGGAGGGAAACAGGTTAAAGAAAACAACAACAAAAAATAAGTGATGAACAAATAATAAACATCAGAAATCACAAAAATGCCATAAATCCTATAAAGTATTTATTAGAGTTGTGCCCTGGTACCTGACACTGCTTCTTAGATGTTACGTCAAATTCTCTTCTCTTCTTGGGAATTACATTACCCAAATTTAGAATGACTTAAAATGATTCCTTTGATTATAGTGCCAGAGGCAGCTATCACTAAGGGGTAGAGAAAGGAAAATATGATCACCCAGAAAGGTGAGCTGTTTGTACTTTACTGAACAAAAATAATTTAAGGTGTGTTGATTGATCATATACAAATAATACGGACAGTTGGATACTAGAGTGAAGTAGAATTTTCAAAACTGCAAAATGAAAATTCTTTAGTGTATTCTAAAAAATTAGGTACGCATGACTCAATGGGAAATAAAAATCAGTTTTTCCACTCCATATCTTTTAATGGATGAAATATAGGTACAAAGCACAAATGCAGCAAGTCTATACTAACCCTACTGCAACCAGAGAATTGGGAATGTGTTTAAGGTTCCCATTGTAGCTATAAACAATAACTACAAACTTAGAGTCTTAAGGCAATGAAAATTTATTTAAATCCTATAGACCAGAAGTCTGACATAAATCTGCCAGAGCTAAAATCAAAATCTCAGCAAAGCTGTATTCCCTTTCTAGAGGCTCAAGGGGAGAATCCGCTTCCTTGCCTCTTCCTGTTTCTGGAGCATGCCTACATTCCTTTTCCATCTTCAAAGCTGGCAATGACAAGTGCAGTCTTTCTCACATCACTTTATTCTTACATGGGCTTTTCTTCTGTCTCCCACTTCCACTTCTAAGAAGCCCTGTGATTAAAAAATGGCTGAGTCAGGTCATCCAGTATAATCTCCCTATGTTAAGGTTAGTTTATTAGCAACCATGGCAAAGGGGAATGAAGGTTTCAGATAGCAATGTCACCTGAAACCTTCATTCCCCTTTACCATGTTACCTAACATATGCACAGTTCCACAGATTAGGATGCATACATTTTTGGAGGGGACCATTATTCTGCCTACCAAGAGAGGTTGTAAGAGTGAATGCGCAGAGCAGCTCCTGCCCCAACACAGGGAGCACTGAGACTGCCTCTAAATCCATGCAGCCTGAGAAGGCATAATGTTGGCATGAGGGGATCTCCAGAGCTTGCTTCTCCGTGCATCACAGGCTCCCCGGGAGGTTTAACAGTGAGATTTTGCCACTCTCCAAAGTAATAGGCAGTAAATAAAGGAAAACATGTCAATGAGCAGGGAAAATCAATGAAGTAAACTGATCCAGTGTTGCTTCATTGATTTCTCCCCTTTTTATCTGATCATTGAGTTTTGTTTGCTGGTCACCAGAGATCATTTTCTTCCTTTTCCTTTTATTTACCTGCTCTGCACTCCTGAGCTCTTCAACACTCTTTTGCTCCTAATTGTGATTGCCAATTTTACTTTCAACTGATCAGCTTATTGATCAGAGTAAGGAGCCAGCATTTCAAATGTTTAAAACTCTTCCCATGAATGGTTTTTCAGCTCCTAACAAAAGCTCCCAGATCTTCATCCCTTAACAGTATTTCAGAACTCAATGTTTGCTTGAAACCTTCCTCAGAGGTTGAAATTTTGTCTTTCTCTCAAATCACAATCACTAATGAAATTCTATTACAACACAGCTTGTTATTAAAAGAGTAGTTCCAATCCAATAAGCTTTTCTGTGTGATTTCTGAAATGTTTCAATAGGCAATCCCAAGCAAAGAGTTTGAGAATATGATTTGAATATATTATCTTTGAATATGATTTGAAAATAGCCATGTTATTAGAATAACTGTATAGTTTCTCATGATGACTACAGGAAAGAAAAATGCATGGGTGTCATATTTATTACATTAAAAAAATTAGGATTACTTCAATAAATCTAAATTGCTGTGATTTGTCCCTGTGCAAAAAGTAATCACCTTTCAATTCTACTTCAAATATGATTTGAACTTCAATGTGATTCATTTTAGATTTTCACATAAAATAATAAATAGAAAATAACACATGGAAATACCTCATATCACATGATGTCTACTGTAGTGATACTTTCTTTCTTAAGACATCCCCTACAACTGAATTAATTCGATTTAACATATTTGTACTCATTAAGTATTTTAATAAGAACTGCTTATTGCAGAGGCTATTTCTTCTCATTTACTTTTAGAAATGCTTTATCATGGTTTATATGGAAGAAAAGAGAGTTTAAGAAAATATCTATTACATTTTTTCAATTCTCATTTTTCCCCCATCTTTTTATTTGTGTAAAAGTATATGTCATGGGGGATAGCAAAGATAAAATGAGCGCTTCCTTCAAGATTACAACCCAAAGGTGATATTCTTACAGTTAAAGGAGACTTTATGTACTATTTTTAAAGTAAACATCCATTCCTGAAGGCAATATTAATATTTATCATAGAATATACATTCTACAACTTTATCATCAATAATAAACATTTAGTTAATAATCCAGTTACAGAACTAATGAGTAAAAAGATCATACTGCCATATGATAATTACCTAGTTATGATGTAAAATTTGATAATTTGAGACCATTAAAATGAAGTGGCTCTAAATTGATACTTACAACTGTTTTAGTACCACACCAATACACTTTCTAGTAAAATCATTATCATTGTAAAGTAGCTAACAAATTCTATTAACTTATAAACAGTGCCCCATTTGCATCATTATTGTTCTTATTTGGACTTCTGTGATAACAAGAACTGATTTTACTTCTTATGACAAATAAACAAAGATTCAGTTGCTGGCAATTCAAGACACTGGTTTGAAGCAAATGTTGAACATGGATTGTAGGAAAGAAGACAAGTTTTTTCAGGTTGGTGATCAGCAATCAGTTAAATCCATTCCCAAGAATCAATTTTCTATTTAAACAGAATCTTGCAGATTATTAGGATTTTTGGATTTGGGCCTCCAAAGAACTTACCTAAAATATTGACATAATCATACCTGTTTTCTTTTCTTCTAAATATGAGTTTTATAATTTGTTTGTTTTAAATCTTTGTGTCACTGAATGGCAGTTTATTTACCACATGTAATTTCTGCTTGTTGAGGACAGGTGCTGAATTTTTAAACATTTTTGACTTTGATTCTAACTCAATGGGGAAAAAAGGTCTAGGTGTGAAAACACACTGTCTTTTTCTCATTCACCTGGATGTTGGAACTATTCTGAGACTCTAATTCAGGTATCTTGAACCCCACAGAAACCATGCAAAATTTTGTGGGTACATATTTGCATTTATGTGAGGAGACAGTACTTTTAGTTTTCAACAAATTATTAAAGTATATAATTCCCGAGCAAGTAATTTTGAATATAGGAAAATCCAAGGGACAAGAAGGAAAATTATGAAAGCTATGATTATTTCAGTGAAAAAGTAAACATGAATGACCAAGAATTGGGTCTATTCTTAGTGGGATAATCAATTGGTTATTGTGGAATATATGCCCCTGTCTGTTCCTGGGTTTTATAAATTCTCTTTATCTATATCAGTGAATCATCTCATTTGCAGCAGTTATTTCCTCTCCACGCTGCTCCTTCACATGAGTACCGCTGCTGTCTCTAACTCCGCATGGGTAAAGAGGAGAACCAAAGTGAAGCCACATCTCTGATGTGCATAAATTGATCGCTCCTAAGCAGTCCTCGCACATTTTTCTGCTGTAGTGCAGTTTTCATGTGCCAGCCAGCAGATTCATGTTTGAGTTGATTCAGCAAGACTGCTTGAGATGTGGCGTACAGAATCTCCACTCTATATAATAATGCCACATTCAGAATGACAGTGGTCTAAGCCTAAGGGCAGTAAATGCTTCTTGAGATACATTCAATTGCTGTTTGAGTTTAGCCTAAGGTACAAAGAAAAGTTGCTGATGCTTTCAGACATGTTTAAACATTTTAATATTGTCTTGGCATGTCAGCTTGAACTAGAGCACTCCTAGGTATAACACAGTGAAATCCTGTAATTAAAGGACCAGAATTTCTAAAGGTTTAGATAGTAGCTCTCTACTTGAACTTCTTAATTAAATGTGCTTATATCTCTGAAAATGTTCTGTTATAAGCATTGTACTTGCAGTGATATTGGTCAGTCTATTATCCATGATGAGGAGATATAAAAGAAGTAGAATGGGCCAGGCACGGTGGCTCATGCCTGTAATCCCAGCACTTTGGAAGGCCGAGGTTGGGGGATCATGAGGTCAGGAGATCGAGACCATCCTGGCCAACATGATGAAACCCCGTCTCTACTAAAAACACACAAATTAGCTGGGCATGGGGGTACATCCCTGTAATCCCAGCTACTCAGGAGGCTGAGGCAGGAGAACTGCTAGAACCCGGGAGGTGGAGGTTGCAGTGAGCCAAGATTGTGCCACTGCACTCCAACCTGGTGACAGAGCTAGACTCCATCTCAAAAAACAAAAAACAAACAAACAAAAAAGAAGTAGAATGTATTGTTGTTAGATCCTGGGTTATTGCTTGGAACAGTTAATTTATTGCACATAGCATAATATATCTATGATCATTATTTCAGGGGCCTATTGCTTTGTCAATGAACTATTTCCTCAAAACAAACAAACACACAAACATAACTTAGTGGCTTCAAACAACAAAGATCAATTACTTCTCACATTTCTGTGGATTGACTACATGGTTTTTCATGTTCTGCCTGGCTCACTCATATGACTGCATTCACCTGGAGAACTGACTAGGATAGACTTTGCTGGGTCAGCTGGGTCTCTGTCTCAAGTGGGGTTCCATCTGCAAAGAGGCTAGACCATGCTTTCTCTCAGGATGGTGATCCCAAAGTTCTAAAGGTGAATGCAAAGTTGTGACCTCTTAATAGCTGGGCTGAAAATAGCACAGTATCACTTCTGCCACATTCTGGTTGTCAACACTAGTCCAGCTTCAAGGGATGCAAAATCGACAGTAAGAGTAGTAATGTCACATTCCAAAGTGGGTATGTGTAGGGAGACTGGAAGAATTTCATGTCCATGCATCATGAAATCTTCATAGCTCATGCTGAATGGCTGTTTTGTTTTATGATTTTTGATGTATGGTGCATTTTAGGTATTTACCCTGTGTTTAGGTTGTCTTGTCCTGATTTTCAATTTCTCATTCTTAAAATAATGTATTGCTAATTTTGACCCATCTTTTAATGGAGCTGCTCCTCGTGCTGCCCATGCAAGCAAAGCAAGATAGCACGCTGGCAACCTAGTATCTTAGGGGCAAGTTTCAAGTGAAATCATTAATCGTGAGGTTGATCTGTGAGGTTGTAAAGATAACTCCAAATAATACATCATTTGCCCTTGAATTTTGAGCAACCATGACACGTGATGAATAAATCTTTGGCAAACTCCTAATAGAAAAGTAGTAGGAGGATGCCTAATGTGGAGTAACCAGGATCCAGTGGCCAGCGTATGTCTCTAGATAGATAGTAGCTCTGTGTATCACAGACTCTATCAGCATAAATCCATTAGCACTACTAGAAAACTAACTGAAAATAGGTACCCATTTGCTTGACAATTGGTATTTATTCCATAATAAATTATCTGAAACCCTTGGAGCCAGATACATTTCAAAATTTGGAATCCTTCATATGTTATAAGACGTTATATGTTATGCATGTGTCATATATTATTTTAAAAATCTAAAAGTCTAAGGCCATGCTTTTAATTAAACACATTATTTCTATAGTAAAACATATGAATATTCACACTAAGTGAGACAAAAAAGATGCAAATAGCCTTGCATTAATTCATATCAGGTTCGTTGTAAACTTATGAAGGGGGAACAAGATCCTTTTGTTTTCCTAAGATATTTTGAAGACTGAATTTGGATTAGGGATTGTGCACCTGAAGCAAGTAATATTTATTGAGGGCTTACTGCATGTCAAAAATTATTATAGGTACTTTATATATATTAACACATTCAATTCTCACAGTAATTCTAAGAAATTAATACATTCTTAAACATTTATTACACAGATGAGGAAACTAAAATCAAGGAACTTGTCCACATTTATACAGCTGTGAAGTGACAAAGTTAGAATGTGAATCTAGATCACCTGGCTACTGAGCCTGTTCTCTTAAACAATATCCTTTTTATTCCTGGAAGACTTCAGAGAGGAAAAAATCTCTACCTCCTTAAATCTCTCCAGGGGCTATGACCTACTATTTACTGAACACCTACACGGCAGCCAGGACCATATTACGAGCTGTATAGACATTAACTCTTTTATCCCACAATAAATGGGGGAGTAGGTATTATTATCTCACATATAAGGAACTTGAAGCTCAGAAAAATTATGTCAGAAGTCACACAGCTTCTACGTGGTTGAGCCTGGAATCACACTGAGCAATACTGGGACTCTAAATCTCCTGCTCTTTTTAAAAGTTCATTGCTCTTTGCAGGAAGGGCCCAGGAATGGTACAGATGATGCCACAGCAAGGATTGATTGATTAGCCAGTGTTCCTATACTCTTCTATTTTGGTTAAATCAAGTGATCCTGTAATAAATTAAAAAACTCTTTGGAAATCTTAATGGCCTTTTTGTGGCCAGAGTGACACTTACTTAGATAACTATAAATTTCTCCTCTTCCAGAAAGTGTTCCTACATTTAGAGGATCACAAACTGCTGGTCTGAGTCAGTGATTCCCGCCCTGACCGTGAACTGTGATGTGTTTGCCTGTCCAGTCTTCCTAAATTCCCCAAACCGGCAAAAGGCAGGGATATTTTAGTTATTTACGTGAAAAAGCCAAGTCCAACTCACTTGTGCATCTTTTGGATCTTGTCTCCTCACCTCCAATCTTTATTAACTATGATAATAATCATCCAAAAAAAAGTTTTGGTTAACCAGCATTTAATTATTTTTTTCTCAGCCCTATCATATAAAATAAAAGTAAACAATTTTCTAACAGGTATTTTAAAATAAAGCATTTATTTAATCATTTGAGTAAAAGATATTTTCATTTAGACTAATGACAGTGAAGGGAATGTTAAAACATTTGTTGTAAAACATTTTTCACTGATCTTTTGTTTTTCTTGTTTACCCTTTTGTAAAACCTTTTGTAAGTCCACCAAATTTCACTAGCATTTAAGTGTGCTTCTAGAAAAAATAAGTCTTTGTGTAGAGGGAAGTCAAGAAACATAGAAAGAAAACCAAACACTTTAAAAAGGAAAAAAGGAAAAAGTTCCTGCATGTGGTTTTGTTTTGTGTTGTTTTGTTATTTTGTCTCTAAAGGAAAGAAATACCAGGCCGGGAGCAGAGGCTCACGCCTGTAATCCCAGCACTTTGGCAGGCTGAGGAGGGCAGATCCCTTGAGATCAGGAGTTCGAGACCAGCCTGGCCAACATGGCCAAACCTCATCTCTACTAAAAATACAAAAAATTAGCCTGGTTTGGTGGTGCATGCCTGTAGTGCCAGCTACTCAGGAGGCTGAGACATGAGAATCGCTTGAACCCAGGAGGCAGAGGTTGCAATGAGCCGAGATCGTGCCACTGCACTCCAGCCTGGATGACAGAGCGAGACCCTTCTCGAAAAATAAAATAAAATAAAACAAAATAAATAAAAAGAAGAAAATACTTCTTATTTTTTTGCAGATTTTGTCAAGTAATGTTAATCATATGCCAGAGCTTGATGTTAATGAACAAATTGGAGGAATGGTGTGGGCATCTGGGAAGTCCATACGTTGACTTAACAATCCGTTTATCTCACATGGCCAGCAAATTAAATAATATGTGAGTTAAACAAATAAATGATACATACAGTTTTACATATCTGATCTTTAAGAAAACTCATTGGAAATATTTTAATACTAAATATAACATGTTCATACCTTCTCTCAGCAAATGCAAAGATCCATGTATCTCTAGCCTCAAGCCAAGGACCTGGAGTAGAGTGAGTGTCTGGGATTCTGACAGGATGCAAAACTCAGCATACTTAAAATCCTTCCTGGTGCAGAACTGTCTTCAAGTCTTAATGAGTCTACTGTGCTCTCCTATAATAATTTTGTCTCTAATGGGTTCTGAATTATGTAAGGCATCTTCTGGAAACATGAAATTCCTCTCTAAACCTGGGCTTTCCTTGTTATTTCTAAAGATTCTATTATCTATCTGTCACTTCTTGTTGAGGTCATTGTAACAGCATCTAGCAGCATCTGCCCACCACCCATCCATCTACCCTGCCTAGTAAAAACAAAAATACTATGTTTTTGAGAGATAATCTGACTTCTTAAGAAAACATATAATTTTCTCCACTTTCCAAAATGTATAGTTTTAGGGAGGTTGTTTCATTCTTTTCACTAAGTAGTAAAATTTGTGACTCTGTGACATCTATTTCCTGTGCTACTCAGATTTTTTTTTCTCTTTCTCTGCAGACTGTAGCTTGTTCAGATGGTTATGAGTAGCAGTCATTGACCTCTAAATAACTCAGCTGTTATATTTTAAGAAGAAGCAATGGGTTGTAGTGGGAAAACAGTAAATTGAAAGTCAAAACACTTATTCTTCGGCTTCAGCTCTCCCGTAGCTTGGACCCGTTCGCTGTTCCATCCTCCTTGCTATATGATTGAGGTGCTAAATTAAAGAGATGAACTTCATGTGGGAAGTACTTCATGTGTTATGAATTGTTCTAAGATTGTTTGCTAGTTTGATGGCTTAAAAACTGTTACTTTCTCCCAGCACTTTGGGAGGCCAAGGCAGGTGGATCATTTGAGGTCAGAAGTTCAAGACCAGCCTGGTCAACATGGTGAAACCCCATTGTATTTTGAAACAATACAAAAATTAGCCAGGTGGTAGTGGTGCGCGCCTATAACTGTAGCTACTCAGGAGGCTGAGGCAGGAGAATCGCTTGAGCCTGAGAGGCAGAGGTTGCGGTGAGGCAAGATTGCACCACTGCACTCCAGTCTGGGCAACAGAGTGAGATCCTGTCTCAAAAAAAAAAAAAAGAAAAGAAAAAAAACTCTACTTTCAAGAGAGATATTAACCTTATGTCTAGGAAAGGATCTTAACTTTCTAATAAGATGCAATGATTCTAGTAAATAGCATAACTTGGTTAAAATGGAAACCTCTACAAGTAATGCTAAGCAAGAACAGGATTTGATGGATACCATTTTTTTACTTCCAGTCTTCTCAAGGTTTGATATGATTGATGGGGTATGCGGGCGTTGAGAAATACAGAAACAACAACAAAAAATTCTCTAAGGAACTGGCTTTATTGTGGAAAATGCTTACAGAGAATACTATTTTATTTTCCTGTTGTTCATTTGTATTGATTTACTCAATGCCAGCTAAGATTTGTGATCAAGTGTCTTCCATCTTCACTGAGATCAAAATTTAAAACAACAGTACTAAAGCATAAAATAATGTTCTTAGATGTTAGAAAAGACATCCTTCAGTGAAAGACTAAGAAGAGTTACTAATTGTGAAAGGCTTTCCTCTATAATGCCACAAAAAAATAGGACAGTTTAAAAGTATGTCTTTTATGGAAAGAAGAAATAATTGCATGTGATGTTTATCTAAGATCCTGCATAAATTTTGTGTTGAAAAAATTCATAATATATGCATGCATAATTAAAATAAGAAAATATGTAAACAAAGAAAAATACTTTTCCACTCATGCCCTTCTTTAATAAGTTGCATCGTAATACAGATTGCATTTGTTAATCATTGGTATTTCTTTGGAAGATTCACTTTAGTCAACCAAATTGGAAGTTTTGATTGCTTGTGATGAATCTCTTATAGCCCTTCTTGATTATTTTTCTAAATTTGATGACAAACATTGCAACATGTCTCAGCCAATTAGGCTTGTCAACTTCCTCTGTGGTCCCCAATCAAGTGTTTTACTTTGGAAATGACAGGAGATCCTTATTAAAAGTCATGCTTCTTGGATAGAGATGTGGCAGCTTGCATGTATATGATGGCACAGAAGACAAGCTGCCTTTCGTTAAAAGCAATAGAGGAAATCAATTTTGGCAGAAAATACTCCAGACTGTGAAGTAAAGACTGAAGGAAAGAACTGAAGAGCATCTCACTTATAGCTGATTGGAGATTCAGTCAATCTATTTAATAAATGATTATAATCTCTTATGAGCTGTAGGTAGTTTAGGTACACAAGTTAAAAAGTAAGAAGACTTGTTTGAGCATGAATATAGAATTACAAGCTGTTTATAATGCATCTCAAACAACAGGAAAACAAGTGCAATGAATTTCAAACTAAAAACACAAATTAATCCCTGAAAAGCAGCCACCTGTATAAGTCACTGTGTAAGTGAAATGACATATTGTGTGAGACATAAATGTGGAGAGATGATTGGAGACAATTCAGGGTCATTTCTGCAGGGAATAACAACCACATTCATAAAGATTTTTTTATATTTTAGAAGCTAAATTCCTGATTATTTTCCCATGTCCTTGCTATTCACTATCATAAGAAAAGAGGAGCAATTTGAATTTGTTGAAGCAGTGAAAAAAAAAAAAGGAAATATTTTGAGTAAAATGCAGACCTGATCTTACACTTTGCATTTCTATCCTTTTTTCCCCCTGTTCAAAGCATTTAGGTCAGGTTAAAAAAAAAAAAAAAAGAAAAGAAAAAAGGATCCCAAAATAGGAAATATTCTCAAAGAACTTGCAGTTTGTTCATTTAAACCAACTAGATTACAAAAACCACTAATAAAATTTGTCAATAATTTGATTATTATAATGCATCTAAGATACGTATTTGAGAAACAGACAATTTAGGGTAAAAAAATGAGTGGGAAAGTACTTTTTTCTTTTGATGAAAAAATTAAGAGAATCTGCTCACTTGTAAGTCAAATGGCAGCATCGGCAACTGGAATAAATAATTAACCTTACATTTTACCTACAGGAAAGGGTCAGCTAATTCTAGATTTCCGGTGTAGAACACTAGAATTTCCTTGTTAACGCTTAGTCAAGGGCATAAAAATCCCAGGACGCTGTTTCAATAATCGATGGGCCGACAAATGTCAATACTTCAGTTACCCATCATTGAAGGAAAAAATGACAAACATTAGTGGCGAGCCTTCATTTAGGAGATTTAGCCAAGTAAAACGTCTAAAATATCCTATACAAATGTTAAACTACAGGGGATGGGGTGTGGAAGCAAAAGCAGAAAGTGTACATATCTTGGGAATAATTTAAATAACTTCCTCTTCTATTTTAAACGAATCTACTAGGATTGTGCATATGCACATCTCACTGATTCCACTGGTTGCAAATATATTTTCAGAGGTCAAATTCGTCAGTCTTTAAGTCCCAAGCCTTGTAATAAAATGATACCATGTGATAACAACTGGAATGCAGTCATATTATGTTCTTTTGTTTGGCAATAAAAAACAATAAAACATTTTAAATAAAACCCTTCAGGTTATTGCCTCAGAATCTGTTGAAGTAGAACAGGCTTTTCTCTCTCCCATTCTCTCTTTCTCAAACAAAGTCTGTAAAAACATGTTTAATATTTAGAAAATACATAACCATTCTCCAAAGACAGACACATGCTTTCAATTATACATACAGGTAATTATTAACTGTCATCTTTAATCTTGTTTCCTAAGAATTCTTTGTACATGATTTAGCCTTTTAGAAGTAAAAGTCATTTCCCATTCCATTGGACAGCACCATTAATTAGAGTACAGGCTAGTTCATCCAAAGTTTAGTAACTTACCCGTATTCACCCAGTACATTACATTTCAGATAAGATGGCCTGTGTATTTTGATGTGAACACATCAGCACATATTAGGTCATTTGGCATGGTAGGAGGGGGGTGAGGGGATGTGGGCTAGGGTGGGCAGGTGCGTGATATTGCTAGTATGCTTATACCTGTAACTACTGGTTCCTTGCTTTTTAGTTTTTACCACATAATGTGCTGTCAATTTAGGTTCTACTTATGAGTCACCCCATGTCTTAGAATGTATTTTAAATATAAGGTTTTGCATATTTGCATTCTATGAATAATGTATAAGCAGGAAGAAATCCAATTGGCAAAAGCACACCACTTCTGGGATAATTTATAAATCCAGAAAATTGTCTATTTGGATTTAATAATTTTTCTTATGGATGTGGAAAATATTAGCACCCATACAAATTTACCTATGTATTTAGAGCTTCTAACTGAGACCATCCTCATGTCCCTGTCCTGTAACAAACACACATATATCTGTTTCATCTACACACTTAAATGTATCATTTTGTCTACTTTCCTGTTCTATAATATTGGATGTCCTTGCAAAACCTTATCTTTGATGCACATGGGATTAAAAACTGTCCTATGGAATGATGAGCTAGAGGGTGTTGGGAAATGAGAAATAAGATGGTAAGGAATATATTTATATATTTCCTCTAATTTCATATAGATCAGGGGAGCCTGTTGAGGAGTGTCAAATACTAATGGCTTATTCTCCTTGGATTTCAGATTCAAGGCCTCTTCCAGATGTAGCCCTGACTGGGAAGTGCACTCGTGAGTGTGATGAGTATGGCCACTCAGACTCCTGCTGGATGCCGGTCCGCACTTCTCCGGAGAGGAAGAAGAGCCAGCCTAAACTGTCCACTTTCATGCCTGTTGATGAACGAGGAAGCCAGGAAAAGCTGGCCAATGGGGAGGCCGCCATCATGGGTGACCGCAACAGAAACCTCCTGAACAAAAAGTTGACCTCATCCTATGAGACCTTCAGTGCAGCTAGTTTCAGCAAAAATGAGGAAGCCAACCCTGAGGATATTCCCCTTACAAAAACAGGGGAATATAAGCCATCTCCTGTCAATACTCTCACTAGAAGAGAAGTTTACCTGTAGGCTATAAAGGAGCAACAGCAAAGTTCTTTACATGTATGAAAAGGAGAATAAGGGGCAAAAACCTTACAAAGCAAAACGTTTAATCACAAAGAGGGGGCTACCAAAGAGACAAAGCTTTGCCTGCCACTTCTGCCTCCAGATCAGGCCTTTAGTGATACTGTTAGCCTGATTCTACTGTACAATGTAGAAACCATCCTTGTTACTTGCATGTCTAACCCCTTCACTGATTCCCAACACTCACTTTCTCTTCCCCACCCCTCTCCAAAAAAAAAAAAACAAAAAGAAAAGAAAAAAAAAGGGGGATAGTTGCAAGTTTCTTTCACAGTAACTGTACGAAGCCTGATTAGCAGAACACAACACACCCTCATTATCCCTAAGCTGAAGCATGATTTTAGTCACTTTGATTTTGTTCGAGTGTCATCTGGCTGGTCAAAAATAAGCAGGACAGATAAAATGTATTTCAGACATACCATCAGAAAATGGTTTATCACCATCAAAGGCAATCCTTTGAAAGTGATAGAGTCCCTCTAAAGGTACAGTCCTTAGAAAGAGGGACTGTATTAAAAAGTATTTTGGGAATATCAAAGCTTTAATATTCCAACAAAGACTAAGAGAAAAACAATACTCAGTGGGTGATTGCAGTCCTAAATTGTCATATGTTGTTATTTTCAGGTCAAGAGCATCAACTTCAATTCCATACATTCACCAAATATTCTCAGTATACACACAGTCTTGATTACATGTATCAATTTCACCAGTTATGACTTCTAAAAATTATATATATTTTTTCAGAACAAGACCACTATTATTAACTAACTTGAACAATTGTATCATCCAAAGGCCAAAGATCATATGGCAGATCAGGGAAGTCATGAAGTTGATTTGGTCTTGACGTGGAAAACCATTAAACAACAAAAGCAACTGAACCCATGTATGCACAGAAACAATCAAACACTAGTTCATTTTATAGTGCCCAGGAAAATGTTCCTTCTTTTAAAATGGATTTTATTTGAAAGCGCAGAAAATGAAAACTAGTGAGATATATTTTTGGTATTATAATAGGCAATTGGTTGAGGTTCAAGTTTAGTTTCAGGTAATATTATCAGGGAAGATTCCATGTTTTAAAATAGTATTTATGGATCATGGGTAGGTTAAGAAAGATGCATTGGCATATAGTCTTGATAGTTAAGTCCACGATTATCATTTTAGAATCCAGGCTATGCTTGCTGCTCTTTTTATCCACATTTTAAATTACAATTGCATTTTTTACTTGTTCAGTGCACACTTTGATGCACCACAAGTGCATTAATTTTGAATCGTGTGCAATATAGAAATATTTTGAGACTCACAACATTGAAACAAGGTGACACCCTAGTTGACTTTATCACTAATGTGATTTGAACATTATTTAAACAAATCTAGACTGAACATGAAAGAAAGGAGTTTTGGGCAGTGACATTTTTCACAGAATGTATATCTCAAAGGTGAAAGCAGAGTTTTTCCAGTGCAATAAAAAGAAACAGAATATGCAGATTTTGAGCTACTCACTCTATAGAGGATAACCTAACACGGCTGAAAATTGAGCTGGGACATTCAGACGAAAGTGACAATCCATGGACAGAATAGGGAATAACAGGTGTGAAGAGAACAAACTTATCACTGAATGTTTGCAAGCTGGTTAAGGCATAGCCTTGATGGCTCTCTAGCAAACTGTAGAAACAATGTAGCTTTGGGTAGTTTCATGCTTTGCAGAATTTCTTAGACTATAAAGTGACACAGCCTGGAATATAGGTTGATAATTCACTATAGGTCTTCAAAATACTTATCTTTGAAAACCGCTTCTCTGTTTGGTGGGGTACAATTTGGGGGTCATTTCCTTATGCTCTTTCTTAAATGGAGTTTTCATTTTGATGTTAGTTTATGTATAATAGGTAGGATGCAAAAAGATATGTAATTGAAACAAAAAACATTGGACTAAAATATCAGTAATTGAACATGTTTATGTTTGATTATTATTTACACTATGGAAAGATGCAATTCTAGTACTTTGTTAGGAAACTGCATTAAAGCAGTTCTGCCTTGTATAATCTGTAAGTACCTATTAAGACAAAATACTTCTAAAGATACTTATGAAATGTATACACATTTTTTCTTGCACGTTACAAAGAAAATACTCAATTGCATAACACGGATGTTTGACAAACTTTTTTTTTTTTAATGCATTTCTTTCTTTCATGAGACATTGAAACCACTGATAGCTCATTTCACCCTATCTTAAACCCTTCTCTTGTCTATAAAACTAATACGGGTCACACCGGACCTTCGGATTAATTGGATCCACATTCCCCAATGATGTTTGCACCCCATTCAAGATAGCCATGCCATTGTCATTTAACTCGTGAACCTCTCTTTAAAACTAAAATGGATGTGAAAGAATAAAATTCAGTGTACTGTAAGTATTCACAGTAATTCTAGTAGAATTAGCTGTCATAACATGTTTATTATATAATGAGCTGGCATGACACAGAAATATATTTTGTGTTTGTATGACTTTTATTTTAAATAGGTTAAATCTGGTGCCACTCCATATATAGAGTGCTTTTGAAAAAAAATCAATAAAAAGAAACAAAAAAAATAAATGAGTGAATGCAAAATAAGCAACTGTGCCTTTTATACCTGTTGTTACGGTAAAAAAACGGTTGTTGGGTTTGGACAATGAGGGGAAATGGGCTATTCCCAACTTTTTTGATCCTGTATATTTGTCCATGTTTATTTTCTGAACATAATAAATAATATATTAAAAATTTGCCTTCTGACAAACTCAGATAATGGACCAGTCTTAAATATTGTTATGTCATAAAGCAAAGTTAAGGCATTAATATGGGCTGCTTAAATCTGACTAGAAGATGAAAGCGTTTATTGTAAGTGTAACACAGAGATACTATCAGGAGTGAAATCAGTCCATTTGGCAAGGTAAAATACTGATTTAGAGTTTTATTCTTTATTTCTTTTTTGTTGTGTTTCTTTCAGCTATGGTTTCATTTTGGTTGTACAGTATATAAACCATATTTGTTTTCTGTACACAAGACTCTCAAGTGAATTTTGCATGCATTATACATTAGGACACATTTATAAATTAATGAGTAACTATATAAATTTATGTGTATTAAAACGTCTGTAGCTTCAATCTAAAATCTACTGCTCTTTCTGAATCTCCAGATATCATTTCTGTATGGTTTCTGACTGGCCTGCTGCCTGAGTTTCAGAAAACAAGGGAGGCATTATTTTTATGGGAGGAGGAACTAAGATGGTACTGAGGATGTCTGACTGAAACACTACCCTAGGAAGCTGTCTTGTAGGAAAATAGAATAAAACACACAGACCAGAAGAAATTGTCAAGAAGCAAACAGCCATCCAAAAACAGTCATGAGAAATCTAAAGACCTAAATAATCTTAGGTATATGCTCTCAGTGAGAAATAAGAAAATGTGTCCTTAAGCAAAAATAAATAAATAAATAAATAAATAAATAAATAATAAAAAGTGAGCATGATCATGAATATAGTAAATCTTGTGAGTTGTGACCTAGGTGAAGGTGTAATGATAACATCTGGAGGAAGCATCATTTGTTCAGCTACCTAGGGTTTACTTTCAGACTTTTCCTACAGTTTAAAGCACTTGCGTTCAGTGTGGTACGATCTGTTTGTAATGTTAATCATTGACTATTGTTCTGCTACTTGGATGTTGATAGTGAAGCAGAGAACAATTTATCATCGTTTATTATGAGTCACTATGCACGCAACTATGCTTAACATGGCGAAATGTATTAAACACTCGTCCAACTATTTATGAAATACTTTGCATAATTTAATTTGCTTTTGTACAGTTTTATGTAAATAAATTGCTTGTCATTTTTGTCTCTGCAAATTAAAATATAACATGGTCAAATGGTTTCACACTTGTAAGTGTACTTCTCTGTTGACAGGTAATTCAGTTTTGATTGGACGAAAAGTGAATGGATGCATGTACCAGTTTGATTTAAGATGGTTTGATTCCTTGTAAATTAAGACACAACAAGGAGGCTAATGTGGCAGCAATTGTTGATTTAGGGGGGGCCATTCATAACTGTCACATTACTTTGCCTCGTAATGGAATAGAACTCGGATCCTTCAGTTTCATCAAAATAATTCCTGAGACATTTACCTAGCTAGCTTATTACCTTAAAGTGTATGGCAGAAAAAGGAACTTAACATCATTAACATGAAGACTGATTTATTTTCAGAGGCATCTACAGGAATTTCACATTTAAGATAAAAGTAATCCTAAGTCAAAATGTATCTTTGTTTTGGAAATATTTGTTTTTAATCTAACTTAACAACAAATACAAAAAAGTTATAGGCTTTAAAAAATCATGCAAAATGTAGAGAAAATAAAGGAAAAATATAATTTTTACTTCGATAACTTACTTTTTCTTTAATGGACTTTCTCTACTTTTCACATTTTTTCTATATTTTATTATCTATTTTTAATCATTCCACTTACAATTTGTTATAAAATTCTGTCCCTAACTATTATAGTTATCTTCTTTATTTACTAAATTGGTATCTATTCGAGTAAGCACCTTTTCTTCTCCAATCTCTCAAGTACGGCCTTTTTTCCAACTCAGAGACTTAAAAGAGAAGGAAAGTACTTTCTATATATACTAACAGATTGCTTGGAATTTCTGTCCCATCTCACAATAGCAATGCTAAAATCTACCAATGTGAAAAAATATTCTAAAGATCTTTACCTGAGGCTTCTCTACTAGATTTTTCCCCTCTCTTATGTGAAAATGTAATATATTTTATTTATATTAGATGACGTATATTTTCTTGAATCAAAGATATCTCTGAAAATTGAGTTTGACAGGCAGCCTTTCTTCTCTAAAGAAGGAATTAGGGTGAAGTATGGTGAGAAGGTCTACTTCAAATTGGAATGGGGTGAAGAAGTGATATGTCCATTCATTTTGGCTTTCTGCTTTTCTAGTGGTGAGAGCTAAACATGAGTACATATTTTAATGGAACAGTACATAAAATAAGATCACTATGAAGTAGACTTTAAATTTTCACATAAGAGAGGGGAAAAAACATGGCTAAAAAAACCTGCATGGAACTGCTTCCAAGGCATAGATTTGATTATTCTACCATCTCTGATTCAATGGAAGAATTTCATCTCATAACTTAGAAGCTTGACTTTACCTGTTTACAGCAATACTTCACATTTACTATAAGATTTATCTCAAAAGTCTCATATCTGCAATGTAAGCTATAGTTAGATAAGCCATTTATCAAGGATGATTTTACTTTTATTTACTTTTACTTATTTTTAATTTATTTTAATTAATTAATTTTTAGAGATAGGGCTTTATTCCATCTCCAGGCTGGGGTGCAGTTGTTGGATCGTAGTTCACCATCACGTGGAACTCCTGGGCTCAAAGGATCCTCCCACCTCAGCCTCTCTCCCAAGTAGCTAGGACTACAGATGCATGCCACCACCCTGCCCAGGTAATTTTTTTTTTTTTTTTTTGGAGAGGCAGGGTCTTGCTATGTTGCTCAGGCTGGTCTTGAACTCCTTGCCTCGAGTGATCCTCCTGCCTCAGCCTTCTCTGTTGCTGGGATTACAGCCACTGTGTCTGGCAGATTTTACTTTTAATAATTTTCAGGTTAATAAAAATTTGAACACAAAGTTCTACCAATATTAACATGTTTCCCTCTTCTGGCTTATGTACCAATCCAAACATTTTACATGATTTACCATGGTGACAAGAAAAAAAAAAACTTTCCACATTTACCTGAATAAAATAATTATTTGTTAAAGTGGGAATTTCAGGAGGAGGACACTAATTATGCAGATAGACATCTAATTATCTTCACTTGACATTGCACAGCATACTCTGGCAGTAATTGTAACTTGTATAGTATTTCAGACATCAAATTGTAAATCTTGAAAACCTCATAGCCACATTTCATCCTACTTAATACCCCTGACCTAGTCTATCAGGCAATGAGATTTTGGTGGACCTTGGCTTGATAAAAAGTCAGTCTAGCTTTAGGAACTCAAATGATCATGACCAACAGTCAGCATTATCAAAATTGATCAGATAATTGTAGAGTTCCCAAATTGACTTTAGTTTTCATTCAGCTGATTTCACAGAGAAATTGTCTATTGAGCTTTTGTCTTTTTTATTTTCTTTTTGTATTTTTAACCTTTTCGTGTCCTCATTCCAAAGCCTTTGCCACACTTTGAGAAGTTATTCACTCTGTGCCTTTACCCTTTCAAAAGCAAACCTCACTTTCCCAGCAGAAAAGGGGATGTTAAATAGCTAACCAAGGTCCAGAGGATTTGCAACCCAAGCAGCTTTATTTTAATGGAAATTTACAATATCAGCTAAATTGAGCTCTTAGGAAACAGAGTGAATAGGGACTGAACTTATGTTTGTTTATTTTCTCTTATCTTTATCCTTTACTCTAATACTTGTTTATAAACTGCATGAAGGAAGGTGATTAGCCAAGATAATATAAATTTTCTAAGCTGCAGGGAGTGAGGAATGGCTATGAATGTAAAATGTGGAAAGCTATTTATGCTTTCCTTTAACCCTTATTTTATTTTTTCCTGTTGTGTTTGGGTTAAATGTAAATTGTATTCATTTGTTGATTTTAATATGTGTGACCCACACAGAAATAATTTTATTTATTGAACCTCCTGTGGGAAGATGCTTAATAGTTTATAAATATAAAATTGTCCCCAACACTACCAGATGATGCTAAAAGATTTATAGTTTATCCATGATGTTCAGTTTTGTTTTTTCCATTAAGTTATCATGGTTCAAATTATCCATTACCAAAAACGTCATGAGAAAGATGCATGAGATCAACAAAGTAATTTCAGATATAATTGTAAAGAGTAGAATGAGTTTTGAAAGACAAAAGTGTTCATGAGTGCGCCTATTTTTTTTTTAAAAAGTGCATTGTTAAAGAAACACTTGATAAGAAAACTAAAAAAAAAAAATAAAAACAAGATTTTAAAATTTTGTCAATTTAACTAAAAGTGCATGACCATATCCCAGACTTAGTAAAATTGTTGTAACTTGATAGGATCATGTCATTTTTTTGTGTGCTTTATATAATATTACACAAAATATATTTATTGCAATTTTATGGATAGTTATCAAAACTTGACTGCATATTTAAACCATTTTATAATACATTTATGTAGAGGAAGTGAGAGCAAAATAGTAGAAAGAAATAAAGTAAGTAGTTGCATAGATCATTTATTTATAGTTCTATCATCTGGCTGTAGAAGGAAAATAATTATTTGAATGCTTCTCCAGACCCTACAATACAGCTGGAATATGCTCAAATAGCTATTTCTTAAACTGGAGTTTGAGGTCCACTGAGAGAAGACAGACTTTTAGGGTTCTAGGTATTCTATAAGAATTTTTTTAGTTTTATTAATATAATAAAGTAATATTTCAGCATATTTTTTTTTTTTTTTTTTTGAGACAGAGTCTCACTCTGTCACCAGGCTGGAGTGCGGTGGTGCGATCTTGGCTCACTGCAACCTCCACCTCCCAGGTTCAAGTGATTCTTCTGCCTCAGCCTCCCGAGTAGCCAGGACTACAGGTGCAAGCCACCACGCCCAGCTAATTTTTGTATTTTTAGTAGAGATGGGGTTTCTCCATATTGGCCAGGATGATCTCGATCTCCTGACCTCGTGATCCACCCACCTTGACCTCCCAAAGTGCTGAGATTACAGGCATGAGCCACCGTGCCCAGCTGAAACTGAGTTTCATAGAATGAAAGTTTGCTTTGTAAGTCAATGTTTACTCATCTATTGTGTGAAAAACTGTATTCTCTGCAGTTTGAAAACATTTTTTTTTCTTTACAAGAGCCCATATTTTACTCGGTTGTGAGAACCACCAAATCAGAGAAATGGATAAGTAGCAAAGTATTAAACAATATGAATGATTAAAGTAGAATATATTAGCATATACAGAGAGTGACAAACTTTTTCTATAAAGGGCCTGATTATAAATATTTTAGGCTTTGTAATTCAAGATTCAAAATGAAGGATATTGTGTAGGTATTATATGACAGGAAAGAATCACATCTTAAGATTTTTTTTTCAATCACTTAGATGCATAAATACCATTCTTCATTGAGAAGACATACAAAATAGGCAGTGGGGCTGGATTTGGCCAATAGATTTTAGTTTACTGACCATGGTGTACCCAAAATGATTTCAACTGATACGAATTTTAGAATTTATTACTAAAATTTCCTTTCTTATGCCTTCCTTAAATATGTTCCTGTTTGCCTAGAACAGTGCTGGTTTATGGCTTTTCCAACACATTCATTATTATTCATGCTTAAAAGTTAAATTATGAGGTCACCCTAGTTATCAGAGTCTTTCCTTCTCGTTGACCAGCTTCCCATTGACTAGTTATGTAAAAAATCTCACCCCTAGATCACAAAAGTTTGACTCTGTAAGAGAAGCAGGTCATTGTGCACAATGTCCTCAGGCCACTGGAAAAAAAGCTCATATCCTGATGCGGTAATCTTCCTCCACTTAAAAAGTTAAAAAAATAAAAAAGAGTGTCTTATTCTAGAAGTGCCCACTTGGGATTAGAGGTGGGAGATTTGCTATTTTCTATTGGATCAAAAACTTTAACATACTTGTATTTAAATGTTATGGATAAGTTCTCATTATATTGTGTTAAATAAAAAAATGGTACGAAGTTTCATATCTAGAGCATGATATGCACAAAATAAAAAGAAGAAATACTGTGATGAACATAACAGCATTCTTGGAGCTTATTTATAATTATTGTTTGTGTTTTCCAAATTGTACACAATGAATATATTTTATAATAACAATATGAAAAAGTGGACATTTTGATAATATTTTAAAATTATGGGTAGTTCAGTGAATAAACTTAAAAATAGTAAAAGACACCACTTAATGTTAAAGCATTGGACATTCTTTATCTGATCATGCCCCCAAAGAAAACTGTATTTCAAAAATGTTAAATTATCATTCTCTTATGACATTTCACATTAGCTATTTTCTATCCCAGCAAAGTGAATGATATGCTAAATAACTTCAGAGATTGTTTTTAAACTAATGCAAAGGAAATAATATTCATGTGAAGGTTAAATGTGAACACTTTTAACTTGGTAAATTAAATGTGAGGCTTATGTTTTGAGGGAAGTATTATATAGCACACAATCATACCAAAAAATATCAACTACTATAACAAACCTATTATTTAGGTGATCAACATAGAAACTATGAATAGGTGCTTCGGCATCTTCACTGGATATTTCTATTTGGATTCACCAGTATGACTATCTCTAAAGCCTCAATCTGGGAATTATTATAGATTTCAGCTTTGTTGTAGATGGGACGAGTTGATTTTGTTGAACCTCCAAAAGTGAAGCTATTGAAAAAACTACTATATAAATCTATATCTAGTCTGAGAAACAATATTCTCATTGACTAAAATAATCTGGAAATATAGTTGAAAGCAAAAAGGATAAATTATCAGTTGAATGGAACAGGTACTGAGATACTGTCAGTCCATAGATGATTAAGAAATGAAAAATGGCAATTGAGAATAATGCTACCATGTTGGAAAATTTGCTTCAAGGCTACAGATGTTATTGGCAAAAAGAGGATGAAATGGATGAGCAATCTAGCTTTTATCTAGAGAAAGTCAGCCTCCAGTGAACCATCTTTTTTTGTATGCCCCTGCTATGTCAATTACTGGGGTTCAGAGAGAGATGTTTAGTATACTGCCTATTGACTTCTTTCCTTAAATTGCCTAGAATACTCCAAACTCATTATTTCTATTTTTCTCTATATTTTATTAGATGAAAACAAATACTGTAACAGGTGGTTTGATTTTTCTCTCTGCTTGGGATTTATATGTGCTTCTCAGCCAGCATTTTGTTATCCTCAGCTTTAAAGGCTCTAAGTCATCAGAGAATCACTCCCACTTGACTATAAATATAAGTCAGATGATTATAATGACAGTGTCACAGGTGGAAAAATAATCTTCATTCTATTGTAGTCAAGCCCAACACTGACAAAGAATCATACATTGCGTCGGTGTTTCAATTAAGATGAAGGTACCAATTTATACTTTAACTCTTCAAGAAGGGCAAGAAGAAATGTATACAGAAGAATATCTTCAGGGTTAATTTCAACCTGAGTTGCAAATATAAAATCCTGATTATTCAGGATAGTGAATCAAAGCTGAATTACCGGAAGTTAATTTGGATTCAGCATTTGCATTGCTTGTTTTCACTGGACTCACTACAAAAAAAAAAAAAAGGACTTGTTCTCTGGCATACTTGTTCATGCACACCATGATGGGAAAGAATTCCTGGAGGTATCACTCTTCTCACACAGATTTACAATCTCCAGCATGGAGGAATTAGGTGGAACAGATATATTTCACTCATACCTTGGTCAACGTCTATCTAGGAAAGTCTAGATGTTCCTATTAACTCAACATGTATTTGTATCTGTAATTTGATTCTGTTTTAACCAATATGAAGTCCTGCTTATAACTGTGTGAGGCAGAGGAAAATTTCTAGGCTAAGATTCAAATCAGAAAGCATACTGCAATAAGCAACTTCTTCTCAAGGATGTGATACCAACTCTTAGTCTTCTCCAGGTGTGATACTATCTCTCAGTCTTCTCTGATGACCAATTGGAAAAGTCATCTAGGAAAATGGTCACCATCATTCTAGCTTTTAAAGATGTTTATCCTCATTATCAAATACATAAGAATAATGTAACTAAGGAAACACTTTCTAAAAATGTATCATAACCTTGCAGAAAAGTTGCTCATATCTTTTTCCTGAATTTTTTTTGACTTTGTGCATTTCTTCCATGAAATGTGGATGCAATTTATTAGCTTAACAAAAATAAATGAGACATATACAATGCTGGATGTTTGGGTACAGTGGTGGGCAAGATATGGCTTGCTCCTTCTCTTATAGAGTTATAATCCAGGTGGGAGGTAATCTAGAGGAAAAATTATCAAAATTAACAAGAACCACATAACACTTGGTACTTGGTATGTTCAAAGAAAATAACGGTTCTTTGGACTAATGTGTGGGACATCTATCTTGAATTTCTGCAGCAAGAATAGCCACTGAGAGCAAGAGGCATCCACGATCAGGAATGATAATGCACAGTTGGGAGTAGAAGGATGAAGAGATTTTCAGGCAAAGATAGCAGCATATGTAGGCTGGATGATCTGAGAGAATATGAAGAAGCGAAGAATTGAAAGTGGTTTTTGATGGGGAAATGATAGAGAAGGAATGAACATGAAGGAGGAGTTTGGGGAATGAAGGATGAGGGTGTAGGAGTTAAATGTATCAGGGATAGTGGTAAGAAGATGAACCCCCAAGTGGTTGCTCTCTGTCTCCCTTCCTGGAAAAATATCTGAATATTTTATGATTAAAGAATTGCATTATTTGGTGCCCTCTCAAAGAATTGAGACAGTCTAAGGTAGTCTCTATAGTTGTGAGAAGTACGAAAGTTCAGGGTCTATCTCAGCAGCTGAAAAGCCTCCCCTCATGGAACTGAGTGGTTATTCATTATGCCATCCAGGTTTAACACTTCTATTCATTCATAGCTGTGATGGTTAATACTGAGCGTCAACTTGATTTGATTGAAGGATGCAAAGTATTGATCTTGGGTGTGTCTGTAAGGGTGTTGCCAAAGGAGATTAACATTTGAATCAGTGGCCTGGGAAATGCAGACTCACCCTAATCTGGGTGGGCACCATCTAATCAGCTGTCAGCATGGCCAGAATATAAAACAGGCAGAAAAACGTGAAAAGGCTAGATGGTCTTAACCTCCCAGCCTACATCTTTCTCCCATGCTGGATGCTTCCTGCCCTTGAACATCAGACTCTACATTCTTCAGCTTTGGGACTCAGACTGACTTCCCTGTTTCTTAGCTTGCAGATGGCCTATTGTGGGACCCTTGTGATTTCATGAGTTAATATTACTTAATAAACTCATATATATATATATACACACACACACACATATATACGTATACATACATACACACACATATATACGTATATATATGTGTATATATATACATATATATACACACACATATATATACGTATATATACACACACATATATATGTATATCTACACACACGTATATATACATATATACACATATATCTATGTGTATACACACACACATACACACACACACACACACACACACATATATGGTCTATTAGTTCTCGCCCTCTAGAGAATCCTGACTAATAAACTAGCTTAGTCTGTTCAGGCTACTATCACAAAGTGTCATAGACTGAGAGGCTTATAGACAACAGAAATGTATTCCTCACAGTTCTAAAAGTTGGAAGTCTGAGACCAGGGTACCAGCATGGTCAGGTTCTGGTGAGAGCTTTCTTCTAGGTTGCATTTCTTTTGTTTTACTGTATTCTCAGATAACTGAAAGAAGATGAGAGAACTCTCTAGGGTTTCTTTTACAAGGGCATTAATACCATTTATGATGGCTCTACTTTCATGACCTAATTACCTCCCAATCCTTAATACCTTCATATTGGAGATTAGGATTTTAACATATGAATTTGGAGGGAGGCACACAGACATTTAGTCCTTAATAATCCCCTTATATCATAGATTCCTTGATGTCTTCTTGGCCACAGCTATGACTTGGCTCATCTTTGTCTCTGCTTCCATAATTCCTATTGTGGCCTTAGTTGTTCTTTTTAGACATGCTTCCTCCAACAGGGTACCCACTAGCCACAAGTAGCTATTTAAATCTGAATTTAATTCAATTAACCTTCTCCAGCATGTGTTCCATTGGACAGGCTTGTTACATTCTGACAGTAGACAGAATGATTGAGTGCATAGACTGCTGGTCATCCTACTGGCTGCTTTCAGGTCATCCTGCTGCCATCAGTTGAGTGCAGGATAAGGTGAAACAAAGTATGATGATACAACCACAGGAAATTCTTAAATCTGCTGCTTTGGGCCATAGAAAGAGATGACAGGCATTATATCTAGTAAAAGTGACATAGATAGATATGGTTATAAATAAAATCATAGTGACTGGTCTGTCTGAAGCAGCTGGGGAAGCTGATAAAGAAGGTTCTTTAAAAGTCAGCATGGAAAGATTAAGTGGAGGTAAGAAAACCAATAAGGGGGAAGATAAGTATCTCAAGCACAGGGAACAGTAATGCTAAAGGTGAAATATATGTAAACAGAAAAATCAGAGGTAGTGCCTGCAAGTATTCAGAATTCCTAGAGCACAATGAGAAGAGGGGCAGGGTCCCTGTCATCCTATAATACAGCAGTTTTGTAAGTGCTCTGCTTCTTAGCCCCATTTTTCACATCCACGTTGTGTATGATTAAAACTCCCTTACCTACTGTTAGACACATCACTAATGGTGGACATCTGTTCATTTCATCAACCAAGCCTTTCTTCTGCCATCTCTTGGCAAAATCACCTCAGTTTTCCTTTGCCAGCTGTCTGTGGTTAAGTGTCTCTATTTTCCCCTGGCCACATACTGGGTAGGGAATTCAAGTTGGGCCAATTTGATCCTCTCTCCAATTTGGAGGAGAACCCAGAGGCAGAAAATGGTTCAAGCTGATTGATTCTAATTGTGAAGCTCTAACCATTTTCCTTATCTCAGCAGCCTTGAGTCCCAGAGCTGTTTCCAAGGGGCCCTGAAAGAGTTTACCTAGCATCTGCCTTTTAGTGAGCATTTTAATCCTAAACCTGGAATACCTGCTTAATGGTATTGACTATAGGATCAAAAGCATGAAAATGCAGAAAACAAATGCATATTCCCAGCATTCTTTTCATATTGTTGTATCATCTGACCTCTCCAGTTGTATCTGCCCCAATGTTTCCCATGGCTACTCTGCTCTAGTTACTCATGTTTATTGTTTCTGAACTTGCCTTTTATATTTAAATCACTAAGCCATTTTTACACGTTATTCCCTCATCACAAAACATGTGCTTCCTGAAAACCTACTCAAATCCTGCCCATGGTACAAGGCTTACATCAATCTTAGATTCCCTAGTACCAACTTTGATTGTTTCAACTCAAAAATCATCTCTCTATTCCTCGAAACTCTGATTGAGGAGAGGAATATCATTTTTTCATTTATCCTTTCCTATATGAGACAGAGTTTTATAAAACACTCTTAGTTTCCTGCCTCATATTCCACTCCTCCTCACAGCAGAATGACTTAATTTGTGGATGAGAAACAGACATTAGCCCATTTTATTTCTTGAATCCACACCTTTTAAAATAAAAAGTATTAAATAAAAAAATAAAACAAAAAAATACAACAAAAACAATGACAAAAATCAAAAGTATTGACCACAGTGGAATAATTCAATCTTTCACCTTCCTTATTGAAATATTTGCTTCTTGTATTTATATCCCATCTTACAGAACTTGTAGACAGAAAATTAAAATGTTTCTCAGTATCTTTTCCATATCTCTTATTATGCAAATGCTAATGAGAAAATATTGGCACCCAAGACTCTGATGGATAAAATCCTTACCATGATATCTTGTCTTTGTTTTTGAGGTCTCCATCTTAAGAGAAACTATGTTCCAGAACTAAATGATTTCTAGAGTGACACTACATGTAGTTATAGAATAATTCTTGGAAGTAATTGAACACACTTTCTGCTAAATCATTCAGTATTTCAACAATTTCAGTGTTCACTAATGCACTAATGTTGAGTGACTGGTTGCAGATTAATAGGTGTTTTTATTTACTACTCACAAAAAGGTACTATGATTTATAGTAATGCCAAGAGTCAAAAAAAATAGATCATAATACTCTTTTTTGAGACTGTTTCACTATTTATGATATAATTTGACATAGCTTTGAATATGTGTTTCAGAATCTGTAATACTTAAGAATTAATACCCATAGTGTTTCTTTGAGAATAATATAAATTAATATATGCCAAAATTTTATTTGTTGTAAACATTTTTAGAATCATTACTTATCTTATCTTACATCTTTTACTGAATTTATGTAAAGAAGTAATTCCACTTACATCTCTAAGCTGGGAGAGAAGAGGTGGCTGTTTTATTCTGCCAAAGGAAAAACAAAAAAAGACTGTTGGGCTCCTTCTTGAAATTTTGTGTGAATTTTGCTTAGCCACTCCTGTGTTGTAAAATTAGTCAGTAAGGGTATCATATATGTCAAAACTTCTTCCATCTAAACTTAAGTAGGCTAACTAAGAGAATAAGGTCTCTGATTTGCATTTTGCAAAAACGGAACTCTACTAATGCAAGAGAAGCAATCATGACTTTGAGGATACTCTTTCAAGGAATGATGTACAGTCAGCACTGTCTTTTACAGCCAGCACAATAAATGATCTACAAGAGAAAATTTTAAATGACATTTCTACTGTAATTCCCATATGCCTTCTCTGTTGTTCTGGATATTTAATTTTAACACTAGACTTTCTTCTTCAGATCCTTTTTTCTTCTCTTCATGTTTTAATTCAACATGTATGTATGTCTACAGTAAAAGAAAGGTAAAATTTAAACATGTGATTATGTGATCACTCTTGGGTCACTCTGTGCAATTCAATTACAGCTAATTTTCAAATTAAAATAAATTAATTTACTATATTTATTAAACACACACGTATACATATGTATATGATTTTCTATATGTATGGAACTATTCCAAGAGTTTTATGTTTATTAACTTATTTAACCTTCAAAACAATCTTATGAGAATGAATCTTACCATCTTACTTTTCAAGTGAGTAAACTGAGACACAAAAAAGTTCAGCAAATTGCTCAAGGTTACCAACAGTGGATTACAAATTCAAACCCAAGACTTTGGCCTCCAGAGTCTGTGCCCCTCGCCACATGATTTACCCTTCATTTATTAATAAAAGTGAAGTCTCATTTGCTCCTGCTCTTCAGACGTATAAGGGTAGGTGACTCTTTACACACAACCTGTCAGAAGCTAAAGATAGACTTTCTAAATCTCTGAATGAATGTATCTTTCAAAAAATATTTTCCATAAAACAAACACATTTCATTATCTTGCATAATCTACTGCTGCTTCAGAGGCTGGGAGAAGCTGACTTCAGGAGTGGTCCCAGGTGAATAGGGTACAGAGCTTTGTGGAACTGCGCCTTTGCCAGGAGTCTTAAATAATTCTGGAGATTCTGTGAGCACAGTTTTGTGGCCTATTTAATACTACTGGGTTTCTGTAAATTACAGCTTCTATGTCTGTTTGTTTATAATCGATATGTTGCAAATTTTAAAGCTGTGATTGATAAAAATTCAAGATATCAGGTTTGCAAAAAAAATAAACTCAGGTCAGTCAATATGAGTATTCAAGTCCTAGAAATGTGTGTCATATGGTCAAGTTGAAGTTGAACTTGATTGTGGATAATATTAATTTACTAACTGAATACTCACTAATTTGAAGAGGGAAGGTATAATTTTTATTTTTGTAATCCTAAGTATGAATTCTGATGGCCTTTATATTATAGGATCAACAAATAGACAGGCTTTCCAGCTAGATTCTAAGTTCCGAGAGGACTTAGGACAACCTGTCTACATTATTCAATATTATATCACAATAAACTAACCCAGTTTATGACACATAGTTGAAGCCCAGTAAGATGTGAAACATGAAAGAAAGAAGAGAAGAAGGCAGGAAGGAAGATAGCCCTTTAACTAATTTACAGAAAGCATCATTGAAAATGTGTTCTTAACTGCCGGTTCTATAATGTAATTATCCTCTAAATGAATGGCACCCCAATTTTTATTGTGAGTATGTTCAGAAACTTCAGCCTGTTTTAGAAAGGATTTATTCACAAAATTACTTCTTCATTCTAAACTTTCCCCTGTTATATTGTATAAAAAAGCACTTTGCCACAAGCATCTGTATGCATCTAGAATTTCCATAGGGACAATGTATAAAACTATTTTAGTTAAACACAAGCTTTCTCTCCTTTTTGATTGTGAAGATTCAACTTCTACTATTATAAAACGGAGATAAATATGAATCATATTTAAAGGTTCTAAGACAATGAATACAATAGATTCCACCTAATTAAATTTAGATCTAGGCTCTAAGAAAATTCTGGTTAAGAGTCTCAAACGCAAGTTTGAGTTATTCCATATTCCAGTCAACATTCTCTTTCCTATCCCATTCATTCAACTCTTTAAAAATGTTACCACATGTCCCAGATCCTCATCCAAGGTTTGTTTGGGGTTTTTACACAAATAGTTTTTGTCTTCTAAGATAGAGGCTCTTTTCTATGATTGAAGACATGTCAGCAACTAGAGACTAAGCGGGCTCTTTGGGTCCATTTTGCATTCATGAACCCCTTCAAGCCCGTGGAGAAAAAGTCATCTTGTGATCCTAGCATGACTAATTTATTCTGGGTTGTGGTTACAACACTAGGGGAAAAAAAAAAATCAAATTCTTAGCTTTAGATGTTTTTGCTTTATGCTGTGCCACCATTGGAGATTTTTCTAAAGGCTAATGAGGACAGGACTTGTTTTACACAAGGTTTTCTTGTGAATATGCAGTGGGTGGAGGGATTTGAAGGTTAATGCATGAACGGAGTTCAGTTACCATGCTTTTCCTTGTTTCCAGGCATTTTAGCTGAGTTATTTATACATAGATGCATTAGATGTCCTGTTATTTTGAATAAGTGTCTATTTTTAATTAGGCAAGGTACATAAGCATTTTAATTAGATATCTAAATACATCATCTAAAAATTTTCCCCTCAGAAAATAAAAGAATTTCATTCCTTCTTTATTAAATATAGGGGCAGTAAAATCTTATGAATAGATTTTCAGCTCAAGAGATTGGAATCTTTTTGATATAATACATGCACAGATTATTTCCTCTTAAATTTATCTAAGCTAATGAAGTGTATGAAAGTAATAAAATTAAACCACAACTTGTTAAGTGTGCTGCAGTACTCCAACATGACCAAGGAAAAAAACTTCTACGTTACTGCTGGTGCTCTGAATTAGAGCCTAGTTCGTTCATTTGCTTTATTAATTCAGTGTAAAGAATATAAGTGTGTGTGTGTGTGTGTGTGTGTACTTCTGTTTATATGAAATGAAATGAGCAACAGTATCCTGCTCTACCACCGGATTACTTTAAATGGAGAAAACTGCAATTGCTTTTGCACGAACCTAATAGCTGCAAAAGTTATTGCGGTTTTTTCTATTACTTTTAATGGCAAAAACCGCAATGACTTTTGCACCAATCTAATATTAAACTAGGGCATAAAAGTAAGAGAAAAGATCTTTAACCATCAAATTGGATACTAGATCCTGCGCTTTTCAAAATATCGTTAGCATATCTAAATCTCTAGGTTTTCTACGTATTTTAATTGCAATCAACCAACTAAAATGTATTGTGGTATTGCTCATAATGCTTAGTTTTCTTAAATAGAAGTTAAACTCTGAATGAAATTATGGCCATGGCCTTCTAAATGGGACTGGTGACGGGTGTTGAGGAAGCATGGCTGTGAAGCCCAGCTCTTCCACTCATTAGCTGTGGGGCCCAAGACAAGTTACTTAACCTGTTGAAAACTCATTTTTCTTATCCATGAAATGGATATTGGTTTCCACTTTGTGTGTGTTTTGAGGGTTGTAAAGAATATAAAGGGGGATTTGCTATCAAGTGAATACTCATTAAGGGTTAGTTGTTATCAATTTATCATCTTTGCTTTTCAACCATTATTCCCTTTGTCTTTTTTGTTTTTTCTTATTTCTATTAGCTCAGCCTTTAACCTAGACTGGCTTTATTATTGTATCTTACTCATACTTAGTTTACAAAAGCCCCATTTTACTCTTTTAATACTAGTCAATGGGAATCAACTTGAGTCATCTACCTACTAAAATCCTTTGTTATGTATGGAGTACAGCACATCTTCAATAATTTTTTATCATAAATTAAAAAAGTATAAACTCCAGATTTATTGGTTAATGCAAACAATTTTAGATACAGGTTTTTGGAGGAATCTACAGGGAAGACAAAATTTCATGCCTACCTTCTTAGGGTTTTCAACTGTGCCTGAGAAGTAAATTGACATAAACTGATTAACAGAAGTAAAGCATATAAAATTACTTAATGTAAGTTTTACATGACATGAGAATCTTCAGAAGGAAATGAAGACTCAAAGAAGTCCCAAACCTAAATGCTTTTATACTAGTTTCAACAAAGAGAGGCAATTGTGAAATAGTGACTAACCTATGTAGAGAGGCTAAAGAAAGATAAGAATTATTTTCACAATCTGTTAGTATAGAATTCTCTCAGTTTCAACTTCACTTTCTTGATGATAAAAATATTACACTCCTTCTGGTATGCAGAAGACATCTTTTATATGGGGTATTTATCACCTGCTTTCAGGAAGAAAAAGAGGAGGGTCAAGAGCTCTCTTCTTGAAACTCGTGATTTTTTAAAGTGCTCAAAATAATCCTTATGCCAAAATGGCATATTTTGTGGTAGTGTATTCTACCACCTTTCAGATCTAATCAAACTATCTATCTATCAATCTATCTATTATCTATCTATCTGTCTGTCTGTCTGTCTGTCTATCTATCTATCTATCTATCTATCTATCTACCTATTTATTATACTTTAAGTTCTGGGGTACATGTGCAGAACGTGCAGGTTTGTTACATAGGTATACACGTGCCATGGTGGTTTGCTGCACCCATCAACCCATCATCTACATAAGGTATTTCCCCTAATGCTATCCCTCCCCTAGTCCCCCACTCCCTGACAGGCCCCATTGTGTGATGTTCCAAACCATCTATATTTTTATTCACTCTTTCAGAAATTTTACTGAATGGGTCTTGAAAATCAAATGTGTTTTCATGAGAGAATATTTTTCACATTGTCTTTGTGTAATTGTGTCTTTTGTATGATCTTATTGAGATAACTTTCAAATAACTGTGTACTTTCTGATAAGAAGCAAAATTGACCATACAAACTAACTGAAACCTAAGTAAATTATGACATATGTCAGAATCTCGGCCAGACGCGGTGGCTTACACCTGTAATCCCAGCACTTTGGGAGGCTGGGGTGGGTGGATCACGAGGTCAGGAGTTCAAGACCAGCCTGGACAGTATGGAGAAACCCCATCTCTACTAAAAAACAAACAAAAAAAAACCAATAAAATTATCCGGACGTGGTGGTGGGCTCCTGTAATTCCAGCTACTCGGGAGGCTGAGGCAGAGAATTGCTTGAACCTGGAGACGGAGGTTGCAATGAGCCGAGATGGTGCCACTGCACTCCATCCTGGGTGACATAGCGAGACTCTGTCTCAAAAAAAAAAAAAAAAATTCAGGCTCTTGAAGTATCTTCTCTCTGATTCATGGCTAAAGTTTCCCTGTATATCAGAAATGGAGAAGGATGTGATTTGGAGAAGCCTAATACTCTCTGGACAGTCTCTGGGAACAAACATCATTTATTTTGTGACACTATTTTTAGAAGACATCCTTTCTCTCCTCATGGTCTAGTTCAAAGAACATCTCCTCTCTGAAACTATTCTGGATGGTGCAGAATTATTTGTTTCTTCATCTAAATCCTTACAGTATCGTCTCTCTCTATTAAAAAAATACTTACCACATTGCATCTTAGTGATTGCTTCAATCCATGTATTTACCTTACTAGATTGTTTCCAACAGGTAAGAAATTATATATTTTTCTCCTTTCCTATGAGGGCACCCAGCCTAGAAACCCTCTGTGAATATTTATTTAATTGACCTGTTACTGTCATTAAGTTAGATGCCAGGTTACTCTTAAAAATTAATATGAAACCTACAGTCAGAGGGAAATTTTTTATGTGCCCATTGTGGAAAATTTTGCCAAGAGTAAGAATTCATCCGGGACTACATAGATTGGCATGAGTTAGGGATTTAAGAAATATTCATCTAGGATGAAATTGTAAGCATATTGTATTTATATATCTTCATTCTCCCTAATCTTTGCCTCCTTAAATAGTCTAATATATTATGCATGTAATCAGAGGTATTTAGTTCAAATTCCTAAGTTAAATTGAGTTGTTTTCATTTTTTCTTGTGGCTGCAGAATGTGTATTTATTAATAACACAAGAGAAGAGTTCCCAAAATGTACTCTGGTCACTTACCTGAGCTGCTTGCTCAGGTAAAACCATAGGTTGCTGCAAGTTTTTGGAGACCCTTGGGTTGCAAATAAACCAAACTTATCTGATTTTAAAAACTTTAAAAAATCTTCTATGGGATTATTCCTAAGAGTGAACAAGGCCTCCTTAATAACAGAGGCAATTAGATTCAATCAGAGGGGTCTTTTACTACATGGAATCAAGATAATATCAAATTAAACCATTTCATATCCTCTCTTGATGCCTCTAAAAATTTAGTTCCCCAAATCTTATTTTCTCAAGGAACTAATGACATTCTGCAAAGTGAAATGTCTGATTTTTCTATTGGAAAAAAAAGATAAAATATACAATTAGCCTAACCTAAATAATTGATGATGACAATTTTTTTTCTTTTTAGATTTTGCAAGGATATATCAACTTACCAGGCACTAACTAGATTTCTATAAGATCCTGTGACTAGGTCTTACTGCTCTGTAGATAGACAGCAGAATATTTATGAAGAGAAATATCACTTTTATGCTCCATGTTAGAAAAGCATCCATTTGTGTCTGCTCCTCTCCCTTTATTCCCCCATGTATATGTATATATGGATATGCATGTCTCATATAAAATACTAAAACATCCTACCTCTATCGGTTCAGCTAATTTTGTAAGATATAGCAGCAGCCACAAATATCATAAGGAGATACTTTTAGATTCAGATGCTGAATCAAGCCAGATATTTCATGTTCTGCGTGCAGTATGTCCACGTGGAACTGAAAAGCATAGTTTTGGTGTTTCCTGGAGTCCCTTAAAATGAAATAAATTTAAAGTAGGCTTCAAGATCAGTAGAGACATCTTTTTATTTATTTCTGTGTATATGTGAACTCCCAGTTTGCATAAAGAAGTATCATGCATGTCCTGTAATGGCTCTCTTATATTAAGGAATTTAAGGACTGATTGTATATTGCAGAGAGAGAGCCAATACTAAGAGGACATAGCAAAGCTTGTCCACTTTATTTTGGAGTAACCTGGGTGATAGGAATAAAGATCTGAAGCTATGTTAAATAGCTAGAGGAAGGAATAAGGAAACCATTATTCATGGGAAAAAAATAATACTTTTGTAGTATAGAAAAGTTGATAATTCATTTGCTTGTTATTTCCCATGACTATTTGAAGCTTTCTATTTCTATTTAGTGTATTTTCTTATTCATTAACTATATAGAGTGTTTTACTGTGTCCTAGATATCATGCTAGATGCAGACAATACAAAAGTGTAATTCCTGCTCTTGTAGAGTTTGCAGTCATTAAAATGTGTGTGTCTACGTTTGCGTGTGTGTGTGTGTTTATGTACTTGTAGTAGTGATTAGAGATTTGAGAAGAAAAATAAAAATACGAGATGCTTTCAAATAGCTAAAACAACAACAGCAAAAATAAAAACATCTAGTCTGGTCCAAGGAGAAAGAGCTCCTTGAGGAAGTGACAGTTAGTGTGAGATTAGAGGACTGCTACGGTTTGAAGTTGTCTCCAAAAAAAGCATATGTTGGAAACTTAATCCCCAATGCACCCGTTTTGGGAGATGGGGCCTAATGGGAGGTGTTCAGGTCATGAGGGCTTCACCCTTTTGAATGGATTAATGTCAGCTATGAAAGTACTTGAAGCTGTGAATTTGATCTCTTGCTCTCTTATGCTTCTACCAGGGGATGGATGAGGCAACAAGAAGGCCCTTGCCAGATGCTGGCATCTTGATATTGGATTTCCTATACTCTGGAACCATGAGAAATAAATTTCTTTTCTTTCTAAATTATCCAGTCTGTGGTATTCTGTTATAGTAATACAAAATGGTCTAAGACAAAGACTGAATGAGAATTGATCAGGTAACAGTGGGAGGGAGAAAAGCAGTGTAGGGGTAGAGATAATATACTAGACTGGAATCTTGAAGCAAGAAGGAAATTGGCCTATTTAAAAATCAAGTTGAGGGCATTCTATCTGGACAATAGTAGCAGCAGGTGGCAAATTTGAGACAAGCTGAGAGCGTTAACTATTCATGTACTGCGATGCCATCTTAATATGAAAAAGAGACAAAAGAAACAACACATGTACATGGTTTTAGTATGTACTCTGCTTTTTCTGGAGTCGACCTCACACACACAAATTACCATAATAAATTACTGGGTATTTTATAAAACCTTTGCTGAAACTCCCCAGAATAATTGATCACTTCAAATCCAGTGTTGCCTTGATAATTTGTATATATTTTCCTGCATTTGTTCATTTGTTCAACCTATTTGTCTAAACACCAGTACATTCTGGAGACTATGCTAGATATTGCTATAAAGGGATAGAAAGGTACATACAACAGCCTTCTTGCTTTCAGGAAGGTTATCTCTCACTGTTTTGTAGTTTTTTAAATACACTTTTGTTTGTTTGTTTGTTTTTGAGATGGAGTCTCTGTCACCGAGGCTAGAGTGCAGTGGTGCGTGATCTCAGCTCACTGCAACCTCTGCCTCTCAGGTTCAAACAATTCTCCTGCCTCATCCTCCCACATAGCTGGAATTACAGGCTCCTGCCATCACCCCTGGCTAACTTTTTTATCTTTAGTAGAGACAGGGTTTCCCCATGTTGGCCAGGTTGGTCTCGAACTTCTGACCTCAGGTGATCCCCCCACCTCGGCCTCCCAAAGTGCTGGGATTACAGGCATGAGTCACCGCACCCGGCCTTAAATAAATTTTTTTATTTTAGAATATTTCTAGGTTTACAGACAAATTGCGAAGATGGTACAGAGAGTTCCTTTGTATCCCATACCCATTTCCCCCATTATTACCATCTTTTATTAATTAGTATGATGTATTTGTCATTGTTAATTAAATAATATAGATACACTGCGAAATCGGCTACATAGATACATTACTAAATTTATTTATTTAGAACGTAGGGTCCTGATGTCTAAGGGCAGGAGAAGAAGTTCATCCAGTTCCAGAAGAGAGAAAGAGAGAGTGAATTCACCTTTTGTATTAGTCAGTTCTCTAGAGGGACAGAACTAATAGGACAGATGCATATGTGAAAAGAAGTTTATTAAGGAGAATTGACTCGAACTATCACAAGGTGAAGTCCTACAATAGGCCATCTGCAAGTTGAGCAAGGAAGCCAGTGTTGGTTCAGTTAAAGTTCCAAAACCTCGAAAGTAGGGAAGTAGACAGTGCAGCCTTCAGTCTGTTGCCGAAGGTCTGAGAGCCCCTGGCAAACAACTGGTGTAAGTCCAAGCATCCAAAAGCTGAAGAATTTGGAGTCTGATATTCCAGGGCAGGAAGCATCCAGCACAGGAGAAAGGTGAAGGCTGGAAGACTCAGCAAGTCTGCACTCCCATCTTCTCCTGCCTGCTTTAGTCTAGCCATGCTGGCAGCTGATTAGATGGTGCCCACCCAGACTGAGGGTGGGTCTGCCTCTCCCAGTCCACTGACTCAAATGTTAATCTCCTCTGCAACACAGACACACCCAGGAACAGTACTTTGCATCCTTTAATCCAATCAAGTTGACACTCAATATTAACCATCACACCTTTCCTCTGCCTTTTTGTTCTACCTGGGCCCCCAGTTGATTGGATGATGCCTGTCCGCACTGAGGGTAGATCTTCCTCACCTAGTCCACCAAATCACTTGCTAATATTCTCTGGAAACACACCCAAAAATAAGTCTTTGCCAGCTATCTAAGTATCCTTTAATCCAGCCATGTGGACACCTAAAATTAACCCTCACAATTGCTATTAATTAAAATCCATACTTTATTCAGATTTTCTAAATGTTTACCCTAATGTCCTTTTTCTATTCCAAATTACCAGGTTTCGTTTAGTCCTAGTGTCTTCTTAGGGTCTTTTGGCAGTGAAAATATGTTGGACATGCCTTGTTTTTAATTATCCAGAAATTGTGAGGTCCTCTGGTCAGGTCTTTTGTAGAATGCCCATCGATTGTTATTTGCCTGATGTTTTTCTCATGATTGGACTGGAGTTATGTGTTTTCAAAGGAATATCACAGAGGGGAAGTTCCATTTTCATCCTGTCCTCTCAGGAATGCATACCAACAGCAGGCTTCGCTGTGGACATTGACCCAACTCACCTGGCTAATGCAATGTTTGTCAGGTTTCTCTATTGCAAAGTTACTCTTTTTCTTCCTTTCCATATTGCACTTTTTGGAAGCTAGTATTGAGCACAGTTGGTTTTTTTTGAGATGGAGTCTCACTCTGTTGCCCAGGCTGGAGTGCAGTGGCACAATCTCGGCTCACTGCAAACTCCACCTCCCGGGTTCAAGTGATTCTTCTGCCTCAGCCTCCCGAGTAGCTGGGACTACACGCGTGCACCACCATGCCCAGCTGATTTTTGTATTTTTAGTACAGACGAGGTTTCCCCATGTTGGCAAGGCTGGTCTTGAACTCATGACCTCGTGATCTACCCGCCTTGGCCTCCCAAAGTGTTGGGATTACAGGTGTGAGCCACTGCGCCTGGCCCGAGCACAGTTTACAATTAAGGAAAGAGTGATTGTGCCCTACCATTTTGAGTAGAGTATGTAAATTATTTGGGATTCGTCTGCATGGGAGATTGTTCTTTTCTTTCTTGTTTATTTATTCAATTATTTATTCATATCAGTATGGGTTCATGGATGTTTATTTTATACTTTGGGTTATAATTCAATATTATTTTAATTATTTCATTGCTCAAATTATTATAGCTTTGTCCATTGGTAGCTCTTTTACTGGGTCTTTGCTTCACTTTAACTTACTCCTACACTCTCATTTGAAATTCAATTTTTTTCTTCCATGATCACTTTGGCCAAGTCTCATTGCTCTTTACCTCCTTAATTATACCACTTCTGAGATAAAGACACCATTAAGACCAAGCAACTGATTCCTTTCTTCTTCTTTTTTTTTTTTTTTTTCTGAGACAGAGTTTCACTCTGTTACCCAGGCTGGAAGGCAGTGGCAGGATCTCAACTCACTGCAACCTCTACCTCCCAGGTTCAAGCGATTCTCATGCCTTAACCTCCTGAGTAGCTGGGACTACAGGCACCACCACCTTGCCTGGCTAATTTTTTGTATTTTTAGTAGAGATGGAGTTTCACCATGTTGGCCAGGCTGGCCTCAAACTCCTGACCTCGTGTGATCCACCTGCCCTCAGCCTCCCAAAGTGCTGGGATTACAGGTATGAGCCACTGCAGCCAGCCTGATTACTTTTTTCTAACAAGCAGCTAGAACACCTGAAGCCTCCAGGTGAGCCAGCACTCAATTCACTAGGCTTCTGACCTGATTAGAAACGATTTCCTTATAAATTTCTCCATTCTTTGTCCTTTTGAGAAACACTTATGAGTTCTTACATTTCTAATCAACCTCTATATTAAAAACTCCATGTCTTTCCTCTGGATTTTTGAAGTATTCTACTTTTAACTGTGTGGCATTTCCCAGAGAGAATTTATATTCCCCTCTAGATTTAGCTACTTAGGTTAGGAACCAAACATCATTTTAACATTGCCTTTTTCAAAATAGCATTCTTGAAAATATCATAACTCTTCTGTCAATCTCTCTGATTATTAAAGGCTAAATGCTCATGGGGTATGTCAGGAATGAAGCTTTGTTTTTAGTTTTCTAATTGATAAAATACCTAATTACAAATATTTTTATTGTATATATTTTCTCTTATGAAATCTATTCAGCTTTTAATTTTGATGTGAATTTTTTTCTTAGCTCACCCGGGATTGGAATTTAATAAAATACGTTCTTTCAACTCTGCTTATGGAGCAAGAGATTGTTTTGATTTTTTATAGTAGACATTCCCTGAAGAGCCAAAAACGTTCAGGAAATGTATATAAACAGGCTCATCATCTTTAGTCTTGTAAAAATCACCCAGCATATCTACCGCCCCAAGAAACTTCATGTTCTTGATATTTGCAACCTGGGGTTGGTTGGAGAATGTGCTTTGTTCCCCGGGGCTGTTTTGGACTGGAATGTGCCTCTTAATCCCAGAAATATTTGGATATCAATGAGAGCCGATGTATGAGCAGTCACAGGTTTTTAAACCATTTGCTTAAGTGTCTTCTCTGCTTTGGACACATCCATTCACTTGATGAGAGCTGTCAGTCCGAAGGTAGCTGTTTGCATAAATGAGAACATTTTTGTTGCAAATAGTAAACACCAGCATGTGCTAGATTAAGCTACAAAAGAATTTGTCCCAAGGACACAGATGTGTTTTTTTGGAAATCAAGGGAAGGCAGGTATTGCAACAGGAAATTGGGAGCCTTACAGAATTTGGAAATCTCTTTCTCTCTCTTTCTCTCTCTCTCTCTCTCTCTCTCTCTCTCTCTCTCTGTTCTTTCCCCTTCCCCATTTGTGCCTCATCCCCGCCCTTCTCTTTTCTTTGTGTCTTCCTGGGCATCTGCTTCCTTGTCTCCCTGCAAACCAGCTTTCCCTGCTCTCCAGTTCATACGGAGCCACGGGGCTCATCATGTGCTTTTTACATGCCTCCAGCTCAAGAAACTAACCCCAGCTGAGACTGGAACCTCTTATTTTTAATTCTAAATTCCAAAGAAAGGAACTTTAAGTAGTTCAGCCTGAACCATCTGCCAGGGCCTTAGGTACCCATTTGATTACTGGGGACAAGTTCAAGAGGTCAGAGCTTGATCAGAACAGAGGAGCCATTCTAGGTATTTGGAGTTGCAAGTAAAGACTCTTATGCCATTAGAAGATGAATAAGTGAAGGTTAGAAAGGGCCTCTTTCATAACAGATGTAATAAAAGCAACTGAAGGTAGACGTCCTGTCATCAATATCTTCCTTTTCTCCCACGCAGCTAAGTAGAGCCCATTGATTAATACGCTGGCAATGATTCCGAACCTTGAGTAATTATGATACTTTCTTTATTGTTACATATAAGTGATGCTGCCACAATTGCTTAAGAAGTCAGATCTGGAACTTTTAGAAGGTACAGGTCTGCTTACCATTGAAAGAATCACTGTTTACTAATACGTCATTGATTTCGGTTCTGGATTCAGTTTAAAAAAATATTACACACGCAGATATATGTGTGGAAAGAAAGAATGGGAGAAAAAGTGAATAAAAACACCATGGAAAAATTAATTTGGTAATACGAAGCATGGGCTACATTTCCTGATTTCATTTTGTGATTTGATGTTAGTCAGTAAACCTGTGATTATATGCTACCCACAGTGAAGGTGAATTCCATATATCCAATGAAGTTTTTCAGGTAAAAATTTTATATATATATATATATATGTGTGTGTGTGTGTGTGTGTGCCTTTATTATGCTACAGTGAATTACTTGTAGATCACTTTCAAACATTGTGTAATATATATATTTATAAATTCAAATTAGTGTACTGAATTCATATTTATTTTAAACAAAAATAGCAATTGTAATACTTTAAAAATACACATACAAACAGCGAGCCACACACACCCCTACACACACACCCATCCACCCACACACACACATCCCCAACACCCACACATCCACCCCCACACACACACACACCCACCCCCTCCACCCACCCACACACGGATCCGATATTGATATGAATGGGACTAGCGTATTTCTGATTTTGGATTTTCTTGGATTGTGGGATATTTGCATTATGTATTTACTAATTAAGCACCCCAAATCCAAAACCTGAAATCTGAAATACTCCAATGAGCATTTCCCCTGAGTGTCCTGTTAGTGCTCAAACAGTTTCAGATTTTAGAACATTTCAGATTTCGTATTTTGGGATTTGGAATGCTAAACCTCTCTCTCTCTTTTTGTGTGTATACGTGTGTACAGTTTCACTTAATTCTTACTGTTTTACCTTTATTTTTCAGATGAGTAAGCAAAACTTTATAATGTTATATAATTACTGAGTCACTCCAGTAAAGAGCTGTAGACCAAGGGTTTTAATTCAGGTTTTCTAATACATGCGACAAATTCTAGCTTAAACCTTATTTTTCTTCTTTTAGCACCGCACATAGAACACCTAGTTAACACACAGAGAGATGAACATTTTGCTTCATATCAAAGGAATAAATTCTCATGTAATTATCAAATAAGACATCACTCTTCAATTAATTATAGTGAAGTTGCATTGTAGTTGCATTATAGTTGCCTTTTACTTATAATAATTAAATTACGAAATAACGCTCCTCTCACACACATGCATATACAGGAGGGGCAGAAAATACCTTTTAAATGGTGCAGCTTACTTTATTCAATATTTCACTCAAAAAAAAAAAGTTCCAGAATTAGCATGAAACTAGCATATAAAGTTACTTTTCCATTACTTGGCTTTAGTTCCTACGTATGTCCCACAGTGTGAACTGATCACTATATTCAGTGGTTTCTAGTACAGTCATACATCACATAACTACATTTTGTATATGACAGTAGTCCCATAAGATTATATCGGAGCTGAAAAATTTCTGTCACCTGGTGATGTCACAGCTGTTCTAAGATCATAGCAGAACACATTACAGACATGTATATGGTGATACTGGTATAAATAAACCCACTATGCTGCCAGTCTTTTTTTTTTTAATGAGACAGAGTCTCGCTCTGTTGCCCAGGCTGGAGTGCAATGGCACCATCTTGGCTTACTGCAATCTGTGCCTACCGGGTTTGAGCAATTCTTCTGCCTCAGCCTCCCGAGTAGCTGGGATTACAGGCAGCTGCCACCATGCCTGGTTAATTTTTGTATTTTTGTAGAGATGGGGTTTCATCTCCTTGCCAGGCTGGTCTTGAACTCCTGACCTCAGGTGATCTGCCCGCCTCGGCCTCAAAAATGCTGGGATTACAGGCATGAGCCACCATGCCAGGTCAATCCTGCCAGTCTTTTAAAAATATCGTGCATACAGTTATAGGTAGTACATACACTTAATAATGGTAATGAACAACTATCTAACATTATTGGTTTATGTATTTACTATACTATACTTTTTTAGAGTGTACTCCTTTTACTTATAAAAAAAAAAAGTTAACTGTAAAACAGCCTCAGGCAGGTCCTTCAGAAAGTATTTCAGAAGTAAGCATTGTTATCTTAGGAGATGACAGCTCCATGAGTGTTACTGCCCATGAAGACCTCTCAGTGGGACAAGATGTGGAGGTGGAAGACAGTGATACTTATGATCCTGACCCTGTGTGGGCCTAGGTTTTAGCAAAAACCTAGGTGTTTTTGTTTGTGTTTGTGTCCTAGCTTTTAGCAAAAAAGTTTACTAAGTAAAAAATAAATTTAAAAATTTAAATATAGAAAAAGCTTATAGAATAAGGATATGAAGAAGGAAAATAGTTTTTGTACAAATGTACAATGTGTTTGTGTTTTAAGCTAAGTGTTATTTTTTGTTTGTTTCTGTTCCCAGAGCTGGCTTTCACTTTCTTTTTCTTTTCTTTTCTACTTCCAACTTTTATTTTAAGTTCAGGAACACATGTGCAGGATGTGCAGGTTTGTACATAGGTAAATGTTTGCCATGATGGTTTGCTGCACAGATCACCTCATCAGCCAGGTATTAAGCCCAGCATCCACTAGCTATTCTTTCTAATCCTCCCCCTCCTCTCACTCTCCACTCTGTGAAAGGCCCCACTGTGTGTTGCTCCCCCACCATATGTGCATATGTTCTCACCATTTTGCTCCCACTTATAAGTGAGAACATGTGGTATTTGGTTTTCTGTTCCTGTGTTAGTTTGATATGGAAAATGGCCTCCAGCTCCATCCATGTCCCTGCAAAGGGCATGCTCTTGTTCCTTTCTATGGCTGCATAGTATTCTATTGTGTGTATGTACTATATTTTCTTTATCCAGTCAATCATTGGTGGGCATTTGGGTTGAGTCCATGTCTTTGCTACTGTGGATAGTCCTGAAATGAATATACACATGCCTGTGTCTTTATAATAAAAAGATTTCCATTTCTTTGGATATATACCCAGCAATGGGATTGCTGGGTCAAATGGTGTTTCTGCCTCTAGATCTTTGAGGAATTGCCACACTGTTTTCCACAATGGTTGAACTAATTTACACTTTATGAACAGTGTAAGAGCATATTTTTTTCTTTACAACTTCACCAGAATCTGTTGTTTTCTGATTTTTTTAATAACACCCATTCTAACTGGGGTGAGATGATATTTCATTGTGGTTTTGATTTGCATTTCTCAAATGCTCAGTGATGTTTATTGGCCACATGTATGTCTTCTTTTGAGAAGTGTCTGTTCATGTCCTTTGCCCAGTTTTAATGGGGTTGTTTTGCTTTTGTAAATCTTATTAAGCTCCTTATAGATGCTGGATATTAGACCTTTGTCAGATGCATAGATGGCAAAAATGTTCTCTTATTCTGTAGGTGGTCTGTTTACTCTGTTAGTAGTTTCTTTTGCTGTGCAGAAGCTCTTTAGTTTAATTAGATCCCATCTGTCAATTTTTGCTTTTGTTGCGATGGCTTTTGGCATCTTCATCATGAAATCTTTGCCTATGCCTATGTCCTGAATGGTATTGCCTAGATTTTCTTCTAGGGTTTTCATAGTTTTGGGTTTTACATTTAAGTCCTTGATCCATCTTGAGTTTTGTATATGGTGTATGGAAGGGGTCCAGTTTGAATTTTCTGCATATGGCTGGCCAGTTCTCCCAGCACCATTTGCTAAATAGAGAATTTGTTCCCTATTGCTGGTTTTTGTCAGGTTTGTCAAAGATCAGTTGGTTGTAGGTGTGTGGTCTTATTTCTGAGATCTCCATTCTGTTCCATTGGTCTATGTGTCTGTTCTTGTACCAGTACCATGCCGTTTTGGTTACTGTAGCCCTGCAGTATAAAGTCAAGTAGCATGATGTCTCTAGCTTTGTTCTTTTTTAAGCTGTGTTATTACAACAGATTCAAAAAGTTTTAAAGTAAAAAGTTTAGGAAGTAAAAAAGTTACAATAAGCAGATTATTATCGAATAAAGAAAAAACATATATATATATATATTTTGAGATGGAGCCTTTCTCTGTCCCCCAGGCTGGAGTGGGGACATTTAAGTCCTTGATCCATTTAAGTGGTGTGACTTTGGCTCACTGCCACCTCCACCTCCAGGGTTCAAACAATTCTCCGGCCTCAGCCTCCTGAGTAGCTGGGACTACAGATGCACACCACCACACCCAGCTAATTTTTTGTACTCTTGGTACAGATGGGGTTTCACCATGTTGGCCAGGCCGGCCTTGAACTCCTGACCTCAAGTGATCTGCCTGCCTCGGCCTCCCAAAGTGCTGAAATTACAGGTGTAATCTTACCACACTCAGCCAAGAAAAATATTTTAAAATAAATTTAGTGTAGCCTAAGAGTGCAGTGTTTATAAAGTCCACAGTAATGTACAGTAATGGCCTAGGCCTTCACACTCAACCGCCACTCACCTACTGACTCACCCAGAGCAACTTCCTGTCCTGCAAGCCCCATTCATGGTAAGTGCCCTATGCAGGGGTACTTTTTTAAATCTTTTCCATCATGTTTTTATTGTACCTTTTCTATGTCTAGAAATGTTTAGATACACAAATTCTGTCACATTGACTACAGTGTTCAGCATAGTAACTTGCTATACTGATTTGTAGCCCAGGAGCAATAGTCTTTATCATATAGCCTAGGTGTGTAGTAGGCTATACCATCAAGGTTTATGTAGTACACGTTATCATGTTTGCACAATGACAAAATTGCCTAAGAACACATTTCTCAGAATGTACGTACATGATTGTATTTAGGAATATGTATTTTTGACAATGTGGCCCCAGGTACAATCCAACTACTCTGCCTGGTGCTCAACTTAATGAAACCATAGTATGTTCTAATGATGGAAGATACACCTTTTACCTGCATGCTGATTTGAACTTACTGAGAAGAAATGTTTGAGAATTATTATTGACCAGATGTGACTACATATATATATATTTATGTTTTTGTTTTTTTATTGGTTTACTTTATAATCTTTCTATAGAAAACCAGCATAATTACCAATCTGTAGCTCGTAGGAGGGCATTAACTGCAGATCACTTATGAGGTATAAAGATAAAATAATTCAACTTAGTTTTTGTCAAACTTGTTAGTGCATTTATAGACAAATGTGAACTAGTTTCTGAAAATTTGGCTTCTATTCATTTATTTCAAAAATCATATATTCAGTTTTTCTCTAATTTCTACTTTTGCAATATCTTTGAAGCTTGCCCAAATTGTTGAAATTCAATTAATTTTGGCATATGGCCATCCTTAGCAAGTAGACTTGGTTTCTAGCAATAGGCCAAATTAATTTCATGTAAGTGATAGGCACTTAAATTGGCAAAAGTATTTCAGACAAAATATGCTCTGTCTCTAACGTAAGAAGACTGCTTCCCTCCTAGGGCTCATCATCTAGCTCTGAGAGTGAGTCAAAGGAATTAATTCCAAAATATTTATCAGAACTTCATTGGAATTAGTAAATAAATATGATGACCACTTTGGAAAAGAAAACACATATTTGGATATGATCATTTTCATACAATTTTTTAATCTTTACTCTCTAGTAGTCAAATCTTCTTTACTTTTACTTTTACTTTTAGAAAACATCTTAGCTTCTTACAGAAGAAGAAGCATGAAATGGCTTTTCACCTCCACCTGTATGCTGTTTCTAAGCTCATGAAGCTAGGTAAGGCAATTATCTTCTCTCTCCCCATATTATTCTATTTCCTTTCTTTCTTTTTTTTTTTTTTTTTTTTTGAGACAGGGTCTCAATCTGTCACCGAGGCTGGAGTGCAGTGGCACGATCTTGGCTCACTGCAACCTCGGCTTCCCAGGTCAAGCGATTCTCCTGCCTCAGCCTCCCAAGTAGCTGGGACTAGAGGCACCCACCACCAAGCCCAGCTAACTTTTTTTGTACTTTTAGTAGAGACAGGGTTTCACTGTGTTAGGCAGGATGGTCTCGATCTCCTGACCTCATGATCCGCCCGCCTCAGCCTTCCAAAGTGCTGGGATTACAGGTGTGAGCCACCACGCCTGGCCTTATTATTCCATTTTCTAAGAAAACCCTTGGTTTAGGAAATTGCTTGATATGACTCCTTTTTATTTATTTATTTTTATTGATTTTTTTTTTTTCTTCACCTCTCCAAAAGACATACCACAATGTGTCCTCAAGGGTCTTTATTACAGAGAATGTTCTTTGGTCATGCCTGACTGTACTATGACTGTTGGCATATAAAATTAAAATAGATCATAGAGATTAGGACTGGGATTTTGTTGGTGAAAGTGGGGTGCTTACCTCAGGTGCAAAGTTTAAGGGGCCAAAACATTCAGTAATTAAGATAAATAATATTTTAAAGCAATATATTAAGCAAATCAAAATCAGTGCAAAATATGAAGTGCAAAACACCAAATTTTACAAGACAAGCTGTTGTCTTTTTTGTTTGCTTTGCCAACCCGTGCTATTGTGCAAGGAAACAGTCCTTTATAATCAGCCTGAAGTCCTGGGCTGCATATATGTTGTATCCTTGCCGGGTGGGTTCATAAGGGTTGAAAATGATGTGGGAACAAATTGAACAATGTGAGCTTTAATATATAGTCACATTTTTTGAATGTAGAGTTGTTTATTTTTATTTTTATTTATTTATTTATTTTGAGAAGGAGTCTTGCTCTGTCGCCCAGGCTTGAGTGCAGTGGTGCGATCTTGGCTCACTCACTGCAAGCTCCGCCTTCTGGATTCACGCCATTCTCCTGCCTCAGCCTCCCGAGTAGCTGGGACAACAGGTGCCTGCCACCGCGCCTGGCTAATTTTTTGTATTTTTAGTAGAGACGGGGTTTCACCGTGTTAGCCAGGATGGTCTCGATCTACTGACCTCGTGATCTGCCCACCTTGGCCTCCCAAAGTGCTGGGATTACAGGCTTGAGCCACTGCCCCTGGCCTAGAAATTTTATTAATTTCTTCCACTTGACTCTAAACATGGAAGGACATTTTGATAAGTGTATGTAGGGGCATATGTTTCCCTTAGGCTCTAAAATTTTTCTCAGTTGCCTTTTGCCTTTTGCTACCAAACACTGGTAGAGAGTCACCCCTTTGGCCGCTGAAGGTTAGACGTGTGGTGTTCATTATCCTGCATTACATCCCAGAACAGACAGACAGTATTGCTGGTAGAAATCAACCTGAATATCTGTTAGACAAAAATCATATCATTTTCTTAGATTGGTACATTCTTTCAGAATAATGCAAAGATACATTAAGGGAAGAAATAACATCAAAGCGTAAATATCAAGAGATAAATACCATACTACACCATTTTAACTGAAAATTCTGCTAGTTCTTGGATATCTAAATAAGTTTTCTCTTTATTCAGTGTATGATCTGATTCAAATTATTTACAATTCAGGTATTTGTATCTAATGTGAGTCTTGTTTTGGCTGTTTCAATCTCAACTGGTTCTTCTTGTTATTTCTTGTATACTGTAAACAACATAACCAGTGTGATTAACACTAATTGAGAAATAGAAATGAAAATGGTTACTTGCTGAAAACAGTTTGGCTAATATGTATAATGACAACATTTTGCATTACAAGAATACTCAAATTGTAACCTTTGACTTTAGTTCTAAAATCTCTGAAGCATTTCAAAGAATAGAGTTTTGGACATAGATGAATATATAAATGTATGCTAGATAAAATGCGGTTGCGATCTGTATAGGAATATATGCTGTTTTATTAATATATTTACTAAAAGACATTATCATATAGTTGTTGAAGTATAGGCTTTAAAATTATACTTAAGATGTGAATCAATTCTGGCTTCAATTGTTAGCTGTGTAACCGTAAATAACTAATCTCCCCAGGGCTCAGTTTTCTCACTTGTAAAATGGAGAGAATATAATCCAGTTGGTAGGCTGGTTGGAAGACTTACATAAAACCCTATATGAAAGGTTTTTGACATCATATCAGGCAAACTGTAGATGTTTTCTAAATATTATCTATACACTATTACTTCTCTGATATTTTTCTGTTTCTTTAATGTCATATTATTGTTCATAGTTCTGCATTTTTAATACTCTTTTTACAAATAGCTTTCGCTATTTGTTATATTACTGGCATTCATAAATGTACATTAATTTTGATTTCTGAGAGGTTCTGAAATTCTCTGTGGGTTTTTTTCTTATTTCTGTACATATTGTCCCATTGGAATCCAAAATTACTGAAGTAAGCACCAGGTTTTTCTTTTGACACATTAAAGTATACTATGTGTTAAAGGCAAAATGGTCCCTCATTGTATTTTTTTAAAATGTAATTTGAATAAGCCTGCCTCAAAAATACAAGAGATATCTGCATCCAAAATATCAGTTTTGGAAAGGTAGCCAATATATTATTAACTGCTGAAAATAATTTTTTAAAATTATGTCTTATTCGTAAGATTAAAAATTAAAAAATTAGAAAAGTAAAAATACTCATGGGTAAGATTTTTCTGGTAATACTATTTTGACAGCTATCAATACAGGCAGAGAAAGGAAGTTGTCAGACTACTTATTATACAGGAAAAGATAATAAACTTTAGTATTGTGACTATAGAAGAGCTCATCCTTTGTTCTTTGATAAATCACTAAGAAAAAATGGCTAGGCTTGCAAATATTCCTAATCCTTGTCTTTTAAGATTATATCATTGATCACATTCAATTGTAAGTAACATTAAAAAATATTAGATTGGTGCACATGTAATTGTGGCTTTTGCCATTAAAAGTACCATGAAAAATATTTTTTCTTCCATGCAACAATTAGTTTGGAGGTGAAATATTGAAAATAATGGTTCAGCTATTCAGCAGCAGCATAAAGATCCCAGGATGGTTCCATCTTTCTACTCCACAATCCTCTGATCCCATTTTGGCCTTTTAGGTTAGGTTTGCTGCCTCTTGCTTACAAGAAGGCTGCCACAGCTCCAGATAACAAGACCTCCTTCTAAGACAGGGATATAAGCTACAAGCAGTAAGAGAGCTTCTCATGCAGGTTTCCTCTTTGTAAAATTATCTTTCCACAAAAACTCTAAGCAGATTTCTTCTTTATCACTTTCAGGAGAAATAGATAATGACCACTTCCTAAATGAAGAGGTTTAGGCCCACTTTCTGTAAGATAAAATAACTACTGCTTGATGGCTTAAGAAAATTAAGATCCTGTTAGCAGGAGAGTGGTATTTTAGTAACCATTGTGACTGCCACATAAGTTTACATACACACACACACACACACACACACACACACATATTTTATTCTCCAGGAAAAAGCAGGAGATTCACAAGAAAACAGTCATCTTTCTTCATACCAGCTTCTTATTTGTTTATTTGTTTCTAAAATGTTAGAATACTAATAAATCACAGTTAATGCTTCTTTGATCAGCTTTCAGTACATATCTGATTTTTTGAGGTAATTGTTATATCATTCCACATCCCACAAATAAATAAGGAAAATGAAGAGCAAAGAGAAAATGTAAGCAGGGGAATAAAATGAAGAATACATAAAATGCATGTCAGTATGCTAATCTCTTCTTGATGGTTGATCATGATGTTGCTTTAAGCTTCTTGTCAACTGACAGGAAGAAGAAAATAGATCAAGTCTAGATGTTCATAATATCTCTAATACAAAAATGAACTACCGGCTCAAAGGAAACATAACTACTCTGCAAAAGTCCAGAAGCACATTCCTTGTGGGTGCTGATAAAAAGAATAAGGTCTAACCCAGTGAAACACGGTTTCACTAAATAATTGCCCCATCTTTCATCAGCAATTTCTTATGAGGTCCTTTAATTTGGGCAACAGCATATTACCTAAGTGTAATTCAGCAACACAATTCTTGGTCAGGGGTCATAGACCTGGCAAATCCAGAAACAGGATAGAACCACTTGTAATAATCTTCCCTCTCCCCTTTGCACACTCAACATTATGAATGAGAATAATAGACACAGGAAATGTACAAGCAAATCTGTGTGGACTCCCAGTTGGCAACACATTTGGTCAGTTTTGGTGGCTTTATTGCTTCTAAAGTTTTCAAGGTCTCAACAAGCTAATATTTTTCTTAGTTCTGTGCTGGTGGGATTTCAGTATGCATGAAAGAACACTTAAAAAACATATTTGAGACAGAACACAGACCATAGATTCAAATATTATCAGAACAAACTAGGGTTGTCATTTAACTTACAATTTTTTAAAATTTACTTTCCTATTAATATCTCCTAAAAATCAAAGATTTCGGCCAGGTGTGGTGGCTCATGCCTGTAGTCCTAGCCCTTTGGGAGGCCGAGGCAGGTGGATCACAAGGTCGGGAGTTTGAGTCCAGCCTGGCCAACATGGTGAAACCCCGTCTCTACTAAAAATATGAAAAAATTAGCTGGGTGTGGTGGCGGGCTTCTGTAATCCCAGCTACTCAGGAGGCTGAGGCAGACAGTTGCTTGAACCCGGGAGGCGGAGGTTGCAGTGAGCCGAGATCGCGCCACTGCACTCCAGACTAGGCGACAGAGAGACACTTCGTCTCAAAAAAAAAAAAAATCAAATATTTCAGTCAGAAATATCCTGCTGAGCAGTAATGTGTCAAAAGATTACCTTTGGTCCTTGCCACTGACTTTTATGTCTATAAGTAATTAAATATTTAGGGAGTTAATTTATTTCCAACCATTAATTTTCATCTCAGGTTAAGTGGTTTGTCTGTTTGACTTCATTTCAAATTACCGGGACCTGAACTTAGACATCACTTAACAAAAGATAAAAATCTTAAGGGTCCAGGAGCCCCAATTATTCTTCTCTTCTACAGAGGTGACGTTTCAGGCTGTATAAAGAACAGCTTTTAAATATAACCTTTGAATCTTCCATGAGACACGTCAAGACAAAAGCAGACATCATTTATAAGATTAGAGAGATATCCTATTGTTTTTTGAAATAGCATTCATTTTCATATAATATGTGTATTATGTCTAACACTTTAAAATGATCTTTAAGTTTCATTTTTGTTTATTTGTATGGATTGTTCCTTTGAAAAATGTCATCAGTTGTTCACTTTACCATACAATGAACTCGACTTTTTAAAATTAAAACATTGTCAACTCTTTTGCTTATTTCCAAATTCACCTCGAAAACACTAACAAAAAAATTGAACATTTTAGATGAGATCTATGATTTGGTTAGCTTAGCAATTTAGATATGTGAATAGAAGCATGCATATTACTTTCAAAAGGTCACCAAAATTACAGGTGCAAAAATGCAGGTGCAAGTAATTAACCTCTTGAGCAAGCTATTGGCTGATTGCAGGTGCAATTAGTGAAACAGGAAAAAAGAAGGGATGGTCTTGTTGAAATTTAACCTCAAATTGTATGAGTTGTCAAACTACATTGTAAACACTTAAACTTGCTAAAATTTGGCTTTTGTAGCATTTGTCTTTTTTTTAATGGTAAAGAAATATTGTTTAAAAAATATCATGGCTATTTTTTAATAGTCTTCCTTTCAAATAAAATTTTAAATCCTTGAGAACAATGTCTCTCTATACCTGATCATAAGGCAAGTTGAAAAAAGAGTATAATTTGATACCTGGATCATTGCTTAATACCATGTTGAGAAAATCAGACTCAATAGACAAAACTCGTTTCTCACTTTTCCCAATCTCCTATAGTCAACTATTTGTTTTTCAAATGAAAATAACAATACAGGGACTTCCTAAAAGAGCAAAGCTGTGTAAATGGTTATCTATCCCCTTTCCTTCTAGGAATTAAAAAAAAAAAAAATCATTTGGTTGGGCGCGGTGGCTCACACCTGTAATCCTAGCACTTTGGGAGGCTGAGGTGGCTGAGGTAGGCGGATCACCTGAGATCTGGAGTTCCAGACCAACCTGACCAACATGGATAAACCCTGTCTCTACTAAAAACACAAAATTAGCTGGACATGCATTCCCAGCTACTTGGGAGGCTGAGGCAGCAGAATCGCTTGCCCCGGGGAGGGGGATGCTGCGGTGAGCCGAGATTGCGCCATTGCACTCCAGCCTGGGAAACAAGAATGAAACTCCATCTTTAAAAAAAAAAAAAAAAAAAATTAAACAAAACTAGAAAAAGATATATAATTCACAGACTTCAAAATAAAGCCTACTGCTAAGTAGGGCAAAAATGTGGAGCAAGATTTAATAAAAGTGAATTAAAAACATGAAGAGTGGGGAAAGCATGAAGATCTCAGAATATGCCAGCAAAACACACTTCCTGAATTTGAGGGCATGATCATGAAGTGAAAACACTAAATGTCGTGTAGACAATAATAGCGGAGGAAACTGAGGTAAAGAGGATCAGAAGGAAAAGGCTTCCTGGGCACAAAGTAATAGGAAAGGAGGAGGCAGAGCTCTGTGCAGTACAACTAAGTAACATTTGCAAGATGTTTCTTTGGCAAACCAAAAGCAGCTTTGTTTCAGGAAGTCTGGAAGGTGACCCTGCTGTTCAGCTTTTCCATATACTGTATGGGATTCTTCTGAAAAGGGCTAGTCAAGGAAAAGACAACTCATTTAATGAAGAGTACTAAGAAAAGTAAGTGTTGCAGGACTTTTACTTATTCAGCTAAAGACTGGGTTCTTTGTTCCACAGCCACGAAAATTCAGGCTCGCAGACAATTTAAATGGTGAGTGAGACATGGTTTTATTGGGTGAAAAGGAAGAAAAGGGGGAAACAGGGACTCTTGCGAGACCAGGGTCTCTCCGCTAGAGCACTTCCTGCCAGCAGCTTGAATCCCAGTTTCCACACATAAGAAAAAGAGGTGCCAGGCTCCTCCCTACTGCAAGCGACGTGAACTTCCTAAGGCTCCACCTCAGTGGGCAGGCTGGTTGGAGTTTCTCCAGGGACCACCTCCCACCTGGCTGTCTCAGTAGCAAGCACAGCATCAACACAAAGGTATAGTAAGTGAAAAAAGGATGTAGAATTATCAAAAAGGCAACACCATCTCACTCAAAATTTGTTTTAAGAGAGTAAATGAAAATTACAAACTAATATTTCACGAAGAATTAAAAAAATAATAATTAGCTCTTTGAAGAAAAACCAAGCAGCAAAGATGCAAAATCTCAAGAATGTGATGCTAGATAACAGTGTGTCCAGAATTGGTGGGTTCTTGGTCTCACTGACTTCAATAATGAAGCCGCAGACCCTCATGTGAGTGTTACAATTCTTGAAGGTGGTGCGTCAGGAGTTTGTTCCTTCTGATGTTTGGATATGTTCGTAGTTTTTTCCTTCTGGTGGGTTCGTGGTCTCACTGGCCTCCGGAGTGAAGTTGCAGATCTTCGCACTGAGTGTTACAGCTCATAAAGGCAGTGCAGACCCAATGAGTGAGCAGCAGCAAGATTTATTGCAAAGCCTGAAAAAACAAAGGTGCCACATGGTGGAAGAGAACTTCAGCAGGTTGCCACTGTTGGCTCTGGCAGCCTGCTTTTATTCCCTTATCTGGCCCCACCCACATCCTGCCGATTGGTTCATTCTACAGAGAGCTGATTGGTCCGTTTTGACAGGATGCTGATTGGTGTGTTTACAATCTCTGAGCTAGACACAAAAGTTCTCCAAGTCCCCACTAGATTAGCTAGACACAGAGCACTGATTGGTGCATTTACAAACCTTGAGCTAGACACAGAGTGCTGATTGGTGTATTTACGATCCCTTAGCTAGACATAAAGGTTCTCCAAGTCCCCACTAGATTAGCTAGACACAGAGCACTGATTGGTGCATTTACAAACCTTGAGCTAGACACAGGGTGCTGATTGATTTGTTTACAAACCTTGAGATAGACACAGAGTGCTGACTGGTGTATTTACAATCCCTTAGCTAGACATAAAGGTTCTCCAAGTCCCCACTAGACTCAGGAGCTCAGCTGGCTTCACCTAGTGGATCCCGCTCCGGGGCTGCAGGTGGAGCTGCCCACCAGTCCCGCGCCGTGAGCCTGCACTCCTCAGCCCTTGGGTGGTCGACAGGCCTGGGCACCATGAAGCAGGGGGCGGCACTCGTTGGGGAGCCTCCGGCTGTTCAGGAGCCCACGGCGGGGCGGAGGCTGGGGCATGGTGGGCTGCAGGTCCCGAGCCCTGCCCCATGGTGGGGCAGCTGTGGCCCAGCGAGAATTCAAGTGCAGCGCCAGCGGGCTGGCACTGCTGGGGGACCGGGGCACCCTCTGCCGCTGCTGGCCCAGGTGCTAAGCCCCTCACTGCCTGGGGCCGGCGGCACCAGCTGGCTGGCCACTCTGAGTGTGTGGCCCGCTGAGCCCACACCCACCTGGAATTCATGCTGGCCCGTGAGCGCCATGCGCAGCCTGGGTTCCCACCTGCGCCTCTCCCTCCACACCTCCCTGCAAGCAGAGGGAGCCGGCTCCAGTCTCGGCCAGCCCAGAGAGGGGCTCCCACAGGGCAGCAGCAGGCTGAAGGGCTCCTCAAGCGTGGCCAGAGTGGACGCCAAGGCCAAGGAGGCACCGAGAGTGAGCAAGGGCTGCGAGGGCTGCCAGCACGCTGTCACCTCTCAATAGGATGAGATGAAACAAAAGTGGTAACGTTGCGATGAAAGGTAAGAAACAAACTCATTACAAAAATAAAGTGAAGGATTGAGGAGCATGAAGAAAAATTGTAATACAGGTTGAAAAGAAATAAAAAGTGCTGTAACAAAGGGAGCGAGAAGAAAAAACATAGTGACAGGAGATAAAGGAGGTTCAACATAAGCACAACTGTAGTACCCAGATTAAAAAACAAAAATATGATTTAATTATAGTTTGCTTAGAGTGTAAAAATATGTGAGGATAAAACTGATGATGTATTTCAAGAAAAACAAAACAAAACTTTAAAAGCATATTGTGAGGATAGACCACGTGTGAGGAATAATTGACACAGAATGGTCAACATCAAGATACATCTTAAACAAAAACAACAACAATAGTGACTTAACAAAACAAGAATTTTAAGGGAGAAGGTTAAAGCTAGCCTATTTCCCTACATCAAAATCCAACCAAAAATAAGAGAGAAGCAATTTCTATGTGACACTTAAGGAGAAAGAGTATGAACTGAGAACTTTATATTCAGCCAAAGTCTTTCCAGGACTAGTGAACATAGTTTTATGTCTATAAGTAATATAGAAGAATCCAAGGAAGAGTTTACCCTTGAGCCACACTTCAGTAAAATAGTAGAGAAATTAATTTTAGATAGCCAGGAAAGAACTGGAGAAACAATAGTAAAAGTTCTGACAGCAGATATTAAATATTTTTAACAGTATACCTAAGACTAAAATAAATGTGATGGAACAAAATGTAAACAGTGTATGCCTTATTAATGAGCATTAATGAACACCTCCATCCACGGCATTATTCTCATCCATGGACTTCTTACTTCCCAGTACTGGTAGCTGCTGTATTCAGCAGTAATCTTATTGAAAATCACCTTTCCTTTATCTATGTCAACAAGGCGTTCTGATAATCTAGCACATACTAATATGATAACAGGGTAGGCCTAGAAGGGCACAACTGGGTTATATGTACAATACTCATTTAAAGCTTCTAGGAAAAAACATTCCTTTTCTTTTTTTCTCTTTAGTTTTGTTTTTGTTTTCCCTACGAGATTACTAAAGAGGAGGATTTCAGGCCAATTGGGAAAAAACATAATTAATAACAGGTGTAATTTTGGTGTGTATATTAGTCTGTTTCATGCTGCTGATAAAGACATACCTGAAACTGGGTAATTTATAAAGAAAAAGAGGTTTAATGGACTCACAGTTCCACATGGCTGGGGAGACCTAATGATCATGGTGGAAGGCGAAAGGCACCTCTTACACAGCAGCAGACAAGAGAGAATTTGTGCAGGGAAACTACCCCTTATAAAACCATCAGATCTCATGAGACTTATTCTCTATCCTGAGAACAGAACCGGAAAGACCCAACCCCGTGATTTAATTATCTCCTGCTGGGTCTCTCACACAACACATGGGAATTCTGGGAGCTATAATTCAAGATGTAATTTGGGTGGGGACACAGCCAAACTGTATTAGTGTAAACATCAAATTAAACCAATTGGTCTCGTTCAGTCCAATACTCAATGCATTGGTACATCTCAGGACACTGGCATTAATAGGATCCTTACAACCTTATAAGGTAGTGGATTACCTGCTCAATGACTCATATTAATAGAAAGCCTTCATAATAAAATGTGATCAGTTTCACAGTGATTTTAATCTATGATCCCTAGGTCTATTCTTTGGCCCTTCAAAACAAAAGACCCTCCACAGAATAACTCTTCAAATATTCAAAGGAAGGTCTCATGGTTTTTTTCTTTTCCCAACTGGTATCCTGTGCCTTTTCTTTCTTTGCTCTCCTTTTTTTGGTTTTAATTTCTGAAAAATTAGTTTCACTAATTTTGCAAACTTGAGAATGCATATATCCTTACATTTAATGAAATTTGATTTGTTCTATTTTTGCTAATTTGGCTTCAGAGGAATTTTATACTGCAATTTCATAGAACCATGAAAAATTGGTTTATGTGAAAAAATGCTAATGTATTTATGCATGCCTTTCTAATAAAACTAATTTCCATTTGTATGCTTTAAACATATGTCAATGACCAGATCAATAGAAATGTTATCACTCTAGTTTATTCTCCACTAAAATCCTTGAAATTTGCAGCCAATTAACAAAATAGAAAGCAAAACATCTCTATAGGTCTAAATTTGCTTTAGGATATAAAATCAAGAAACAAAGAAGTACTGATGTCACCAGCTTACAGCTAGTAGAAATAAACATTAATGAAGAGGAACTTTATTCTAACCAGATCTTGGAAATGCTCTTAAAATTGCATTTATAAAAGACAGGAAGGAATTATGTTATTAGATTTAGAAGTTTTACAATAAAATAATCTATTATACATTTTAATGTATCCTTAGTTCTTCCGCCAGATTACATGGTATATGTTTTCAAAAATCACTTCTGTACTTTGAAATGTCTACATTTAATGTCTTAAGGTTGTCAACAGTTTTACATTAGATGCAGTTCTTCTAAAAGTAAATTGTATTTATGGGAAACGGGAAAGCTATCATGTGATATGAAATGCCTGGGCAGTGAGAGTTAAGCCCTACAAAGGGAAGATTTCCTCGTTTCTAAGGGTGTGGTACCAGCTACTTGGTTGGTCAGAGGCCTGGCTGGAGGCCACAGATTTTCAAAGAGAAAGGGAAACAAAGAGATACTACTAGACATTATAGTCAGACAAACAATACAGTACATCCCACCGTCTCTAGTAGTGCTTTTTTCTTTTTCTTTTTTTAACTCGTACCCAAAAACTAGGAAAGAAAACGGAAAACTTCTTTAAAAAGCTGCTACAGCTTATCATTGGGAAATCTTTGGGATATCGTTTTAGAAGGCTAAGGAGACCGATGACAGGAACTCAAGAAAAAGGAAAAACAAGGGGGAAAAGAAATGGCTTTGGCTTTGGGAGACTTGGAAAAATACAACAATACAGTATCACTGATACTCCTGAGTATGGAGACAGCAAAAGTCACGGGGGATTTCACTGATATGTGCTAGAAGGACACTTATATTACTAACTCTTAAATATTCTGGTATAAAAATGGATGGCATTTATCTAGCCGGACAAAAAAGACTAAGCCAATCTTTGGACCTTATGCAGATTCACACTTACTCTCATTACTGAACCCTCAATGCAAAGTCAAAGAAGAAACAAAATTATTTTTAATGATCTAGGAGACAAAAGGCAATCAGTAACCATCTCTCAAGGAATTTATAAATTTAATTTAACAAGGAGTTTACAAATATTTAATCTATACAGACTTTTTTTTTTTTTTTAGGTGGAGTCTGGCTCTGTTGACAAGGCTGTGGTGCGATCTCGGCTCACTGCAATCGCCTCCCGAGTTCAAGTGATTCTCCTGCCTCAGCTTCCTGAGTAGCTGGGACTATAGGTGGGCACCACCTCGCCCAGCTATTTTATTTTGGTATTTTTCATAGAGACAGGGTTTCACCATGTTGGCCAGGCTAGTCTTTAACTCCTGACCTCAAGTGATCTGCCCAACTCTGCCTTCCAAAGTGCTGGGATTACAGGTGTGAGCCACTGCCCACAGCCCTAATCTATATAGATTAATCCGTTATGAAAATATCAAAATTGTTCTTGGGAAATGTTGATTCACTCATTCGTGTATTCATCCATTTATCCAAATATTTATTTGAGCAATTAAATTGTTTCAAATATTCCAAGCACTAGAACTTGTTTTGTAAGTCATGTGTTCTTTTGAATACCATTTAGTGGCATATGTTAATTTTGAAATAAATATAGAAATTCCTTCACCTGGGTTCAAATGTCATAATACTGTAATTTGATCCAATAAAGGATTAAACTCAAGTCAATGAGTCTGTACCTCTATTTAATTTTCCTAGTTAGGTAAAAGCATTGGACTCTTAAATATCGACTATGGCATTAAATAATTGTTTTTACATTAAATTTTCCACTTTTTCTCACATAAACAGAAGTATAGTGTAAAGAGATCACAGAAGATATGAGGTAAGGTCATCTAAGGCAACCACAAAGATGGTGTTCTGATATGAGAAATTAATAATATAATAATTTTGAAGAAAAGAATAAGTTAATCAACTGTAAAGTTATTTTGCTATAAAGACCCCTAGCATTGTAGTCAAGATATTAGAATTCTACTAGAGCAATCCTACTTATCTAACCATATCTATTGTGTTCTTAGTCATTTTACAGAGTCCTATTTAATAAAATAGTCCTTTTAATAATAATAAAAGAACTAACATTCTTTCTTAGCCCTTTAGTAATGTATGTTTAATAATAATAAAGATATCCCTGAAGTGTGAGCTGGGCAAAAAATGTGCCCAATTAGCGAATACATTTCTCAGAATCTTTTGCACAGAGCTACATATACCATGTGACTACCTTCTGGCCAAAGAAATGTGAGAAGTGACAGATAACAATTGGTATACACTTTCCAATTCTTTATTTTCCTGTCCCACTGGCTGGGAGTTGGTGACAACTGGAGAATCTACTTTTCACTCAGAAATGAATGCTGTAAGTTAAAGATGACAGAACCTATAAAACAACCCTGGACCACACCTCTGTTTTGTTATCTCAAAGAGAAATTTATTCAAATCATTTTGTTTTGGTTTCCTTATTACCGCAGCTCAGTGTATCCCTTAACTAATGTAAAACTCAACTCTGCATTATCTGGCTTTTGGAATGTTGAAAAAAATATTTAATTTCTTTGGGTTTCAGTGGGCTAGATGTACTGTGAGGACTTTTCCAGCTTTGAATGTTCATGAGACTAAAACTGCAGTTGGTTATGCTGCAATAGAAAACCACTGGTATTTCGTACCACAACAGCCCTATCCTCACATTACCTGGAGGGTCAAATTAATTTAGCAAGATAATTGTATTAATATTTTTTGGAAAGCAAAAGTTCTCCTTCAAAGTCTACTCTTTTCAGCCCTCACTGCCTAAGGCTCATTCTTTGAAGCTGTATGACATTAACATACCTCAGGTTATAACCACTAATTGCCCCTTCACCTACATAAAATGGGTGATAAGAATAGGAAAAGATCCAGAAAAAAAAAAAAAAGCAACCTGAAGAAGAAAAAACATTAGTGGAGAAATGTGGAGAAAAAGGTAGGCAGTAAGCCCTTTTTTCCTTGGAAATGAGAGAGAACAAAAGAGCAAATTTAAAATTTGTAGAGAATCTCTGGTCTGACACACTTAAGAAAGAGCAAATTCACAGTGGATGGCTGAGCATATTGTTCATTTTCAATAGAGCTGTTAGAGACTATTGAGACCAATTGATTACAGTATATTACTAATGAGGCCAAAGTTCAGTCCCCATGTGGGGCCAGTTTACTGTGCCCTATTCCACACCCACACAGCATGCCCCTAACTTTGGCCAGCTGTCTCTAAAATGCATGCTCTTTGTCACAAATGGGACCAGGTGTATATGAATCCATGAAAATTTATTGTCACCACCAGGAAAAATTCTCAAGGCAGATGGTGGGTCAGTAATGTCACTTGAGTGTATGAAGGACGACATGTGTTCTCGTACTGAAAAGTAAAGTGGAGATTTGTCAGTTATACAATTGTACTGTAATTGAATATTTGAGCCAGAAACCCAAGTGGGTTTAGTTTAGACAGTCAACATGAGGGTTTATGTCATTTACTAGAGAAACTACCACTTCAGGGTCTCAAAGATTTTGGTGATCCAAGAGAGACTCTGGTCTTTTGTGTAACAGTTGGGAGTGGTAGAAATGGTGATAAATCAGACAGTTCATGCTCCATCCAATGTGACCAAAAAATACAGTACTGAGTACATTTACCAACCTCCTGAAATATATGGGCCTGTTATCCAGAGGAATCAAAAAACACATTGTGGATGGGTCTTAAATGCCTGATGATACAACAAAATATATTGATTTTATGAAAAACAATTATAATACTTTATACTTTTTATTATAATTATGTGTTTTAATATATATCCTATCACTAGATGTTGAGTTCCACAAAGAGAGCACAATGCCTTTTTCATCCTTCCAATACCAGAGTGTAATATGGCATATAGCACCTCATATACAAATGGTGAAAGCTTTTCTAATGCATGTCTATAGTGTAAACACTAAATGTGTAACAGTCTCAATTGTCCATATCAATTTCACTTGCATAAACATATTTAAGTTCTAGTGTGTTAAAAATTTATTAGTATAAATAGATATAATCCGATATGCAAAAGCATATTCTCAATAGTAGAGGACACAAAAGTTCACTTAATCTATATAAATTACAACAATGGAAAAATAAATCTTCAGTCTTACTTTAACTAGACTTTACTGTGGTAGTTAAATGGACTTCAGTTTTTGGTGTACATATAAACAGAATCGTTAGGGGAAGTATTTGCTTAGTTGCTGGATTTTATGCAAACGAAAGCAGATGAGGGTAAAACAGAAATAAACAGTAATTAAATTACACAGAAATTTCGGGATGAAATAAAACAATTCTTTACAGTTTCTAGGTAATGGCAAAAGTGTTTCTGGCAAGAAAAGCATAATTAACAGCAGTGTTAAAGCTTTGCTTTAGATTCATTTGGCAATTGAGTCTACTAAGTTGAAAGCTGTTAAGTAGAGTATTTGAGTTTCATATTAATTTGCATTTCACTTGACTGCTTCTTAGTGTTTTGTAAGCATGAAACAGAGAGGTCTGGGTTCAACACAACAAATTACCGTTCAAAATAAAAAATTACTACCCAAGCAGCTTTGTGTTTCTGCTAGGTTTGTCATGCTGTGACTAAAAATAGTAAAAAAAAAAAAAAGAAAAAAAGAAAGGAAAAAGAAGCGTTGATTCTTTAGAGGCATTTCAGCACCAGATTTGCGCTATCAAAAATAGTCCTCAAACATAGTTAGAGTTATCTAGAAATTCAGCAGTTTGCAAACAAGTGCACTAGGGAGTAGTTTTTTCACACTAAAATATTTTTGCTACACATCAGCAAGTCCTTGAGGAGAGCCTGCTGGCTCCAAAGGCCTGAAGTTTGCTGTTGAAATAGCAGAGCAATAATATTTAGCCAGTGCTAACAGGGAAGCAGTGATATGACTGCTCTTTATAGTGATAACTACATTTGACAAAGAATGGTACAGCACTGGGATTACAGAACATGACTTTGTTTTAATACTTCTTAATATTATTTTTGGAAGTGTTAAGTATACATGTCACCTATTCTTTTCATAGGCATTGATCACAAATATAGAAAGAAGACTACTCATTTCCAAAACCAATTAATCCTATTGTGTGAGTAGATGTGTATTTGTGCTTGTGTATTTGTGATGTGGTTTGGCTGTGTCCCCACCCAAATCTCATCTTGAATTGTAGCTCCCATTATTACTATGTGTCGGGGGAGGGACCCAGTGGGAGTTAATTGAATCATGAGGGCATGTCTTTCCTGTGCTGACCTCATGATAGTGAGTGAGTCTCATGAGATCTGATGGTTTTATAAAGGGGAGTTCCCCTGAACACGCTCTCTTGCCTGCTGCCATGCAAGACGTGACTTTGCTCCTCCTTTGCCTTCTGCCATAATTGTGAGGTCTCCCCAGCTATGTGGAACTGTGAGTCCATTAACCCTCTTCCTTTATAAATTCCCCAGTCTCTGGTGTGTCTTTATTATCAGCATGAGAACAGACTAATATGATTCGTGTGTATGGAGATGTATGTATTTACCATCAATTCTGTTATGGTTAACAATTGGCAATAGTTATATCAGAAGCATAGAGAATCTTGCTATAGGTAAGCATGTGATTGCTTGGCTCTATTAGTTTTCGGCACTGTGGAAAACTGTGTTATTTCAAGTAGCTTACAAGGACACACAAAAAAACCAAAAATGTGTTATTTCATAATGTTCTTTAAGTTATTAAAATATTTCAGCTTGCTTCTTTCTGTATCAGCTTCCTTCTATATGTTAACATAGACTTCCGTAATTATATGCTAATCTAATTAGTTCATATGCCTATGATGTAAGCTAAAATATTTTAATGTTGCTTGACTCCTGACCCTTTCATTTTAATATTCTTATATTTTTCACTAAAAACCTGAAAGAGGACAGATATGTAAAAAACACAGCTTTAATAAGCAAGAGGATAGCAACTCTTTATTGAAGGAGCTTTCCTATTGGCAGCCATCCAGATGGCAAATAAAGCTGTTTAAATATTTGCTCATTAGTGAAATGAAATGATATCAGTTTAATTCATTCCCATTTCATGTTTTCAATGCTTCAAAGCAACTTTATAATACACACTCTAAAGGTTTCTCTGGAGCTCTTGTGCAGTGATTCATTTTCTTTTTCTCTCTAAGTAGATATAAATTAACGAAGTTATACAGAATAAGGTGTTGGGCTTCTCCTAAAATCTTCCTAGTCATTTCTTTGAGAGTTTTGCTGTAAATTTTAGGACTGCAAAAATCACACAACATGGGCCCTTAGCAGGACTCAGGGGCTGAGATATGTTAATGAAAGATACTGAAGATGTCAGGTAGCTGGTGTATTCCAACACTATTTAGGGAGGCTCAGGGCCTATCGCACTAGAAGAAGCTGCTGTGTAACACTAGGTTATCTTGAGACATTCAGACAGGGAGATAAAATGCATATTAATCCCTAAGGATAAACGGTCTTTCCTGTTGTATTGGATAAGCATTTGTTTTGTCACATTTAGCCTAATTGTGGGCAAATCGAGAGAAATTAGTGTTGAATTATTGTGGGGAGGGAAGAAAAACGGGAGGCTGTAAGAGTGGTAGATCGTGTCCATTGCATTTTGATTATACATACAGTTCTGTCCTCTAATCCACCTTTACTGAGGTATCTGCATTTAGGTGGCCATTAATAAAGTTGACATTTTCATTCTCTTCTCTTTTTTGCCTAGGATTTGCCATGGGGAACCTAGAGAGCAAGAGGGTGAGTAATTGACATCTCCAAATCCCAACAAGAATCAGAATCTTTCATGTTAAGTTCCTTCAGGTTAAAGACTTTCTATTATTTTTGTATTATTTCCTGTATAATGTCCAGCGCTATATTAGGTAAAATAAATATTATGTACCTATTTCTTGAATGAATGTCCCAGTGACTGTGAGGTTTTTACTTTCTGACTATTGCCCCAAATTGTCCTTTATTGTTTTTATTATTTTCTAAAAAGAAGCATAGCTAAAATAAGATCATAAGCCTTTAGAGGAAACAGAGTAAAAGAGTTTTTATTTAATCAACCAGATTCTGGGCCCCAACCCCATGCGTGTATCACCTGCTTTTACTTAATGTTTCCACAAAAAAATAAACAAACAAATCAATATGCTTATTACAATACAGGAACAATATTAGCCTTAGGGTATCACCACGGGTCATTGTTACTTCTAGCAAAAGGCAAGATTTGGAACAGAAATCCAAACAATTATCCATTCATTTTGAATGTGACCCTAACAAGTCTGCTTAGAGAAAGGTTAGATGAACTCTTATTTTCCTTTCAATTATGATTGCACAATGATAAATTTAGAGCCAAGGGGATTTTTGAAACATTGGCTAAATTCCCGTGCAAACAATACACTAAAAAAACGTGTTGAGATGACTCTAGAATCTGTGCCCACTTTTGTAAGATTAATTTTGTAAACACACAGTTGATAAATG